>NC_000023.11:153869545-154172575 GCF_000001405.40 Homo sapiens | reverse complement strand
GACAGGGTACAACTGCTAAAGTTGGATGCTGAGGCAGCAACTGTATTAAACGCATTTATGACAAGGGCTTACTTAAAAAAATTGATGTAGAATTCACATAATTTCACGTAATGTGAAATTAACCATTTGGAAGCATGTAATTCAGTGCATTAAGTACATCTGCAGTGTGGTTCAACCATCACCTCTGTCCGGTTGTCTAACATTCTCATCACCCCAGAAGGAGACCTCCAGACTCACTACACGGTCACTCCTAGCCTCGGCTCCAGGCGTTCCCTAATCTGCTTTCTGTCTCCGTGGGTTTGCCTCTTCTGGACTTTTCATATAAATGGGACCATACGATATGTGGGCTTTTGTGTCTAGCTCCTTTCACTGTTTTCAAGGTTCACTAATGTTGTAGCACGTATCAGTACTTCATTCTCTTGACGGCTGACTAATATTCCAGTGCATGGGTAGACCACATTTTGTTTATCTGTCCATCAGTGGATGGAGATTTGAGTTGTTTCCACCTTTTGGCTATTGTGAGAAGCCCTGCGCTGAACACTCAGATACATGCCAGTTGTTTGAACACCAGTTTTCAATTCTTTGGGGTCTATAATCAGGAGTAGAATTGCTGGACCCCGTGGTGACTCCAGGTGTAGCGTTTAGAGGAGTCTTCCCACAGCAGCCGCGCAGCTCCATCTTCCCACCAGCAATGCAGAAGGCTTCCAGTTGCCTCACATCCTTGCCAACATTTGTTGTTATCCTTTTTTTTTTTTTCCAACAGATGTAACTGTGAAGTGGTATCTCATTATGAGGGCTGGCTTTCTTTTTTATTTTTCCTGAGTCTTTGGATAGGCAAAAGTTCTTTCTTTCTTTCTTTCTTTCTTCTTTTTCTTTTTCTCTCTTTCTTTCCATCTCTCTCTCTCTTTCTTTCTTTTTCTTTCTCTCTTTCTCTTTCTTCCTTTCTCTCTGTCTCTCTCTCTCTCTCTCTATCTCTCTTTCTTTCTTTCTTTTTCTTCAGGGTCTCTGTTGCCCAGGCTGCATGCAGTCATAGTTCACTACAGCCTTGAACTCCCGGGCTCAAGCGATCTTCCTGCCTCAGCCTCCCGAGTAGCTGGGAGTACAAAGCATGTGCCACCATGCCTGGCTAACTTTTTAAAAATTATTATTATTTGTAGAGATGGGATCTTGCTATGTTGCCCAGGCTGGTCTTGAACACCTGGCCACGGCCTCCCCAAGTACTGGGGTTACAGATGTGAGCCACTGTGCCTGGACAGTTCTTACTTTTTAATGCATTTTTTAATTGATTGTGGTAAAAAAAAAAAAACCCACAATATATTCTTTTTGATTCTGCGACGTGCAGGGTCTCTATCACAGCAACAATTAGACTCAGGAGGCTTGGGGCTGGCCCTGGGGTCTCCTCCTTCATGAGGTCTGGGTTTGTAGGTCCTTGCAGAGGACGTTCCTGGGTCCTGGAAGGACTGTGACTGCTTCCGCTGGAGTTGCTTGAGGCCCCTGGTAACTCTCCTCTCTGTGTGCTGAGGAGAAGCACGGGCGTCGCGAACTTGATGATTCTGGATGGAAGGGTCTTTGCCAAGCTTCCCTTTCTTTCTTGTGGAAATAGGAGGAGCTTCAGATCTCCGAGAAGATGCACAGTGAGCGGCCTACCTCCTCAGCACAAGCCAGTCTCCTGGGGGACCAGAAGGCCCCGGTCCCTCAGTTTCTTCGTGGGTCAGGAGGAAAGAAGGCTTGAGAAACTCAGAAAATGTTCATTGGTAGAAGAGATGGCACCCCAGGAAGGCATGGGGAGCCTTCAAGTAAAAGTCTCGACTGGCCAGGTCTCATCTGGGCACCTTGCATGCAGAGTTGCAGGAGGCCCCCTCTAGCCTCCTAATGAGCCAGGGGGCTCTGGGAGGGTCTTGGGGGTCCTTCCCCATCTCTTACAGGATGCGCAGCTGACTTCTGCTTGATGGTGAAAGGCAGTCAGGTTTCAGTCTTGGCCCCGTAGACAGGGCATGGACAAGTCCTGGAGTTGGGGGTATGGTGCCAGCAAAACCATCTTTACTCTCTGGGGTCCATAGCCAGTCCCAGCCTGCCCAGCCCCACCCTCCTCCTTCACCTTTGTAGCCCGAGTGGTCAATGCCTGGGGTAGATGGGTTGCTGGGACATCTTTGTTCTTTGTTGGATGAGTAAAATGGTCCTGGGAGAAAACCCGACTGTGAGGAGCACATTGCTTCTTTTTTTTGTCTTTTTTATGAGATGGAGTCTCACTCTGTCCCCCAGGCTGGAGTGCAGTGGCACGATCTCGGCCCACTGCAACCTCCACCTCCCGGGTTCAAGCGATTCTCCTGCCTCAGCCTCCCGAGTAGCTGGGATTACAGGCACACGCCAGCATGCCTGGCTACTTTTTGTATTTTTCAGTAGAGATGGGGTTTCGCCATGTTGACCAGGGGTCTCGAACTCCTGACCTGAAGCGATCCACCCGCCTCGGCCTCCCAAAGTGCTGGAGTTACAGGTGTGAGCCACCACACCTGGCTGGAGGACATTGCTTCTTGCCCCATTTCTAGTTCCCTAGACCTGCCTTGGCATCAACTCATTGAAGGCTCCACTTGGTGACAAGGAACCGGCTTATTTGGAAACAGGGTCGTTGCGGACGTGATGAGTTAGATCTGGATGAGGTCATTCTGCAGAGGGGTGGGCCCTAATGCAGTGTGACCTGTGTCCTGACAGAAAGGGGAGACGGAGACACGGACACACCCAGAGGGAGAGCGCCGTGTGGAGACAGAGGCTGAGGCCGACCTGCCGTGGCAGAAGCCAAGGAAGCCCGCAGGTGGGCAGCAGAGCAGAAGCTGGGACAGAGGCCCCGAGTGGAGGCGCCTTCTCGGTCCTCGGCAGGAGCCCGCCCAGCCTGGGCCTTCCTCTCGGACTGCTGGACCCCCAGCCAGGAGAGAGGCCATCTCTGCTGGGAAAGCCACTCAAAGTTTGTAACGCTTTGTGATGGCAGCCAGAGGAAACTCCCACACTCAGCTTGTCCTTTAGGCTCTGCTCTGATGTCCTCTCCTCAAAGGGACTTCCCAGGCTACCACGTTCAAATGGCCTCTTCTTTTATTCTTTTGGAAGCGGGGTTTTTTGAAGTAAAGTTTTTGTTTTTTTGTTTTTTTTAGATGGAGTTTTGCTCTTGTTGCCCAGACCGGAGTGCAATGGCGCAATCTCGGCTCACTGCAACCTCCGCCTCCTGAGTTCAAGCGATTCTCCTGCGTCAGCCTCCCGAGTAGCTGGGATTACAGGCAGGCACCACCACGCCTGGCTAATTTTGTAATTTTAGTAGAGATGGGGTTTCTCCATGTTGGTCAGGCTGGTCTCGAACTCCTGTCCTCAGGCGATCCACCTGCCTCGGCCTCCCAAAGTGCTGGGATTACAGGAGTGAGCCACCGCGCCTGGCCTTTTTGAGGTAAATTTTATGCAGTGAAATTGCATTTAAGTTTAGGCATACAGTTTAACGAGTTTTGACAAAGGTTTACACCTGGGCAGCTAAAATCCCAATAAAGAGCTTTGCCACCACCCCAGAAAGTACCCTCATACCCTCTTCCAGTGAATGCCCGTCTCCCATAATTGGCCACTGTTCCGGTTTCTGTCACTCTAGCTTCATCTCCTTTTGAACTTCACGTAAGTGGAATCGCACGGCACGCAGTGCTTTGTGTCTGGCGGCTTTCGCTCCGTGGAATTGTTTTGAGATCCACCCAAGCTGTGTGAAGTGAGTAGCTCATGGCTTCGTATTGCTTGGCAGCCTTCCATTGCATGGAGACGCCGCAGGTTGCTTATGCCCTGGTCCGCTGCCAGTTGGGGCGACTGAATAAAGCTGCTATGAACGTTCTCGCACAAGTCTTTCTGTGAACATATGCTTTCATATATGGAATTGCTAGATAACAGGGAAGTGTTATGTGTCTTAGTCCCACTTTCTGTTGCTGTAACAGAGTACCGCAGGCTGGGTGGTTTATAAAGAAAGGAAGTTCAATGTCAAGGCGCTGGCAGCTGGTGAGGACCTTTGTACGGCATCATCCTATGGCGGAAGGCAGAAGGGCAAGAGGGCGTGAGAGAGCGAGCGGGGGCCAAACTTTCATGATAACAATATTAATATTAATCGCCTCTTACCAGTCCCACCCCTTAACACCATCACATGGCCATTAAATTTCAACACGAGTTTTGGGGGGGACATGTACCCCATAGCAGTATGCTTAACTTTTTAAGAAAGAGGAAGGCCGGGCGCGGTGGCTCACCCCTGTAATCCCAGCACTTTGGGAGGCTGAGGCAGGCGGATCACCTGAGGTCGGGAGTTCGAGACCAGCCTGAACAACATGGAGTAAACCCTGTCTCTACTAAAAATACAAAATTAGCCCGGCGTGGTGGCACATGCCTGTAATCCCAGCTACTCGGGAGGCTGACGCAGGAGAATCGCTTGAACTCAGGAGGCGGAGGTTGCGGTGAGCCGAGATCGTGCCATTGCACTCCAGCCTGGGCAACGAGTGAAACTCCATCTCAAAAAAAAAAAAAAGAGGAACTGTTTTCCGACATGGCTATACCATTTTACAGTCCCGCTAGGAGTGTATAAGAGTTCCAGTTGCCAACGTTTGGCAAGATCAGTCTTTTAAATGTCAGCCTCTTAAGTTCAGCCACAACTTGGTGAAATTAGACTCCAAAATTTCATCACCCTAGCCCATGTTCTCTCGACCTTGGCACTGTCGACATTTTGGACCGAATGATTCTCTGTTGTGCGGGGCTGTCCTGTACATTCTAGGATGATGAGCAGCATCCCTGGTCTCCACTTACTTGATGCCAGTGGTGCCGTGAATTAATTGATGCTGCCGTGACAAATTGCCCCCAACTTCATGGCTTAAAATAATAGAAAGTTATTCTCTCGCAGTCCTGGAGGCTAGAAGGCCGAAATCCGTTTCACTGGGCTGAAATCAGGCGAGGAGGACACACACTCATTGGAGGCTCTAGGGGACAAACTGATCTTTGCCTCTTCCAGTTTCTGGTGGCTGCCAAATTCCTTAATTTTGTGGCCACATCATTCCTGTCCTGAAGGCCAGCATCTTCAAACCTGTGTTCTGTCTTCACATGACATTCTCGTCTGTGTGTGTCTAATGTCCTTCTGCCTCTCTCTCATACATGTGATTGCATTTAGGGCCACCAGGATAATCTAGGATAATCTTTGCATCTCAATACCCTTAAACTCACCACTTCTGGAAAGCCCCCTTTTTTGGTCATAGAAGGTAACATTCACAGTTTCCAAGGATTATGACACAGATATCTTTTGCGGAGGGGCTTTTTGTTTTTTTCTTTTTTAGACAGAGTCTCTCTCTGTCACCCAGGCTGGAGTGCAGTGGCACGATCTTGGCTCACTGCAACCTCCGCCTCCTGGGTTCAAGCAATTCTCCTGCCTCAGCCTCCCAAGTAGCTGGGACTACAAGCGCGTGCCACCACACCCAGCTAATTTTTTTGTATTTTTCATAGAGACGGGGTTTCACCCTGTTGCTCAGGGTGTTCTTGAACTCCTGAGCCCAGGTAATCTGCCCACCACAGCCTCACAAAGTGCTGGGGTTACAGATGTGAGCCACCGTGCCCAGCCTAGGGGGGCAATTTTAGCCTACCGTGCCCCACCTATTTGTAACAACCAGAAATGTCTGTCCAGAGATTGCCAAATGTCCCTTGTTTGGGGAGGGGGGGGCCGGCAAATTGCCCCTGGTTGAGAACCAGTATCCTAGCCCATGAGACTAGTGGGTGTGTGACCCTGCCTCTGACGATTAATGATGCTGAACCCCTTTTCATGTGCTTATCAGCCAATAAGTCTTTGGCTTGTTTTCAACTTGGATTGTCTTTTTATTGTTGAGTTGTCAGAGCTCTTTATATACTCCGGACCAGTCTTTGTCACTCCCCTACTTTTTCCTTTCTCGCAGCACTCACCGCCTAAACTGCTCTCCCTTGTGTAGGTATTCATTTGTGTTGTATTGTTCTCGTCAAAATATCAGCACATTCAGGTCGGCCACTGTGTCTGAGTGACTGCCCAAAGACATGTTGGCACATGATGGCTGTTCTGTGAGTACCTGTTTCATGGATCAGTCTGGATGCTGCTTTTCCTCCCTTCCTGAAGGGACCCAGCTCGCCCTCTGGGCTGCCTCCCTCCTCCATGTATGTCAGAACTCTATCTGCTGTGTCTTGGGAACATCAGGGCAGGGCCAGGAGGGCTGATTCTGGATTTAGGCCTGGCCCAGCCTCCTCTCTGCAAGGTATTTACTGAATGACCTTGGACGAGGTGCTTCAAGTTTGCAATCCTCAGTTTCCACATCTGTAACATGGAGGTAAAAATGATCCCACTATTGTTGGAACTGTTGTGAGAATTAATTAATACTTGTGTGTAAGCCCCAAGTAGATGCTGATGGAACTGAATTTACAATTCCTTTCTGCTTCCTATGTGCAAACTAAGTCCTTGAAAGATCGTAAAGAAAAATGGGGCCAGATGTGGTGGCTTATGGCTGTAATCCCAGTGCTTTGGGAGGTCGAGGCAGGAGGATTGCTTCAGCCCAGGAGTCTGAGACCAGCTTGGGTAACAAAGTGAGACCATATCTCTGCAAAAAATTTTAAAAGTGTTAACCGGACTTGGTGGCACATGCCTGTAGTCCCTGCTACATGGGAGGCTGAGACAGGAGGATCGCTTGAGCCCGAGAGTTTTATGTTGCAGTGAACTATGATTGTGCCACTGTGCTCCAGCCTGGGTGATAGAGGACAGAGTGAGAACTTGTCTCAAAAAAAAAAACAGAAAGAGAGAGAGAGAGAGAGGAGAGAGAGAGAGAGGAGAGAGAGAGAGAGAGAGAGAGAGAGAGGGAGAGAGAGAGAGAGAGAGAGAGAGAGAGAGAGAGAGAGAGAAAGAAAAAGAGAAAGAAAGAAAGAAAGAAAGAAAGAAAGAAAGAAAGTTGTTAATGGCTTTTTTTTTTTTTTGAGGTGGTGTCTTGCTCTGCTGCCCAGGCTGGAGGGAGTGCAGTGGCTTGATCTCAGCTCACTGCAACCTCTGCGTCCCGGATTCAAGTGATTCTCCTGTCTCAGCCTCCTGAGTAGCTGAGATTACAGGCATGCACCACCACGCCCAGCTAATTTTTGCATATTTTAGTAGAGACGGGGTTTCACCGTGTTGGCCAGGATGGTCTCGATCTCCTGACCTCGTGATCCGCCCGCCTCGGCCTCCCAAAGTGCTGGGATTACAGGCATGACTGCAGCCGGCCAATGTCTTGGAACTATTAATAGCCATGGTGGTTGCACAACACCACATGTGCTAAATGCCGCTGAATTGTTCACCTTAAAATAATTCATTTTATGTTACATGAAATTTACCTCAATAAAAATTGAATAAAAAAGAAGCTACTCAGGTGCCGAGTAGGCAAAACTTTCACTCTTGCTTTGTATTTCTGGCTGTATCCACAAGTGGGCAGTCGTGAAATTTTCTTATAGCCTCCTGTCATATTGAAAACGCCCGGAAGTGAATATGCCAGGTCTCCATGTTTTTCTTTCCCTCCTGGACACGAGGTCCTTGGGGGCATCCAGACCCTAGCTCCTCTGTCCCAAGACTGTTCTGGTATGTTTCGCTTTCAGACGAGGCTTGGAGATAACAGGCTATGGTTCCTAGAGGCTTCAGTGTTGCTCTGTGACCTCTCAGCCCCAGGGATCCAGCCTCGGGCTGACTTTCCTCAAGGTATCTGCTTAGGGCTTTGTTGCAGGCTGGGGTCGTGTTAACTTCCATTTTTTCCCCGACTTCTCCTCCATGTCACAGCATCCTGCATCTTGGGATCTCTGAGGAGGTCTGACCTAAGGTCTGATCTGCTCTCTGAACTGGTTCCTCTCATCCCTATTGCGTTGAAGCAAAGCACAGACATTATATCAGTTCATCTGTAAATATTTCAGTGTGAACCTGAAATATGGATCATTTTGTTAACATAGCCTAAATACCATACCAAAAATGTTTTAAAACAAGTCCACAATGTTAAATATGCAGTCACTGTCACCTTATTGCCTCACACATGCCATCATTCCTTTTTATTTCTGAAGGAATTCTTTTTTTTTTTTTTGTGAGACAGAGCCTCACCCTGTCACCCAGGTTGGAGTGCAATGGTGAGATCTCGGCTCGCTGCAACCTCTGCCTCCCAGGTTCAAGCGATTCCCCTGCCTCAGCCTCCTCAGTAGCTGGGATTACAGGCATGTGCCACCACGCCCGGCTAGTTTTTGTATTTTTAGTAGAGACGGGGTTTCACCATGTTGGCCAGGCTGGTCTTGAACTCCTGACCTCGTGATCTGCCTGCCTCGGCCTCCCAAAGTGCTGGGATTACAGGCGTGAGCCACCACACCCGGCCCTGAAGGATATTTTTTGCTGGACATAGAATTCTAAGTTGGCACTTAATTTTTGGAAATAATAAGCATTTTGAACAAATCATTCCCTTCTGACTTCCATGGTTTCTGTTGAAAAGGCAGCTGCCAGTCTTCTTGTTGCTCCTCGGATCACAGTTTTGTTTTCCTCAGGCTCCTTTTAAGATCTTTTGTTTTTCTTTGTTGTTTAGTGGTTTTGCTATGATGATGTTTGGCGTGATTTTCTTTCTCTCTTCTTTTTTGTGCCGCTGACTCTCCCCTTGGTGTGATTTTCTTTGCATTCATCCTGCTTGGGCTTCGCATTGCTACTTGGGTTTATGGCTTGATGTCTTTTGTCAGTTTTGGACGTTTTCAGCCATTATATTTTCAAATAGTGACTCTGCCCTAGTCTCTCATTTTTCCCCTTCTAAGGCCCCAGTTACATGTATGTTCAACCTTTCCACTGTATCCCTACATCCTCTGGGTTCCTGTGTGAGCCGTCCTGGCGAATTTCCTCCTGCTTTCGCTTCTGTTTTGTTGGCTCTTCCCCCAGCTCCCCAGGGCCCCTTGCTTTGGCACATTTGCTCAGAGTGAGCTCATCCATCCTGGCCACATGCACCGATTGCACCTGGGCTATTGACCCCTCCTACAGCTGTTTCTCCGTCTCAGACTTTTCCTCCAAGTTGTGGGCCATGATTAGGCTCTAGCTCAATTTGCCAAAAGCAAATTCTCAGAAATGACCAAGAATATACTCTTTCTGGCTGGGCCCAATGGCTCACACCTGTAATCCCAGCACTTTGGGAGGCCGAGGCAGGCGGGTCACCTGAGGTCAGGAGTTGGAGACCAGCCTGGCCAACATGGTGAAACCCTGTCTCTACTAAAAATACAAAAAATTAGCCCGGCATGATGGCGCATACCTGTAGTCCCAGCTACTCAGGAGGCCGAGGCAGGAAAATCACTTGAACCCGGGAGGCGGAGGTTGCAGCAAGCCAAGATCGTGCCACTGCACTCCAGCCTGGGCAAATAGAAGGAGATCCGTCTCAAAAAAAAAAAACAACAACACTATTTTGAAAAAAACAATAAAGTTTAGAACACTTTGTGTTGGAGAGGGTGGTCTTAACACCTTCGGTCTGTCTTGAGGGTGTCTGGGTTGACTGGTCATCGTTTTGTGTTCATAAGAGCATTCTCCAGAGTTGTCCATTTGCTTCTGTGACTGTAGGAGGTGGAGAGAGGGGGGTCCTTGACCAAGGAAGAGAAGGGAGCGCGGCTGCCAGAGGGCCAGGAGATGGGGGCCAGAGAGAAGGGGAGACTGAGAGAATATCCTTATGAAAATATTGTTTACTGACATCTGAAGAGACTCTTCAAGAATGCACTGAAGAATATCTTCATGTATCTTTACCAATACATTGATGAAGATTGACTTCATATTCCTGAGGACAGTTAAAATCTTGAATGTTCTCACAGCTAGATCATTCATGTAAATGGAAAGACAGTAATGAGGAATCTATTTTCGGGGTGACCATCCTGCCGACCCACTCCCCCTCTCTGTGAGCAGTGGCCTAGTCCATGTTGTCCACCGACTCTCTTCTTAACAGGGACCTGGGGCAGAGACAAATGGAATATTCCTTGAAATGCTGCGAGGAACCAGCTTTTGACAAATTGGCTTTCAACAAATGAGCTGTCAGCTTATTCAGTGCCCGGGGGATTTCTCCGTGTGGGTGTTGGTCAAGTCCTTGGAGTGGGACCGAATAGAAGTCGTCACTGTTTTCCCCGTCTCTGTCAGCACCACCGTTTAGACCTCCTGCACCTGAGGCCTGCCGCCACCCTCCTGGGCCTCCTGGGGCGGCAGCCCTGCCAGTCTATGGGTTCCATCACGCTCTGGTGCCTTCTCTCTTCTACGTAAGCGGTGGTGCCAGAGCCCCCTCACTGGCCCCCTGGCCTCTGTCCTTCTGGCCCGTTCTTTGTGGTGCCAAAAGGGGAACTTCATAGAAGTTTTTAAATTATGAAGTATTTCAAGCAAAGGGAAAATGTAAGGATAACATAATTAACAGCCCCAGCTTTCTGAAATCTTAACATTTGCCATATTCACTTCAAATCTTATTTTTTTAGGAAATAAAACTTTAAAATATTCTGTTGAAGCCCTCATTACCCCTTTCCAGCACCATCTCCCTTCCTTGCTATTCTGGCCTTGCTATACTGGCCTCACCATTCTCATTTGGGTGCTTATCTTTTCCATGCATGGTTTTATACTTTTACTACTTATATAATTATATACACAACAGGTAGTGATTGTTTTCTTTTAGAGATAGGGTCTCACTCTGCTGCCCAGGCTGGAGTGCAGTGGCGTGATGGCAGCTCACTGCAGCCTCGAACTCCCGGACTCAAGAGGTCCTCCTGCCTCAGCCTCCAGAGTAGCTGAGACTACAGGCACGTGCCACCACACCCAGATAATTAAAAATTTTTTTTGTAGAGACAGGGTCTCACTGTGTTGCCCAGGCTGGTGTTGAATTCCTCCTGGCCTCAAACAATCCCCTTGCCTTGGCCTCCCAAAGCGCTGGGATTGCAACTGTGAACCACTGCGCCTGGCCTGCTTGTGGTTTTTTAACAGCTCTATTGAGATATAATTTACATATTATAAAATGCACCATTTTAACTACATTTCAATGGTTTTTAGTAAATTTACTGAGTTGCGCAACTATTGCCATGATTCACTTTTCTCTTTTTGTTTAAATAACGGCTCTATTGAGATATAATTCACATCCCATAAAATTCACCAATTTAAAGTGTACAATTCACTGGTTTTTCGTATAGTCACAGAGTTGTTCAACCATCACCACTATCTAATTCCACAATATTCTCTTTTTTTTTTTTTTGAGACGGAGTCTCGCTCTGTCGCCCAGGCTGGAGTGCAGTGGTGTGAACTCTGCTCACCGCAAGCTCCGCCTCCCGGGTTCACGCCATTCTCCTGCCTCCGCCTCCCGAGTAGCTGGGACTACAGGCGTCCGCCACCACGCCCGGCTAATTTTTTTTGTATTTTTAGTACAGACGGGGTTTCACCGTGTCAGCCAGGATGGTCTCGATCTCCTGACCTCATGATCCGCCCGCCTTGGCCTCCCAAAGTGCTGGGATTACAGGCGTGAGCCACCGTGCCCGGTCCTACAATATTTTCACCAGCCCCAAAGCAACCCTGTACTCATTAGCAGCCACTGCCCATCCCCCACCCCCAGCCCCTGGCACCCACTAATCTGCTTTCTGTCTCTATGGATTTGCCTATTCTGGACATTTCGTAACTAATGGAATTGTACTGGAATCTGTGGTCTTTTGTGGCTTTTCAATCCTTATAGTCACCATGTTTCTATAGAGTAACTGCAGGCTAAACTGCAGGCTAGACTTCGTGCTCAACACTGGTCCTGGGGGATTTGCGGAACTGAAGAGCACACACAGATAGTTCACACTGTCATTTCTACAACTTCTAGTCTGTGGCTATTTTTGTAAAGCTGTTACAAAAGAGTAACTACATATAAAATATATATGAATATTGGTGTGCGTGTGGCTGGTGTGTGTTTGGGGTGTTCCCAGGCAGACCTGGAGTGGGAGGCAGGCTTTCCCTAGAGCCTGGGGAGCGGGGAGGAAGGCAGAAGCTGAACCCGAATCTAGTCTAGGTCAGGACCGCTCGCTGTTGGCATGAGCTCTGGATGAGGTACTGAAGGAATCTCACTTTCTCTTTTGCTCCCAAGGCAAGCATTGATGGAAGAACAGGTGAATGGTCGCCTGCAGGGACAGCTGAATGAGATTTACAACCTCAAACACAATCTGGCCTGCAGCGAAGAGAGAATGGCCTATCTATCCTATGAGAGAGCCAAGGAAATATGGGTGAGAACCTCCTGGGGGAGCCTTGCAAGAAGACTGGAGGGATGAGCGAATCTATTCTGATACCCCCAAACCAAAGCAAGACACGGGTCCTCGAGCTGCCCCCTCCTGAGGGTTCGATGGCCACACACATTTGTTTCAGAGCTAGCAGCATCTGATCTTTACACTCACGCTCCGCTTCCCACCATCTGGCTTAGCTGCTTTTGCCACTCTGGTGCTGCAGTGCTCACCCGTGAGCCTCTGACTCGGGAGATCTGGGGTGGAGCTGCTTCTGCTGCGGCTGCAGGTGTAGGGAGCGCCCTCTCAGAACCCCTCCTTAGACCTGGCTTCCCTCTCCTCACTTTTCCATTCCCATAGCGCCCACCCCCGTCCCTGGGTAGCTGTGTCTTGACCAGGTCCTCAGCTTCGGGAGACAGTGGATGGGGGAGTGCAGCCGGGTCAGATGAAGCTTTCCCTGTTGCTGGAGAGCCTGCGCCCTCCCCTCTGCCCTGAATGTGCTCTAGGCTCTCTGCTTCCCTCCTCGAATACCCACTCCACAGTGCTTTCTGCTCACCCCTAAGAACTCAATAAACGACCACAACTCTGTGCTGACTTCTGGTGCGTGCATTTTCGTCTCCTGCAGGAGATCACGGAGACCTTCAAGAGCCGAATATCCAAGCTGGAGATGCTACAGCAAGTCACCCAACTGGAGGCAGCGGAGCACCTCCAAAGCCGTCCCCCGCAGATGTTGTTCAAGTTCCTGAGTCCGCGCCTCTCACTGGCAACCGTCCTCTTGGTCTTTGTCTCCACCTTGTGTGCCTGCCCCTCGTCACTGATCAGCTCACGCCTGTGCACCTGCACCATGCTGATGCTGATCGGGCTTGGGGTCCTGGCCTGGCAGAGGTGGCGCGCCATCCCTGCCACAGACTGGCAGGAATGGGTCCCCTCCAGGTGTAGACTGTACTCCAAGGACTCTGGGCCTCCAGCAGATGGACCTTAAGGGGCCAGGAGGGCCACCTGCCTTAGCTTGCTAGCTCCCTCCCTCCTCCTGGGTGCTGAGGGCATCCAGCAAGCCCCTCCACAGCTCTTGCTTGCCGATTATGTAACCACCAGCCTGGTGAAATGGATATAGACGCCCACCTGCCTCACACTTCTGTTTTGCCAGGATCCTTTCACGCCATCGGTAGACATGAGGCTCGGGAAAACTTAAAGTCTATGAAGCGCTCTCTCCTCTTTATCCCCCTTGCACCCTCTCGAGACCCAGTGCCTGCACACGCAGAGGCTCAGGTGGTCCCACACTGCAGTGAAAGCCTCTGTGACTTTGTTGGTTTTGGCAAAGATAAATTACATTTATTTTACAGGGATGGAGAAGGAGGGGGAAAGGAGAGGTGGCCAAAGCCCCGGTGGGCGGGATGGGTAGGAGGCAGACCTCATGCAGGCGATACCGAGGACACAGATGAGACCTCCGTTTTGGAGGCGCTGGAGAGTTCAGAGCCATCGTCAACCTTCTTCCCGAAAAGCTGCAAGATGCAGTTTCGAAACTGGAAGGACAGAAAGCGTTATTGAGCAGAGCAGGGAAGGGTGGAGCACTGTGCTGAATGTACGTGCCCGAGCCTTCCCTTCACCCATTCCGAATCCCATGGGGGATGGAGGAAGGCTTGGATTATTTCTCCCTCACACGCGGGGATGTCATCTGACTTAGCAGTTGATGGTGACTACACTGGGTTGAAGTGGGTCCCCCAAAAGATGTGTTCAGGTTAAGATGAGGTCACACTGGAGCAGGGTGGGCCCTAATCGAATGACTGGTGTCCTGATAAGAAAAGGAACGCTTGGACACGGACACGCAGACAGAGGGAAGAAGGCCACGTGAAGATGAAGGCAGAGACTGGGGTGACACACCTTGGAGTCAAGGAACGCCAAAGACTGCCGGCAGCCCTGCAGCTGCTTCTCCCTCCCGGCCTCCATAGGGAACCTTTCCATTTGCCAACACCCTGATTTCAGACTCAAGATTTCCAGAACCCTGAGAGAATCCATTTCTGTGGTTTGAAGCCACTGAGTTTGTGGTAGTTTGTGACGGCAGCCCCATGACACTCATCCACAGTGACAGCTAAGGGGCAGTGGTGACCTGTCCCCAGACTGTCTGGTGAGCGGCTCGGAGGAATATTAATGAAAAGGCATGTGGTTGTCATGTTTTTTCCAGTCCATGGATCTGGGGCAAGGTGAGGCCTAGGTAATGACAATCTAGCCCCTACCTCATCTCTCCAGCCAAGCGTCTTCCGGTACCAGGAGGGGTCTGTCTTTGCTGCTTCACCCCAAAGAGATCTGGGCCATATGAATGTCTCAAATCATGTCCTGTGTCATCCCTGAAGTAACCACAATGCTTTGAGGACCCAGACCAAAGGCATTTTCTAAATATTTCAGGCCTACTCTTGACTAGCTCTAACTCCCTCTATCATCAAAACTCTCAAAAATAAAAAATATAATGGTTGAAATTAATAACATAAGAAACGGGACAAACAGCAGAATCAGCTCGGCTGAAGAGCTGGGAGATAGGGCTGAGGAATCCATTCAGCAGCTGCTGCTTGAGCACCCACTGTGTGCCAGACTCTGTCCTGAGCAAAATTTGCTGTCTTCATGGAACTGCGTTCCAGAAAATTCTCTCAGAATGTGGCAGGACAGGATAATTATGTGGAAAGGGTAAAAGCAAAGTTCGAGGCCTGGTGAGGTCCAGAAGTGCAGACATCTGTCTCCCCCTGTCCAGGGGGAGTTCTGGAAAGGAGAATGGAAATAATCCAGTAAAGACAGTACTTGGCAAGATAGTTTAGGATTCCAGAAACCTAAAAAAGATCCTCATGAAAGTCAGGAAACAGGGGTCAGGGATAGAACTACACTCTGGGCATCAGTGTGCTACAGCGAGTTCCCGGAAATCCACTGCAGGCCTGGTCCTACTTACTGTTTAAAAGTTACCAGAGAGAATGAACCCTTAATGAACTCTGCAGACTTGGCTTGTGTGAGTCAAAGCTGAGCCAAAGGGGCTGGAGCCATTGAGTGGCTCTAAGATGGAGAAGCAAGGAAGAGCCCAGTGGAAGGGATGGACTGGGCCTGGTGAAATGGGAGGCCTCTGCACACCTTTCTGGCCACCATCAAGTCACATCACAGCTGCGCTTTAATGAAGCCTGTAACCTGCAGGAGGTGGGGGGATTTAGGTGTGTGAGCAGCTTGCTGCTGAGGCCCAATATGCCAGCTAAGGAGGCTGCCTCTGGGCAGGACCACAGCACGTCCCCCCTGAACTAACCCACGAACTCGTGAAAGCTCTTGAACTCTTGGTCAGTGTAGCCAAGGAGGGCCGGCTTTTGTTCTTATAGGAAGACAAATTCCAGAGGTTACGGTTTGAAAATGGAGAGATGAAGGTTGAGAAGGGTCGAGTCTGAACAGAAGAGGGGCACACCTAGGGTGGATGTACCTAGGGCTCACCAACTCCTAGAGCGTCTGAACGCCAGGAGAGCCCCTGAAGCTCGGCAGCCATAGTTCTAGGGCCACCGGAAGGGAAGAGCGCACGGCACACAGACGCTTTGGGAAATGCCACCCTCAGGCCGAGACTATAAAGGATTCCAGAGGGCACACCTAAGCCTTCTGCTAAGGGCCAGCTGGAGCTCTGGCTGGGGCTGGGTCACACGCTGAGCCTTTCCCGGTCATTTCCCTGGAGGGTCCCCCAGATGCTCCGCGGGCTTCTTATCAGAGACATGATTCCAGGTGGGGCCATCACTGCACCCTTCTAGGGCACACGGTATTTTGAGTGGGATCTGCTGATGGTGTTGCTTACCTGCCGGTTCATAAAGACATAGATAACGGGGTTGTAGATAGTGGCACTTTTGGCAAAGTAGGCCGGCAGGGCAGCCATCAAAGGGTGGAAGGCGTAACCAGGGTTGGCAGCAGCAAAGCATGCGAAGAAGGTGTAGGGTCCCCAGCAGACGCAGTACGCAAAGATCATCACCACCACCATGCGCGTCACTTCCTTCTCTGCCTTCTGGGTGGATTCAGACTCTTTCTGCTGCTTTGCCACCTAAGGGAGACAGGGATAGTGAGTCGGGGGTTGGAGGGCAGCAAGAGGCAGGTGACCCAGGCATAGGGAGTTGTGGGGAGGAGGAGAGGAGCCCAGCAGCCATCTTCCAGCCCTGAGTGGAGCACAGCCGGCCCCAGGCAGACATGGCTGCCTCAGGCTGGCCCTGGGGGAGTTCTAGAATTGGAGGTGGCATGCAGCTAGGTGTGGCCTAAGATGACCCCAGAGCTGGATCTAACAAGCTCCTTTGCTTCACCTGATCCCTTAACAGACTGTCCTGTCCTGCGCTCAGGCCTGAGCATGGAGGCCTGATTTGATTGATGACTGGGCGTGGAGAATGAAGGAGTTAACAAGGTGGAGATGGCGGGGGAGGCAAAAGCAGTGGCTGGCGGGGTGCGCGATGGGAGTGTCAGAGCAATGCATACACTTCCCTCAGGCTTCCTAGGCCAGGTTGGCCACTCTGTGGACTAAATCCTGCCCTGGACTCACGGTGAGGCAGCTGAGGGCAGCTTTGGTGGGGTGGCTCCTTCATGCCTGCTGGGAGGAAGGAGACGAATGGCCTCCAGGCAGAGGCACTGTGGGGGAGGCCAGAGGCCAGCCACCACCTGCCAGGGATGAGGGACTGGCGGCAGGCAGATGAGTGGGGATGAGAGAGGGAGTGTGAGGGCTGGAATGCAGGGATGGCTGAGACAGCAGAGCTGGGGCCACATTGTGGAGCTGGGGCTCTACCATCCCAGACTAATACAGCCGAAGCCATGGTTGGGTACCTGTGGGAGCCTTCACCCCAAGGTGACGGGGTGAGGGGGCCTTTCACAGGCTCACAGACTCCTCTAGAGAGAGCTTGGCAGGCATGCCCATCCAATTGTGGGCACAGGCAGCTTCATATAGGAAAGCCAGCACCCTGAAAGGGCTCCCACTGCTAACAGAAAAGAACCAGCCTGGCTCTCCTCCCTTGCTCTGACTTCCTGAAGGGCTCCCAGTGGTAGCCTAGTCTAGGGGTGGGGGGTGACGGCTGTGGACAGGATCAGCTTCCCAGGGCAGAGGGCCAGACATGGAGGTGGAGAGTGGGTCAGGGGGGCAAATGGCACTCTCGGGTCCACTCCTTGGTCGGCCCCACAGCCTATGAAAAGGACAAGGGTACTCCGGTGGCAGCCTCATAAAAACACGCCTTGATTTGCAGGTGTCATTTGCTGATGTGGCTGCTCCACTCTACTCTGTGGGAAAGGCAGCCTTTCCACCCCGGGGAGAACTGTCCAGGGTCGGGGCAAGGCACACCTCTGTTCCCTTAGTGGACTCCTCCAGGGAGGGAGTGGCAGTGCTTTCCCGTCTCACAGAGCTGAGGACAACGGGGCTGGGGCTGAACCTGCAGCCACTGGTACAGTCCCAAAGGAATCACCTGATTCTCATCGCTGGATCTTAATATTTTCTTATAGGGGTAAAATCCTCTTCTCTAAGGATTTTTGGAAAAATAGTTTAGGAGTCTCAGTGGACTCATTTGAGGGCAGAGCAGCTTAGGGGCAGGAGGCGGGTGAGGCCAGGAGGAATCGGGGGGCTTACCGCTCGGATGGCCAGCCACACTTGGAGGTAGCAGAGCATGATGATAGCGAGTGGGATGATGCAGCAGGTGACCATGAGGACAATCATGTAAGACTGCACCCCGGGGTACGAGCTGCCGCTGAACACGTCTGGGCCGCATGAAGTCTTCAGGCCGTGGGGCCAGTACCTGGAGAGAAGGGCCGGCAGCCAGTCCTGATGCAGGGTGGGGTGACCCAGGACCCCCGGCCCAGGCACGGTGCTAACTCGGGTGGGGTTTGTTTTTTTAAATTGAGGTGAAATTCATGTTGCATGAGATTACCCAATTTGAAGTGATCAATTCTGTGGCAGTCACCACCTCTGCTTCCAGAACATTTTCATCAACCCAAAACAAAACCGTTGGGTAGGATTTTGGTTAATCCTTGTCCATTTTTAGATGTCATGCCTTTCTTCTTTTTGAATTGTGGTAAAATACACATAACATAAAATGTACCATTATAGGCCAGGCACAATGGCTCACGCCTATAGTCCCAGCACATTTGGAGGCAGAGGTAGGAGGATTGCTCGAGCCCAGGAGTTCAAGACTAGCCTGGAACACAGTGAGATCTTGTCTCTACAAAAAATAAAAAAAATTAGCTAGGTGAAGTGGTGCATCTGTAGGCCCAGCTCCTCAGGAGGCTGAGGTAGGAGGATCACTTGAGCCCAGGAGGTGGAGGCTGCAGTGAGCCATAATTACACCACTGCACTGTGCCAGCCTGAGTGACAGAGTGAGACCCTGTCTCAAAAAAAGAAAAAAGTACCATTGTGACCTTTGGTACATTCACAATGCTGTGCAACCATCTCCACTATCTGCTTCCAGGACATTTTCATCTTCCCAATCACTCCCCTTCTTTACAAAGGGATTGTGAGGTTCCTTCTTGCCCTGACCTTCTGAGAACACCCATGAAGAGCTGAGTCTTTTATCTGAGGTCAGCTAGGCCATGACTGAAATAAAGGGCCCTGCTCACTTAGTGGCCTGGAGGATTAAATGAGATAACCCGCGGGAGAGCCTCCACCAGGGTCAGCTCACCACACATGTTTGATAACGGGCAGCTGTGTGGGGCATGGCGGCATGAGGAGGGCGGGAGACAGAGACAGGCTTCCACAAGGTTTGTTTCCTAGAATTGTGGAACGTTCTCGAGGAAAGAACATTCCCTCTCCAAACACCACGAGAACTTATTCACGAGCTTGTCGATAAAACAGTGAAATGCTGTCCCACCCAGTCCACTCCAATCAAACATTTGAGCCACTTGCTTGGCCTGGCCAGGACATGTGCTCTGTAGGCCCAGGTGGATCTATGACCCAAGCAGCCTCTGAAAGGTGGGGGGCGTGGTGCGGCAGCGTGTGCAAGAAAGAGACCTGGAATGCAAACACGCTATGCGTTCACTGACAGCTGTGCTGATGGCCTGAGCTCCGTGTGCGCCTGTGACCTGATCGTGCTTGGGATAAATATGTTTCCAGAGGTTCGGGGACCACAGAGCCTTTCCTATGTTGCAGCCACATTCATACATTGATAGACATTGCACGCTCAGAGGGGCCCAGAGAAAGGAAGTGATTTGCCTTAAGGTCACAGAGTCTGACCCTGCCCACTCCATCTTGCGTCCTCGCACCCTTACCTGCTCCAACCAAAGATGGGCGGGGCTGTCCACACAGCAGCCCAGATCCAGGAGAAGGCAATGCCCACGATGGCCAGCTTGGCATCAAATCTCACATTGCCAAAGGGCTTGCAGACCACCATCCATCTCTCCCAGGAAATGATGGCCAGAGACCAGAGACCTGTGATCCCTATGGGGAGAGCAGACAGATGAGGGCTTTGAGCCAAAGCAAAGGTGGGAAGCAAAGCTTCCCACTGTCCTGCTTAGACCCCAAACGTCTGCACACAGAATTCAGGGCTCCACGGACTGAGGTGGAAAAAACGACATCTTTCTTTCCACCAACCTCGAACAGACACTGGGCATTTCCTTCCATTATGAACGTGGCAGTATTAGCAGTACCCGTGACTCGGTCAGCAAGAGAGGTCACAGATGTTTTCCTGTCAATTCATAGAGGTGGCAGAGAGTTCGAATACCACTTATGTTCATCACTACTCTGAAATAACAGTGGTTGTCAGGCGGGATCCTGTTATTTAATACCTTAATACTGAGTGGTGTCACTAATACGTTTAACACATGCTTTTATTTTTATTTACTTTTTGAGACAGAATCTCACTCTGTTGCCCAGGCTGAGTGCAGTGGTGCCATCATAGCTCACTGCAGCCTTGACCTCCAGAGCTCAAGCGATCCTCCCGCCTGAGCCTCCTGAGTAGCTGGGACTACTGGTGTGCCACCACGCCCAGCTGTTTTTATTTGTTGTAGAGAAGAGGTCTCACTATGTTGCCCAGGCTGGTCTCAAACTCTTGGAGGCAAGCAGTCCTCCCACCTCAGCCTCCCAAAGTGCTGGGATTACAGGTATGAGCCTGGCCAGTAAATGCTTTTAACTAAAGACTATGTTACTGATGAATGTTTAATACTTTGATAACTGTATTTCAGTATAATTTGCTGCCTTTGTAATCCTATGGGTCTCATTTTATGCGTTTGCAAAAATTCTCCTGAGATGGGGTCCACAGGCTTCCCAGATGGCCAAGGGCATCCGTGGACCAAAAGTGGTGGGGAAGTGCTGGCTGCTTGGCACCTGACTGACCCAAGAACAGACCATGAGCAGAGGCAAGGGTGAGCGGGAGACCATGGCAGAAACGGAGACAGACGTGGGCGGAGATGCAGGGGGGCACTCGGGAAGGGTCGTGTGACCACCGAGGCCATGCCTGCTGCAGAGAGCACTCGGACCTGGGGATGGACCTTCTCTGCCTGACCTTCCCTTGGCTCCCCTTCTACACTATCGGGGTAGTGCCGGGACTTGGACAAGCACCCTCTCTGGTCTGGGCCATCGTGGGTACAATTTGAGGCAGTTAACGGGGTGGGGTTGGGGAGGCTGCTAAGAGTGGTGGGGAGG
Organism: Homo sapiens; assembly: GCF_000001405.40. Taxonomy (NCBI): domain Eukaryota; kingdom Metazoa; phylum Chordata; class Mammalia; order Primates; family Hominidae; genus Homo; species Homo sapiens. The sequence continues at coordinate 154,151,736 of NC_000023.11, read as the reverse complement.
CAAGAGCAGGAGCTGCTGCTGCTGGATGTGGGGTCTCCTCCTCCTGAAAGAAAGTCCCAGCTCCTGGGCATGACGTCTGAGGCCTCTGAGACCTGGGCCTGCCCACCTCGTGTCCAGCAGCCACGGCTGCTTGGTGGTACTCTATCCACTCGAACCACAAACTGCTCCCAGCCGCTCCTCCACCACCTGCCCCAGGCCCCTTCTTGTCTGAGAGGACTGATGATGGTACTGTGTGGTTGCCGTCTGGCTATAGGGCCCCCTCCTTAGCACAGAGCCTGGCACGCTAGTACCTCTCGGCCACTGTCTCCTGACCTGAGCGGAATAGTGGCCCACAGAGATATTAGTGATGGGGATGGGGAGAGGATCTGGGAATTGTGTCTCCTCCGGGAAAAGCAGATGCTGGCGAGCTGAAAGAGCAGGCATCCCTAATTGCAGGGGAGTTCTGTCCAGGGTGCCCAGAGTCCCCGCCCCCCTACTGTTCTGGGGTTGTCTAGCTCTGTATCTGTCTCCTCCCACACCAGCCCCACAGCTCCAAACTGGCTGTCCCCGGGCAGAGCCTGACTCAAGAGTAGGAACTCAGGGTATGTTTGACTCAAGGGAGCTGAATTTAATGTGAGTGTTCAGATGGAAGCCTCCAGAACCCTTCAGTATATGGATGTGAGGCGCAGATGGGGAGGGAGACAGGCCTACAGGAGCAGCTGGGCCCCGATCATCATGAGGTGGCTGGAGGAGCTTGCAGGGTGAATGAGTGGTTTCCGCCGAGCCTGGGCCCCGACTGGCTTACCACACAGGGAGACGGTGTAGCCCTCCAGGACACACATAGGGTGGCCCAGCACGAAGTAGCCAGAGACCTGGTTCACAATGCTGATAGTGCTGGCGATGACGGTCTCTGCTAGGTCAGCGACCGCCAGGTTCACCAGGATCCAGTTCAGCGGGTGGCGCAGCTTCTTGAACTTCATGGTGGCCGCCAGCACAAGCCCATTTGTGAAGACGGATGCAGTGACCACAAAGATCATCCAGACACTGGTGAGGTGGTACACCCATCTGGGAGCGATGTGGTAATTCGGGCCTTCGAAGGGGCCTGAGGGCAGGAGGCAGAGGAGAGAGAGGAGCTGGGCTGCAGCACCGCCTGTCTATACCAGTGCTGATCCCACCTCTCCCCTCCCCCTTCCGCCCTCCTGCCTTTGCAATTGGCTGTTTCCCTCCAGCTTTGTCCATCCTCAGACAGTCTCCCCTCCATCCTGTCCCTCAAGCCAGAGACCATCGCCCGCTGGTCACTGGCACTGGCATCTTGAACTTAACAGAACTCCTCATCGTCTCCTCCATCTGATTCCCCACTCCCAGTGTGCAGTCACCCCACTTCCCTGCTCCCCTCTTCCCTTTGCCCCAGCCCCACCTCCTACCTCCCACAGTCCTCTGCCCTTCCATAGAGAAACGCTTGCCTCCTGTAAAGCCCAGCTCATATGCATTTGCCTTCCAGAAGATTCCCCAGCTAGTGGCAACTCACCCCCTTGAGGGGAAGACCACTACCCACCTCTGTCACCTTCTGTCACACATAGGAGTTACTGTTCATGATGATCTGAATGTACGTGCCCCCCATAAATTTCTGTGTTGAAATCCCAACCCCCAAGGTGATGGTATTAGGAGGTGGGGCCTTTGGCAGGTCATTTAGGTCATGTGTGCAGAGTGAGTGGGGCCCTCATGAATGGGATTAGTGCCCTTATAAAAGAGGTCCTAGAAGCTGGGCATGGTGGCTCACGCCTGTAGCCCCAGCTACTCAGGAGGCCAACGTGGGAGGATCACTTGAGCCTTTGGGAACAGCCCAAATTAGCTGGGAATGGTGGCTCATGCCTGTAATCCCAGCACTTTGGGAGGCTGAGGCTGGAGGGTTGCTTGAGCCCAGGAGTTCAAATCCAACCTGGGCAACATGGCATGCCCATGTAAAAAAAATTTTTTTTTAATTAAAACAAACAAGAAAAAGAGTCCCTAGAGTGCTCTCTAGCTCTCTTTCTTCCATGTGAGGATACAATGAGTTGTTGGCAATCTGCAGTCAGGAAGAGGGTCCTCGCCAGAGCCCACCACGCTAGCACCCTGACTTCCAGCCTCCAGAGCTGTGAGAAATAAATTTATCATTTAAAAGCCACCCAATCTATGGTAATTTCTCTTTTATTCTTTTCCTTTCTTTCTTTTCTTTTTTTTTTTTTTGGGACAAAGTCTTGCTCTGTCACCCAGGCTGGAGTGCAGTGATGTGATCTCGGGTCACTGCAACCTCCGCCTCCTGGGTTCAAGCAATTCTCCTGCCTCAGCCTCCGGAGTAGTAGCTGGGATTTACAGGCACCCACCACCACACCCAGCTAATTTTTGTGCTTTTAGTAGACATGGGGTTTCACCATGTTGACCAGGCTGGTCTCAAACTCCTGACCTCAAGAGATCCTCCTGCCTTGTCCTCCCAAAGTACTGGGATTGCAGGCATGAGCCACCATGCACAGCCTGGTAATTTATTTTTCTTTTCTTTTTTTTTTCTTTTTTTTTGAGACGGAGTCTTGCTCTGTCACCCAGGCTGGAGTGCAGTGGCACGATCTCGGCTCACTGCAAGCTCCGCCTCCCAGGTTCACGCCATTCTCCCGCTTCAGCCTCCTGAGTAGCTGGGACTACAGGCGCCCGCCACCACGCCTGGCTAATTTTTTCTATTTTTAGTAGAGACGGGGCTTCACCATGTTAGCTAGGATGATCTCAATCTCCTGACCTCGTGATCCGCCTGCCTCGGCCTCCCAAAGTGCTGGGATTACAGGCGTGAGCCACTGCGCCCGGCCACAGCCTGGTAATTTCTTATAGCAGCCAGTACTGAGACACAAGTACAAGTCTTGTCTTTCTCACCAGAGACTTTGACTCATTCATCCTCACAGAGTGTCCAGCACACAATAGATGCTCAGAAAATAAATGAATGAGGAAATTAATCAATGAATGTGTTATGAGTTGAATTGTGTCCCCACCCAAATTCATATGTTGGAGTCCTAACCCCAATACCTCAGAATGTGACCGTTTTCGGAGATAGGGTCTTTACAGAAATGACCAAGTTTAAATGAGGTCATTAGGGTGGGCCCTAATCCAATATGACGGCTGTCCTGATTATGATTATGATTATTATATATTTAGAGATACAGTCGGCTGGGAGCGGTGGCTCACGCCTGTAATCCCAGCACTTTGGGAGGCCGAGGGGGTGGATCACTTGAGGTCAGGAGTTCAAAACCAGCCTGGCCATGGTGAAACCCCGTCTCTACTAAAAATACAAAAGAAAAAAAAATTAGCTAGGTATGGTGGTGGGCGCCTGTAGTCCCAGCTACTCAGGAGGCTGAGGCGGGAGAATCACTTGAACCCAGGAGGCAGAGGTTGCGGTGAGCTGAGATCACGCCACTGCACTCCAGCCGGGGTGACAGAACAAGACTCCGTCTCAAAAACAACAACAGCAACAACAACAACACCAAATAGAGATAGAGCCTGGCTCTGGCACCCAGGCTGGAGTACAGTGGCACAATCATAGCTCACTGCAACGTGGAACTCCTGGGCTCAAGCGATCCTCCTGGGCTCAAGCGATCCTCCTGCCTCAGCCTCTCGAGTATCTGGGACTACAAGCCGTGCATTACCACAATGGCAATTTTTTTTATTTCTGTAGAGATGGGGTCTGGCTATGTTGCCTAGGCTGGTCTCGAACTCCTGACTTCAAGTGATCCTCCCACCTTGGCCTCCCAAGTAGCTGGGACTACAAACGAATTATTTCTCCTTTTTCTTCTGTAGGAGTTTGCTAGGGCTCTACACCTTTTGTGTTGGAAGGACCTTCGTCATAACATTGTTTTTGGCAGATTACTTGAAGGGATTGCAAGCCACAGACCTGCTGCCATATAAGGCCTCATGGAGAGTCCCAAGGTTTATCAAGAGATTCTTTAGCTGTGTGTTAGAAAAGCCCAACTCAAGCTAGCTTAAGAAAAATGGGGATTTCCTGGCTATGGCCAGGAGAGACAGATAAATCTCACCCCTAGCACAGCTGGATCCCACAAGGCCTCTGCTGCCCTCTGTGCACGGGCCCCATATGTTCCTAACACAAGGAGCTTCTGGAAACCCACAGACAATGTCTGCAATCCCGATACCTGGCACTGGCTCCCCAGGAACCCCCAGTATGAGCAGCAGGGACAGACCATTGACAATTGAAGACCTGCATGGCGTCAGTCTCCGTGCAGAAGGAAGCAGAGGGGAGCAATGGGGTTGCTGATGGACCTAAGAACAGAGAACCCCCAAACTGTCGGCAGCTCTTCCCTGGGAAGTACCTTGGGTGAACTGGGGAAGAGCAGCTGAGACTGGGAGGGTTTGGGACACTCTGGCCTGCAGGCAAGTGCAAGGGGCTGGAGCAATCTAGGTGCTACGACCTCTGAAAACAAGGCAGCCAGTGCCCTTCCCTGGCAACCCTTGCGGTCCAAATTGGGCAGTGCAGGGACAAGGGGGCAAAGGAGAGAACAGGTCCCAGCAGCAGTGGGGGAGGGGACAGGAGCTGCCACCAGTGTAACTAGAGCTGGTGTCATGGCCTACCCCTCCCTCCTGAAAGTTCTGGAACTGAATTTCATGAAGCAATGAGCAAGAGAATCAAAGTCAACTCCCAGGCAAAGTGATTCGAGGAAATACAGGCAGGTAGGGAAGGGGCGGTCGGTGGTGGCGCAGAGAAGCCAGACTTCTTCAAATACACCTTCTTTTCTAGATTTTAATTTGAGACTTTTAACTGTTTTATTACATAATTATAAAACAAAATTTAAGTGGCCGGGGGCGGTGGCTCACACCTGTAATCCCAGCACTTTGGGAAGCCGAGGTGGGCGGACGACTTGAGGTCAGCAGTTGGAGACCAGCCTGGCCAACATGGTGAAACCCTGTCTCTACTAAAAATAAAAAAAATTAGCTGGGCGTGGTGGCGGGCACCTGTAGTCCCAGCTCCTCGGGAGGCTGAGGCAGGAGAATCGCTCGAACCGAGGAGGCGGAAGTTGCAGTGAGCTGAGATCGCGCCACTGCACTCCAGCCTGGGCGACAGAGTAAGACTGTCTCGAAAAAATAAAATAAAGTAAAATAAAAGTTTAAATTTACAGAGCAATCTCTGAAAATCAGCAACAAAAGAAATGAAGCTAAATGCATATCCACTGAGTGGCATATCACTTAGAGAGGGACTATTCTAAGGGACTGGAAACACACCGGTTTACTACACAACCTAGTGGCATATACCCTCAGGGTAAGAAGACCTGTGAAGATGTTAAGGTTTTGGTCACCAATAGGTGAAGGCAGGGTAAGGTGTCCGAATGCCGTCATTTTCCATCCCCAGTGGTTTAATTGGTCTGGGCATTGAGTTTCAGTAGCTGCCAACACCCCAGAAAAGAGACACTCTCCTTGCCAAAACACACCAACAAATCCAACCTACCTCTGGCCAGATCCTCAGATCAACTACCAATTTACAGAAAAATCATAATGAACAACGTCAGAGGGGCCTGTTAGGCTACGTCATGAACGACTTGCTTGCTTCCACAAATAAATTGCAGGGAGATAGAAAGGGAACCTCTAGATTCAAAGGTAGTCAAAAGGCATATCAGTCAATCTGAATGTGTGGACCTTATTTGAGCCCTGATTCAAGCAGACTGAAAATACGTATGACATTTTTTGAACACTACTAGGATATTTGAAGCTATTCAGGAAATACTGTTACACTTGTCGGTGTGATGATGACTTGTGGTTATGTATTGAGAAGAGCCCTTTTCTCCTAGAGGAACATAGTAAAGATTTACAGAGGGAAGGGTGTGATGTCTTGGATTTGCTTCCAAGAATCAGGAAGAAAGGGTAGTGGAGGGGTCACAGATGAAATGAGATGAAACCGTGGAAGCTGAGTGATGGGTACCGGAGTTCATTACACTCCTCCCTCTACTTTAGTAGATGCTTGAAGTTTTGTGGAAAAAAAAAAAACCCACCCCGACATTTGAAAAGAGTGCACTGAAGCATCATGCATTGATGAAGTCTGGGGGCATCTAGGAAGAGACTGTTGACATTGCCACCAAGGAAATTCTGGGCACAGTCATGTTGAGGTCAACTGCAAGATCCTCATCCGGTTTGGTCTGGGCACTCTGTCACTAATTGGCACTCGGTCCTGGCCACCCCACAGCGGGATGTTTATTGGCAATCAAGGAGCTGGCGTGGCTTCTGGAAACCACAGCCTGCACGATGTTGTTGTTTTTTGTTTTGTTTTGTTTTGAGACAAGAGTCTCACTCTGTGGCCAGGCTGGAGCATAGTGGCGTGATCTCGGCTCACTGCAACCTCCACCTCCCGGGTTCAAGCGATTCTCCTGCCTCAGCCTCCTGAGTAGCTGGGACTACAGGCATGCGCCACCAAGCCCAGCTAATTTTTGCATTTTTAGTAGACATGAGGTTTCAGTATGTTGGCCAGGATGATCTCTATCTGTTGACCTCGTCATCTGCCCGCCTCTGCCTCCCAAAGTGCTGGGATTACAGGCGTGAGCCACTGTGCCCGGCCTGCACGATGTTCTTGAAGGCACCAAAGGAATTTGGTTTGGAGGAGGGACCTGGGGAGAGGGCCAGGAGTGGGGCGGTCACTGGTGTCCTCAGCTTCTTTGAGGGCCTGCGTGCAAAACTTTCGGATTGGGCAACTCCCAATGGCAGGACTCGGGCTGCCCTGATGAGAGCTTTCAGCTTTCTGTTGGGCCTGAGCCCTCTCTCCCAGGACGGCTCCGAATGGAAAGATGGCCCTGGGCGCCAATGCAGCCTCTTCCCCCAGAGGTGTGCAGCCAAAAGCCAAGTGGCCCCATCATGGAGTTTGACAAAATGACTGCTACAGGCTTTGCCGACCCTGAAGTTCTAGAAGTTTCTTGCCCTCTGCTGCTGTCTTCCCCACCCTCCCGCCTCCCTTGGGTGTGTCAGTATGTTGCCTCCTTTCGGCTTCAAATGTAAAGACAGACCCAGCTCTTCCCCAGGAAGCTGAGGGACTCCGTGGAATGAGAGGTCATTCGCTAGCAGTGAACACACTCATCTACGGGCCACAAAGAAAGAGCACATAAACTCTTCCCCGGCCTCGGATTCTCAAAGGGGCTGGGAAGCCTGTGTGGCTTGAGAATGCATATTCGATATTATGGTGTCCTTCTAGATTTGGAGAGGACCCCCCAATTCATGTCATCAGAAAAGCTATGGGAGAAAGCCTTCTCTGCTGGTGGGGACGTGCAGAAGAGAGATTCCCTTGGGCGGGGCAGGTGGGTGGCCGGTGGCCCCCAGTGCAGCCACCCAGCCTCCACGGGCCTGCTGGCTCACCTCTGGTGGAGTTGCTGTTGGTGTAGGTGAAGATGCTGGACTGGGTGCTGTCCTCATAGCTGTCCTGCGGATGGCGGCCTGCGAGCCTTTGGAGGCTCCACTGCTGGGCCATGGCTATGGAAAGCCCTGTCCCCGACGGCAGCCGGCCCTGGCGCATCACCTGAGGGTCACGGCGCTTTATACTGGCCTGTGGGATCAGCCCGGGCCTCTTCACCTTAAAAGCTCCCAAACCCTACACTACCTGATCTCTTAATTGGGCCTGGGACTTAGACCTCCTCCTCCCACCTCTTGCTCCCCTGCTCCTGAGGCGAGCCCGCAAGGGCGGCTCAGAGGGATTTGCTGGGAACCAAACTCAGACGCCCCACCCATCCCCGCCAGGAAGGTGGCGGTGACTGTGGGAGCCGCTGTGGCCCTCTCTGTGTTTATGTGTTCTCTGTTCCCTTCTACTGTCCTGCGTCCGCCTTTGGGGCAGGTGGACCCACGGGTCAGGATTTGCAGACTGGGGGGTGGGTGGTGAAACTGCTCAGAGCCCGAATCCTCCTTTCTCATGTGGTTCTCTTGAAAGCCCAGGGAGACTATTTAGGGCCGAGGCCTGGAACCGGATCCTCCTTGCGAGGCCAGCCATGTCCGTGGGCCCAAACGGGCGAGATTTGTGCCGGGGGGCTCCTCCTCCAGTGTAGGGGGGGCAGACTGACTGCGCACATCCTGCTGTTGGCTTCCCTCCTCCCCCTTGCCCCCCATGAGCTGTAGGTCCTTTGGCCGCCAGGGTGCACATGCAGTGCCCACATCAGCCCACGGCAGCGCCTGCTCACGTCTCCCTTGCCCTGAGTTCACAGCCTTGCCTTGGGCTTCACCAACCACAGGCCCCCCGTCGACAGAGTGTCCAGACAGGCCATCTCTGCTGTCCCTGTGTCCCCACGCTTCGCAGGGGCACGGATGACCTGTTAGTGCCCAACTCCGTAGCCTCGCCTCAGTTTCCAACCAACGGGCCCTGTCCCCTCCACGGCCCACCCGCCCCAGCGCCTCCCCAGGAGCACATCCCCTTTCACGGCTTCCATCAGCTCCCAGCTCCTCAGTCCCCAAATCCAGCTCCTTCCAGGTACCTCCTTTTGGGTTTATTCCTTAAGCTTAGGAAAGCCAAGGCGTGAGCTTGTGGCCTCTTGTCCCTGTTCTCAGAGCCACGATTCTCCAGCATTCCTGGCTCACACTTACACTCCTGGCAGCATGGCTTCTGCTGCAGGCACAAGGGGGCCCTGGCTGCCAAGCTGAAGGCCAGGGCTGCATGGAGCCCCAGCCTGGCTACCCATAGCAAGAATGGCTTTTAACATCTGTCGCTGCCTGCCACGTGCTAGGTGCCAAGCTAGGGGCCCCATGTGGAAGAGAAGACGAGTCCTGGCCACAGACTTGCCAGGGCCCATTCACAGCCTAGAAAGGTGAGCTTTTTCCCCAACTCTGGCACTTCTACACCTGTGTACCCAAGAGACTTGAAAATGTGTGTCCACACAAAAACCCGTACATGAATACAAACAGAGCACTGTTCCCAACAGGCCACATGGTAGAAGCAACCCAAAAGTCCAGAAGCAGATGAGTGGGTAAAAAGTGGCCTGTCTGTACAATGGAGTATCATTTGGCCATAACAGGGAATGAAGGGCTGACCTACGCTACAACGTGGATGGACCTGGAGAACAGCATGCTCAGTGAGCGAAGCCAGACACAAAAGACCACGGAGCGCATGGCTCCATCTCTGTGAAATGCTTAGATAGGGCAATCCAGAGACACACAAAGCAGAGGAATGGGTGCCAGGACAGGGGAGGGAGGGAAATGGAGGATGACTTCTTAATGGGTACAGGGAGTGCTTTATGGGTGATAAAAATGTCCTAAAATTGGATTGTGATGGCGCAGCCACTGTGGAAAACAGTTTGGCAGCTCCTCCAAAAGTTAAACGTAGAATTCCCATAGGACCCAGCAACCGCACTGCTGGGTATAGGCCCAGAGGAATGGAAGGCAGGGTCTGGAAGGGCTGTTTGCACACGCATGTTCACAGCAGCGTGATTCACAACAGCTGAAACATGGAAGCAACCCGTGCCCATCAATGGGCAATTGGGCTGGACATGGTAGCTCATGCCTGTAATCCCAGTTCTTTGGGAGGCCGAGGTGAGAGGATCACTTGAGCCCAGGAGTTCGAGACTAGCCTGGGCAACATAGTGAGACCCTGTCTCTACAAAAAATACAAAAATTAGCAGGGCACAGTCGCAGGTGCCTGTAGTCACAGCTACTTGGGAGGTAGAGAGGCGGGAGGATTTCTTGAGCCTGGGAGGTTGAGCCTGCAGTGAGCTCTGATGGCAAGACTGTCTCAAAACAAACAAACAAATCAACAAACATCAACGGATGATTAGCTACACAAATTGTGGTCTATACAGACGATGGAATATGATTCACCCTTAAAAAGAAATGAAGTTTGACACATGCTCCAACATGGATGACCCTTGAGGACATTGCTCAGTGAAATGAGCCAGTCACAGGAGGGTAAATACTGTAAAATTCCACTTATATGAAGGGCCTAGAGTGGTCAAATCCATAGAGACAGACAGTGGAAGGGTGGGTGCCAGGGGCTGGGGGGTGGGGAGTTGGGGTTGAACGGGGCCAGAGCTTCAGTTTGGGAAGATGAACAAGTTCTGCGGCTGGATGGTGGTGATGGCTGCACAGCACCGTGAATAGACTAAAAACCACCAAGTGCCTTTCTTCCTCTTATTTGTTTTTAGGGCCTAACTCCTAAAGAGGTCCCTCCTGCAGAAAGACCTCCCTGATGGCCTTGGCCTTGGGCCCCTGCTCTGAAGTCCCCTCTCGGACTGCATCCTGCCTCTGTGGCAGTGCTTCAGCTGGGACCCCTTGACTTTCCACCCTGGCTGCCAGCAGCATGGTGTGTGCCCCGCACTCCTTGGCAAGATGGAATGGTCACTGTCCCTGTTCTGTGGATGAGATGCCTGAGGTGGGTTCAAAGTATAGATCTGCTGAAACAGTGTCAAGACTCTAGAACTCAATCCCAAGTGACTTCCAAGGGTCCCTCTTCCCGGGTCCAAGAGAGCTTGGTCTGCCTGTCCCCACCAGAGTCAGAGGATCCGAGGATCCAAGAATGTGAGACCCAGAAGTGAGCCTCCTCTGAGATCACCTGCCCCACCGGGTCCCTTCTGAGGGTGGGATGGCTGGCCAGCCTTGTCCCATTACCGCCATGAGCTGGCTGGGTGGCCTTGAACAGGGCGACCTCTCCCTCTTGACCGAGATTCCCCTTCTGTCTAGAGGGAGATAAGCAACTCTGAGGCTTCCCTGGGCATCCAAGGCCACCATGCTATTTGGAAGCCCTTTGAGAACACGAAGTGCCCTATGAAGTGGGGGTCCAGCAGAGGAGGAGTGGGGTGTCTGGGGGAAGCCCCCAGCCTTGCCTGAGCCCCGGAGCTGGCCCTCCGCTCGCCCTGTCTGCCCTTGTCCAGGATTACGCTAATGACCCAGCTCAGTGCAATCCCACCAATGCCCTGGGCCACACGTGTGCCAGCCCCCACATCCCAGGAAGGAGAGTGGAGGTGGCAGAGGTGGGAGGAGGCCTGGAAAGGCGGTAGGTTCTGCACCTTCACCGGCTCTGCTAATTGATGATTAGGGCTAACAGAAGATCAAGTCCCATTTTAGCCTAAAGCAGATTACTGTCCTAGAAAGTCACTCAGCACCTGTGGGGGCACGTGTGTCCCCAGGCCAGGTGAAAACTCATTTGTGGTCCCACACTCTTGCAGAAGGGTGGATGAAAGTGGAGGGAGCACTAGAGAAGGATATGAAGAACGAGGGGGTGAGGGGGTGGGATGGGGGGAGAGGAGCGGGAGCAGTGGCGGCCCAAGAAAGCCCCAAGGAAAGAGGGCCCCTGGGGAAAGGCCAGAGGGACCCAAGCCAGGCCGGGCCCCAATGTCAGCGCCCTCTGCTCTGCCCGGAGTCTCCCACCCTCGCTGCCAGCTGGGGCCCTGGCCAGGGTGGAAGATTAGATGTTGGACTTGTCTCTAATGCGACTACTCCTAAATGACTCCACGCGGGAGAGCCGATTAGGAGTTATGGGGGCTGCTGTCATCTTGACTCAGGGGCTTTGTCACTAACAGCCGATGGCTGCTACAGCTATAGGACAAGGAACCATTTGGCCATTTGCCTTTGACACTTTAAAAAGATCGTGGTAAAATATACATAATACAAAGTGTACCATCGCTACCGTGTGTAAGTGTATAGTCCAGTCACCACCATCCGTCTCCAAACTCTTTTCATTGCATGAAACGGAAGCTCTGTCCTCATGAAACACCCATGCCCTTTCCCCACCCCTCAGCCTCCTGCACCCACCCTTCTATTCCTATGCATTTGGGAGCTCTGAGTGCAATCCTACGGGTGCATGGCCTTCTGTGCCTGGCCCGGATCACTTATCCGTTGCCTTTGTGTATTTGGAATGGATATCCAACCATTGGATTTTCATTTTTGTGTGGTTAAACATCATTTGTTCCCTTTTTGACTTCTGACCTTCCTACCTCGTTTGAAGAGGTCCGTAAACGCACACCGTACTCCGCCCTCTGCCCCAGCTGCCGGGCTCTCCACACTTGCCAAGGCCCCCTACTCGGTACAGTCTTGATATTCTCAGCTCAGCCTCATAATCTCACCCTGGCTGCTGTAGGCCTCCTAAGTCCCTGCCCGTCCAGCCGCTCTAAGTCACAGAGTGTGAATGTGGCACGTCCACCCTCTGTGTCCTTGAGCGTGGTGGTCACTGTGTCCTCATCAGGAAGATGGGGATAACATTTACTTGCTGTAAGGCTTAAATAAGATCATCCTTTTAAAGAGTCTTAGCTCAGTCTTTGGTACAGAAAACTCAGCCAATTATTCATTCAGTGGGTACTTATTAGGTACTTTTGTACCTGTTCTAGGTCCCGGGATGCAGCTGCAGATGGAGATCCCGTGCTCCGCAGCTGCAGCTGCCTTTCTAGTTGGGGGAGATGAGTAGGATGGAGAACAGAAAAAGGAAGACAGGAGGGTGCGGGTGCCAGGGTGGGAAGGGAGTGGATGCCCACTTTCGAAGGGCACCAGGGTGAGCCCCTCTGAGAAGGGGACATGTGAGCAAAGACTCGAGGGAGGGAGGGCAGGAGGGAGCCATGCAGAGATCCAGGAGGGCATCACAGGAGAGGGGCAGCAAGTGCAAAGGCCCTGGGGCAAGAGCGTGGCTGGCCTGCTCCAGGACCAGCAAGGATATCAAGATGGCTGGAGCGAGAGTGGGGTTGGTGAATAGGAGGAGGAAAGGCTGCATGGCGGGGCCCTTCTCACTCTGAATGGAATGAGGAGCTTTGTCGGATTTTGAAAGAAAAAGTGACGCAATCTGAAGTTGATTCGGATGGACTCCTCTGGCAGCTGTCTGCGAGCTGTAGGGGCCAGGGCAGAAGCGGGGAGACCAGGTCTGGGAGGCGACAGTAGGGTGGTAAGAGGTAGCAGACTCTGGAGAGCTTTTGTAAGTGGAGTCAACAGGATTTCCTGGTGGCTTAGGTGGAAGCAGCGAGAGGACAGGAGGAGTTGCCCTCAGCTGAGAAGTCGAGGTTGTGGGCATCAGGCATCCATAAATAACGAACATGGGGACTGGCAAGGGGCCCTCGCCTCACAGCCATTGACATCCTTCACAGATCCTGACTAATGTGAACATTTGGATGGAATGGACAAACTTTTAGGAAAACACAACTTACCAAAATGGGCTCAAGAAGAAAGAATCAGAAGAGTTGAAGTCGCTGAACCTTTCATGTCAAACCTGCCCACAAAGAAAGGGTCCCTGTTCCGTTTCTGACCTTTGCCCAGGTTGACATTGATTCTGAGCCTGTCATGTCTTTCTTTCTTTGTTTCTGACATGTCTTTTTTTTTTTTTTTTTTTGACGTGGAGTCTCACTCTGTTGCCCAGGCTGGAGTGCAGTGGCGCGATCTTTGCTCACTACAACCTCTGCCTCCCGGGTTCAAGCAATTCTCCTCAGCCTCAGTGTCCTGAGTAGCTGGGACTACAGGCATGCACCACCATGCCCGGCTAATTTTTTCTTTGTATTTTTAGTAGAGACAGGGTTTCACCATGATGGCTAGGCTGGTCTCGAATTCCTGACCTCAGCTGATCCACCTGCCTTGGCCTCCCAAGGTGCTGGGATTACAGGCGTGAGCCACCGCACCCGGCCATTGCCTTGTATTTTTAAATTGGTTTTTCTTCTTTGACTTGAAAAAAGTCTTATTTCCAAATCTGATCCACCTTTACAATCTAGTCCAGAGAATTTCCACTGTAATTAAACTATTTACTGTTTAGTTATAAAGAGCCTTCAAAAAGATATATCCCCCAAAGCCTGTCATAAAAAAAAATAACTATCTGATTCCATTTATATGAGGTTCCTACAGCAGTGAAATTCAGTGAATAGAAAATCAAAAAGTGTGAGCTAAACTCCAAGCAGGCCCACCAAGTATTTGTTTGGCTTTGAGCCAGTGCCAGTCACGTCTTCTCAACCTAATGGAATTTTTTGTCGTTGCCCACCGGAGGCCCAGATGGACTCTCAGCTGGGAGCAGGTGGGTGGGAGGGGGACTCGCCTTGAACCTCCCATTGAGAGCCTGCCTGCTGGGTCTGTGCTCCCCTCCCCATGGCAGGCTTCTCTTCTCACGTCGTATTATGTTCCAACTGGGTTGTTCATATCGTAGGACAAAGAAAATAAGGAATTTGTGACTGGGCCCAATGGCTCACGACTGTAATCCCAGCACTTTGGGAGGCTAAAGTGGGAGAATCGATTGAGCCCAGGTATTGGAGACCAGCCTGGGTAACATAGTGACACCCCATCTCTACCAAAAATTTAAAAACTTAGCTGGGCGTGGTGGTGCACACCTGTGGTCCCAGCTACTCAGGAGGCTGAGGCAGGAGGATTGCTGGAGGCCAGGAGGTGGAGGCTGCAGTGAGCCATGATCCTCCAGCCTGGGCCATACAGCAAGACCCTGTCTTGAAAAGAAAAGAAAAGAAAAGAAAAAAAGAAAAGAAATTCAAATTCACTTCATGGTCCTGATCTTCACTGTAAGCGGAAGGAGAGAGACATAATGGGCCATGTTAATTGAAAACTGCATGCCTAGATTTCTTTATTAAACGCATGTTTCCTAGCACTGTCCAAAAAAAAAAAAAGTGCGAGGCGAATCCGGAGCAAGGCTGCGGCTTCGGAAACGGCTGGGCAAACGGCCGTGGGACCCGGAGCCCCAGAACAGCTCCCAGCGGTGAGCTGAACGCCTCTGCGAAGCCCCTGCCTCGGGCCCTGTGCAACGCTTTTTCCGGTGAGCGGCGGCGGCGGCTCGGTCCTCTTGCTCTGTGGGTCGCTTTGCTTTGTCTCAGTGCCTTCCGCACTTTGGCCTTTGTGGATTCTGGTTCTCACTGTTGACAGGTGGGCGCCTTCTGTCTGCCTTAGCACGGGGACCCCCGGGAACGCGGGAAGGCCCGGGGTTTGGCCTCCTGTTCGGCTCCCGGGCGCCCTCTTCTGGCGCCGCCTCGCCGCTCGCGCGTCAGGAAGCCCCCGGCGGCCGCCGCGGGTCCTCGGGAGTTCTCCTGGGGCTCGCATCTGCCCCCATGCGATCCTGAGCGGGCCTGGGCCATGTCCTGAAAGGGTGGATCCTGGTCGGGACCGCTGGGGCCCTTTGTAGTCCCCTCCCTGCTTTGTCACATCCTAGCGCTTTCTGATGGCACAGGTTCTGGTTTCCTCCAGTATATCAAGGAGGGGGGCTCATTCATTCTTCCTGTGTTTGGACTTCTTTTAGGAGAAGTGGGGGAATTCGGGTTTTCGCTGCCTTCCTACTCCTGCCTGAACCCAGAAATCTTATTAGCCTTTTTTCTTAAAAACTTTTTTTTAATAGTGGTAAAATACCCATAACATACAACTTACCATCTTAACCGTTTTTAAGTACACACAGTTCGGTGGCATTAGTGCATTCACATTCTCTTCAGTATCATTTTTGTGTTAAAATCATTAATTCAGTGTGTGGTCCAGCCAAGTGTTTATTTTTTTAATTTTAACTCTTACAGACAGTGGAAATCAGACAAAAGCTTAATTTATACGATACATATGCAATTAAAATACCAAGATTTGCACATACAATGACATGATTCCCTTTAACTGTCTTTCATTGCTAGGGAAGAAATTTCTAACAGAATCTTAGTGCACTATTAGACAGCACTATTTCCTGTCATTCAGGGACCCAGGTGTTTTTCTTGCACGCATTTCCTGTGTATTTCCTTTATCTGTTATTGTGTGTATTCCATTGATCTGTCTCACATTTTGTACACAATGCAACAAGAGATATTATTTGCTTCCATTGTTCTAAAAAGCTTTCTACTGCCTTTGAACAGAAAACTTGTCCCCACTCTGACGGCAGCCCCTGTACATCTGGGTAAGGCTGTGACCCTCCAGGTCATCAGTGTAAGCTCTAGCACATTCTCTCCCCTCTCAAGTTCCATCCTTGTTCTGCAAGGCTGGGTGTCTTAGAGTCTTGGATCTGATGATTTGAGCTTTGCATTTACAAGTGACATTTCTGGTGACATTGTACTTACAAACTCGGTGTTTCCAATTATAGCATGGGAGGCAAGAGGACCAACTTGGATTCACTGATGCAAATAACCGCTTTGTTCTGAAGCCAAGCAGCCCGTGGGCAGTGGCATGGCACAGACTTTAGATGTTGGTCACATTCCCTGCCCAGTCATAAACTCACTTGAGGTTAGTCATTGATGTAATCATTTGAACGAATAAAAGTCAAGATGAATATGATCTCAACCCATACTCCTCTATCAAAGATAGCTGTGGTTTTCTAAAGCGTAACCTATTTGCTATACAAGCATTTTCTTTTGTTTTTCTTTTCTTTTCTTTTTTTTTTGAGATGGAGCTTCACTCTGTCCCCCAGGCTGGAGTGCAGTGGTGTGATCTCAGCTCACTGCAACCTCCACCTCCTGGGTTCAAGCCATTCTCCTGCCTCAGTCTCCCGAGTAGCTGGACTACAGGCAAGCACCACCATGCCCAGCTAATTTTTGTATTTTTAGTAGAGACGGGGTTTTGTCATGTTGGCCAGGCTGGTCTCGAACTCCTGACCTCAAGTGATCTGCTCGCCTCAGCCTCCCAAAGTGCTGGGATTACAGGCGTGAGCCACCTCGCCCAGCCTATACAAGCATTTTTTACATTGTGATACTATCTCTTGCCTTGGAGGCATCTAGGATCTAATGTGGTCCTAGATGTCCCAGCTGCACTATCCAGCCTGCACAGACCTAACCTGTTAAATGGAGAAATAGAGAAAGGGCAAGAGGACAAGACGTCATTGTATGACTATTAGAAATAGTACACTAAGGATGATGCCAAAAAATATTCCTGGACAGATAGAGAACAAGAACTGTCTCTTCCTCATCCATTTCCCTTGTTCCCTGCAAATCCTTTGTAATTATTACTTATTCTGCTGGGGGAATAAGTAGGGGCCAGCAGTCTTCCTCCATGAGTCGAGTCTGCCAGGCTTTTCAGGTTGCGACCTGCTCCCCAGAGCTTACCATACTCTCTCCATTTGGTCTGGATCTCAAGTGTAGAGCTGCCTAACAAGCCCCCCCAAAATTTAGTGGCATAAAATAACAATTGATGAGTTCTTATGAGTTTATGTATCGACTGATCTGTAAGGCACAGTTCTTCTGCTCCACCTCGTGTTGGTTGGGGTCACTCATGCCATGTCTGGCAGTTGGTGCTGGCTGTTAGCTGGCTTGTATTACTCTCCTCCACATGGCATCTCATCCTGCAGGGCCTCTCTCTCCATGCGGCCTCTCAAGCAGGATAGCCCAGACTTCTTCCTATGGTGCTGGCTTCCAAGAGGGCAACGACAGAAACTGCAATGCCTGTTATGGCCTAGGCCTGGAAGTCACCTAATGTTCCATCTGCCACATCCTAGTAGTCAAAACAAGTCACAAGGCCAGCTCTGATTCCAGAGAAGGGGAAAAAGCCTCCGCCTCTTGTTGGGCGGAGTGCCAAGTAATGCTATAGAAGGACATGCAGAATGGGAGCCATGGGAGCAGCCATCTTTGGAAACAATCTACCTCATCCAGTGAGAGGTGTTCCATCCATTCCCATGTTTAAGAGAAAACCCTAGGCTGGGCACTGTGGCTCACGCCTGTAATCCCAGCACTTTGGGAGGCCGAGGTGGGTGGATCACCTGAGGTCAAGTGTTCGAGACCAGCCTGGCCAACATGGTGAAACCCCGTCTCTACTAAAAATACAAAAATTAGCCGGGTGTGGTGGTGGGTGCCTGTAATCCTAGCTACTCTGGAGGATGAGGCAGGAGAATCACTTCAACCTGGGAGGCAGAGGTTGCACTGAGCTGAGTTCGTGCCATTGCACTCCAGCCTGGGTGACAAAAGCGAGACCCTGTCTCCCCAAAAAAAAGAAAGAAAAAAAGAGAAAACCCAAGGAACAGAAAGAAGTTGGTACAGCCTTGGCACTGGGATCTCTGATGGGAAAGTGGGGGTCTATGACAGTGGCGCTGCCACTTTCCAAGTATTGGTGTCCACATTGTCACCACTTGATAAACCTTGGTGTTGATGCGTTCTAGCCCCTGCATTCACACCAAGGTACAGCTTGGCTGTACACCATGACCCTGTCCTGCTAGGCCACTTGTTTCTAGCTATCTTGGGTCTGGAAATCTCCATTTTGTGAGTCACTAAAACTATTAATGGACAAAGAGATTTTAAAGCTCACAATACAATCTTTCAGAAGGTAAAAAGTCATCGTGCTGAGAGCACTTGTGTTAGCTCTTGCATAAAAAAATAAACATTTAAAATTCATCCCAAGAAGTTATGCATTACCAAAATATTTTGTGTTTTTGTTGTTGTTTGAGACAGAGTCTCACTCTGTCACCCACGCTGGAGTGCAGTGGCACGATCTCCAATCACTGCAGCCTCTGCCTCCTGGTCTCAAGCGATCCACCTCAGCCTCCCAAGTAGCTGGGACTACAGGTGTATGCCACCATACATGGCTAATTTTTTGTGTATTTTTTGTAGAGATGGGGGTTTCACCATGTTGGCCAGGCTGGTCTCGAACTCCTGGGCTCAAATGATACTCCTGCCTTGGCCTCCCAAAGTGCTGGGATTATAGTTGTGAGCCACCACGCCTGGCCAATATGGTGGTTTTTAATTAAAGTGAAAATCACATAACATAAAATTAGTCATCTGAAAGTGTACAGTGTAGTGACATTTAGTGCATTTACTAATGCACGTTGTGCCACCATCACCACTATGTACTTTCAGAATATTTCATCATGCCGTACAGAAACCCCGTGTCCATTACGTGGCCACTCCCCATCCCCTAATCCCTCAGCCCCTGGCACCCGCTAATCTGCTGTCTGTGTCTATGAATTCCTCTATTCTGGATATTTCACATAAAGTGGCTCATCTGATATGTGACTTTTCATGTGTGGCTTCTTTCACTGAGCAAAATGCTTTTGAGGATCTATCTGAATTTCAGCATGTATCGGTACTTCATTCCTTTTTACCGAAACACATTGAAATTAGTGACATTTTTATACATTTACAGGATAGTTTTTGTTTGTTTGTTTGTTTGTTTGTTTGTTTTGAGACAGGATCTTGCTCTGTGACCCAGGCTGCAGTAGTGGCACGATCACAACTCACTGCAGTCTCGACCTCCTGGGCTCCAGCGATCCTCCTGCCTCAGCCTCTCGAGGTACCTGGGACTACAGCCACACACCACCATGCCCAGCTAATTTTTGTATTTTTTCTGTAGAGACAGGGTCTCGCTATATAGCCCAGGCTGGTCTCCAACTCCTAGCTTCAAGCGACTCTCCTGCCTTGGCCTCCCAAAGCACTGGGATTACAGGTGTGAACCACTGCTCCCAGGCTGCAGGGTAGATTTTTTAATTCCATTGAGTCACTTTTCGTAACTACAAGCCTCATTCTTCTCGGCATCAGCCTTTATTCGTGTGCACCATACAGTGGGTTACCCAAGCCAGGCAAAGGGGCAAACCTGGATGGTCCCAAGCAGCCAGGTACCAAACACGGTGGTCCGAAGACCCTTGTCAGTGTTGTTATTAATTTGAGGACTGATCTTGGAGAAGTCCAGTACCAAAGAGAGTTGCCAGGAGACACGGGTCAGTTGCTTAAGAGAGGAGCACAGCTGCCCTAGAACAAGAAAGGCCCATGGCCTTGACAGTGTAACCAGAGTCCCAATATTTGATAACAACACACAGGAGAAGGTAACATGGTAAGCAGTGGGAATTTTAGCTCCTCCACAAAGGAAGAGCCTTTGCTCTT
The DNA here is from genome assembly GCF_000001405.40 of Homo sapiens. Taxonomy (NCBI): domain Eukaryota; kingdom Metazoa; phylum Chordata; class Mammalia; order Primates; family Hominidae; genus Homo; species Homo sapiens. The sequence continues at coordinate 154,132,051 of NC_000023.11, read as the reverse complement.
TGTTCTGTTCGATTGCTTGTTCTCTTATAATTGGCTGCAGTTATGAAATAACCATGCCAAGGGGCAGCATAAAAGCACCTCTGTTAACAGATTTGCAGTGCTGTGAGCTCCTAGTAGGGTGAGAAAAAAAACCTCTGGCTCTAGATAGGATACTTGAGGTTGAAAATATATTGATTACTTAAAGACCCTTTACTCCCTTGCGCCCAGGCCTCTGCACTCCATCATACAGAAACTTTAAAAAACATTCATTGATGTAATACACCTCTATGTATGTTTATGTAAACATACACTTATATGCAGTCACAGTAAAAGATGTTCACGGCCAGGCATGGTGGCTCATGCCTATAATCCCAGCACTTTGGGAGGCTGAGGCAGACAGATCACCTGAGGTCAGAAGTTTGAGGCCAGCCTGGTCAACATGGTGAAACCCCATCTCTACTAAAAATACAGAAATTAGCCAGGCATGGTGGTGTGTGCCTGTAATCCCAGCTACTTGGGAGCCTGAGGCAGGAGAACTGCTTGAACCTGAGAGACAGAGGTTGCAGGGAGCCGAGATCACGCCGCTGCACTCCAGCCTGGGCAACAGAGTGAGACTCCATCTCACACACACACACACACACACACACACACACACAGATGTTCAGGTAGTGGTATTATTTACTGCTTTAAAAGTTTAGGTTTTATAGTAAAAATTTAAAAATCAGGCATAGGTTGGGCGTGGGGGCTCATGCCTGTAATCCCAGCACTTTGGGAGGCCAAGATGGGAGGATTGCTTGGAGGCCAGGTGTTCGAGAGTAGGCTGGGCAACACAGCAAGGCCCCATCTCTACAAAAAGTAAAAATGCAAAAATTAGCAGGGTGTAGTGGCACCCGCATGTGATCCCAGCTACTTGGGAGGCTGAGGTGGGAGGATCACTTGAGCTCAGGAGTTTGAGGCCACAGTGAGCTAGGATTGCACCAGTGCACTCCAGCCTGGGTGACAGAGTGAGACTCGGTCTCTAAAAAAAAAATAAGTAAAAATTCAGGCATAGCACAAAACAATGTTTAGACTACAGTGATTTTCTGATTTATGAGTGTTGTGTGGCACCATTGTGTTTATGCATAGACTAGAATACATATATGTCAGAAATAACTGTGTGTGTTTGCATTTTGTCTTTATGAATTTTCATTCCTTTGGAGATTATCCAGGTAAATATACTTGCTAATTACCTCAATTTATTGTCTACCCCAGGTATCAAAGTCAGTAGATGAGGGAATCTTAGAAATTATACTAGGCTGCCTGGGCGTGTTGGCTCACACCTGTAATCCCAGCACTTTGGGAGGCCAGGTGAGCGGATCACGAGGTCAGGAGTTCAAGACCAGCCTGGCCAACATGGTGAAACCCTGTCTCTACTAAAAATACAAAAATTAGCTGGGTGTGGTGGCGCACGCCTGTAATCTCACCTACTCGACAGGCTGAGGCAGGAGAATCGCTTGAACCCAGGAGGCGGAGGTTACAGTTGGCCAAGATCATGCCACTGCACTCCAGCCTGGCAACAGAGCAAGACTCCATCTCAAAAAAAAAAAAAAAGAAAAAAAAAGAAAAAAAGAAATGATAGTAGCACAATATGATCACACTTCATGAATAAAATTTGACAAATATGACACTACAATTTATTCCGTTTACAAGGTGGAGTAACTTTGTAGGGCTACACAATTACTGCTATTGTTGGAAGTTTAAAAGGTTGATTTTAAAAATACAGATATTCATTATTATAACTCAGTTTAGCTCAACTCGTGTTTACATTTACAAAACCTTAGATATTTAGTGTAAGAAATGCTGACGTACGTGATCTGCAAGGTAAGTATTATGGGTTTAGAAAGGTCAACATAATAAAATTTCTCATGAGAAAATCATAATGGATACATCTCAAATCTTGCAAAAACCAAAGCACAGTGTTCCCATTGTCACTTTTACATACTTCGTACTGTGATAAAACTGGAGAGAAGACAAAGACATACAGCTATTTCTTAAATGAAGAATAAAACAATTTAATCTATTCAAGGATTTTTCTTATAAAGAAATATTGAGGAAACCTGGAGTTTTAGATTATTTTCTTGGCTTTATTTGTTTTTTCTTGATACATTGTAATCATGCATATTTATGGTGCCAATTCATATCACGTTGCACAATGACCCAATCACGGTAGTTAGTGTACCTATCACCTCATGCAAGTATCATTTCTTGACAATGCGAACATGCAAATACCTCTCTTCTAGCTATTTTATTTTATTTTTTATTTTTTATTTTTTGAGATGGAGTCTTGCTCTCTTGCCCCCAGGCTGGAGTGTAGTGGTGCGATCTCAGCTCACTGCAACCTCCGTCTCCTGGGTTCAAGCGATTCTCCTGCCTTGGCCTCCAGAGTAGCTGGGACTACAGGTGCCCGCCACCACACCCGGCTAATTTTGTATTTTTAGTAGAGATGGGGTTTCATTATGTTTGCCAGGCTGGTCTTGAACTCCTGACTTCAGGTGATCCGCCCACCTCGGCCTCCCAAAGTGCTGGGATGACAGGCCTCTTCTAGCTATTTTAACAGTAATATGCAATATCTTACTGTTAACCATCATCATCCCACTGTGCACAGAACACCAGAACTTATTCCTCCCATCTAATTGTTATTTTGTACTGTCGACGAACCTCTCCCTGTGCTCCCTTCTCCAGTCTCTGTGCTTCTAAGATATCAGCCTTTTTTGTTTTGTATACAGACAGGGTCTCACTCTGTCACTCAGGCTGGAGGGCAGTGGCATGATCCTAGCTCACTGCAGCCTTGAAGTCCTGAGCTCAAATGATCCTCCCACCTCAGCCTCCTGAGTAGCTGGGACTACAGGCTCACACCACCATGCCCAGCTAATTAAAAAAATATATGTATATATATATATATATATATATATATATATGTGTGTGTGTGTGTGTGTGTGTGTGTGTGTGTATATATATATTGTAGAGACAGGGTCTCTCTAGGTTACCCAGGCTGGTTTCAAACTCCAGGCCTCAAGGGATCTTCCTGCCTTGGCCTCCTAAATCACTGGGATTACACTTGTGAGCCACTGCACCTACCCTCAACTCTTTAAAAAAAATTCCACATATAAGATCACACAGTATTTGTCTTTCTGTGTCTGGCTAATTTCACTTAACATGATGTATTCCAGGTTTATTCATGTTGTTGCAAATGACAGGATTTCATTCTTTTTATGGTTGAATGGGATTCCGTTGTGTATAGATACCACATTTTCTTTATCCATTCATCCATCGATGGACACTTGGGTTAATTCCATATCTGGCTACTGTGAATAATGCTGCAATAAACATGAGGGTGCAGATCTCCTTGACACACCATTTCATGTCCTATGGATATATACCCAGCAGTGGGATTGCTAGATCAGATGGTAGTTAGCTCTATTTTTAATTTCTTTTTTCTTTTTCTTTCTTTTTTTTTTTTTTGAGACAGGGTCTCACTGTGTCACCCAGGCTGGAGTGCAGTGGCACTATCACGGCTCATGCAGCCTCAACCTTCTGGGCTCAAGCAATCCTCCCACCTCAGCCTCCTGAGTAGTTGGGACTAAATGTGTGCACCACCACGCCTGGCTAAATTTTTTAATTTTTTTTTTTTTTTTTTTGAGATGGAGTTTCACTCTTGTTGCCCAGGGTGGAGTGAAATGGCGTGATCTTGGCTCACCACAACCTCCGCCCCTGGGTTCAAGCAATTCTCCTGCCTCAGCCTCCCTAGTAATTGGGATTACAGGCATGTGCCACCACGCCCGGCTAATTTTGTATTTTTAGTAGAGACGGGATTTCTCCATGTTGATCAGGCTGGTCTTGAACTACCAACTTAAGGTGATCCGCCCACCTCGGCCTCCCAAAGTGCTGGGATTACAGGTGTGAGCCACCGCGCCCGGCCTTAATTTTTTTTTTTTTAATTTTTTGTAGAGATCGGGTCTTGTTATGTTGTCCAGGCTGCTCTCAAACTCCTGGGCTCAAGTGATCCTCCCTCCTGGCCTCCCAAAGTGCTGGGATCACAGGTGTGAGCCACCGTGCCTGGCCGATTTTAAATTTCTTGTGCCTCATATTGTTTTCCACCAACACCAAGTGTTCCCTTTTCTCCACATCCTCATCAACACTTGTTTTCTTTTGTCTTTTAAAAAATAGCTGTTCTAATTAGAGTAAAATGGTATCTCATGGTGGTTTTAATGTGCGTCTTCCTGATGATTAGTGATGTTGAGCATTTTTTCATGTATCTGTTGCCCATTTCTGTGCCTTCTTTTAAGAAATGTCTATTAAGGTCTTTTGCTTTTTTTCTGAGACAGAGTCTCGCTCTTGTCACCCAGGCTGGAGTGCAGTGACGCGATCTTGGCTCACTACAACCTCGGCCTCCCGGGTTCAAGCAATTCTCCTGCCTCAGCCTCTGGGAGGCAGGATTACAGGCGCCTGGGATTACAGGCACCTGCCACCACGCCAGGCTAATATTTGTATTTTTGGTAGAGATGGGGTTTCACCATGTTGGTCAAGCTGCTCTCGAAATCCTGACCTCAGATGATCCTCCTGACTCGGCCTCCCAAAGTCCTGGGATTACAGGCGTGAACCACTGCGCCAGGCCCCATTTTGTTTTGTTTTGTTTTTGAGACAGAATCCCATTCCATCACCCAGGCTGGAGCACAGTGGTACACACATGGCTTACTGCAGCCTCAAACTCTTGGGCTTGACTGATCCTCCCACTTCAGCCTCCCAAGTAGCTGGGACTTAACATGCCATAGTTACAGTGTTATAGCGTTTTGTGTTTTTTATGTACTTACTATTACCACTGAATTTTATACCTTCAAGTGATTTCTTATTGCTCATTAACATCCTTTTCTTTTAGATTGAACTGCTCCCATTAGCATTTCTTGTAGGACAGGTTTGGGACCGATGAAATCCATCAGCTTTTGTTTGTCTGGCAAAGTCTTTATTTCTCTTTTGTGTTTGAAGAATATTTTTGCCAGTTATACTATTCTAGGGTAAGCTTTTTTTCCTTCAGCACTTTAAATATGTCATGCCACTCTCTCCTGGCCTGTCAGGTTTCCACTGAGAAGTCAGCGGCCTCCATTGCATGTTATTTGTTTCTTTTCTCTTGCTGCTTTTGGGATCCTTTCTTTATCCTTAACCTTTGGGATCTAAGTGTTTGGTCACTGCAGCTGTATCTGCTTTAGGGGGCACCCCAAGCCGAGTAACCCTGTGGTTCTTGCAGGTGGCAAAGGCAGCCAGGCCAGTGTCGTCCCCTCCAGGGTGGCGAGTTCCCCCCAGTCCTGGGCGGATACAGAGATGCCATTTGGGAGCCAGTGCCTGTAGTTGGGAGTCTTAGGAATCTAGTTGGTGCTGTATTCTACTGTGGCTAAGCTGGCACCCAAGCTGCGAGACACAGGCCTTCCCACTCTTGCCTCCCTTTTCCACAGGCAGAGAACCCTCACCCCACAGCCACCACTGCCCCAGGCCCACGGGGAGTACTGCCAGACTATCGCTCGTGTTCACTCGAGGACCAACGGCCCTCAGTCAGCTTGTGGTGAATATGCTGCCATGCCTGAGCCTCTCTCTTCAGGGCAGTGGGATCCCCTCTAGCCCTAGGGCAGGTCAGGAGCCCAGGCCTGGAACTGGAACTGGGGACCCCAGGAGCCCACTTGGTGCACTACTCCGCTGTGGTCGAGCTGGTACCCAAGCTGCGAGACAAAGTCCCCTTTACTCTTCCCTCCCTTTTCCTCAAACCGAAGGGGTCTCTGCCTGTGGCCACCGCAGCTGGGAGTGTGCTGGGCCCGCACGGCTCTGAGTGTCAGCCGAGGCCTGCAGCAAGTACGGCCTGGGTATGGCTGCTGGTTCCTCAGTGCCCAAGAGCCCTTCAGTCAGCAGGTGATGAGTCCCGCTAGGACTGGGTCCTTCTCTTCCCTTCCGGCCGAGGGTGTCTAGAAATGTCGTCTGGGAGCTAGGGCCTGGAATGGGGGCCTCACGACTCTGACCAGTGCCCCATCTTACTGTGGTTGAGCTGGTATCCAAGACACAAGACAATGTCCTCCCCACTTTTCCGTGTCCTCTCCTCAAGCAAGAGGAAGGAGGGGCTCCTGGAGCTGTGAGCGGCACTGCCTGGCCTTGGGGGAGGGGAGGTGTAAGCATGGCCCGAGCTACCCCGGCTGCTATCTCACTAAGTCGCTTGTACCCCAAGTCCGCTGGCTCCGAGCCCAGTCCAGCAGCAGGACTTGCCCGGGACTTGCCGTCCTTGTTGCCTAGACTGCCTTTCAAGTATATTTCAGGCCCCTGAATACTTTAGGCCGCAGTGGTGAGGCTTTGCTGGAGCTCAGGCTCCATCCGCTGAAGATGGGCGATTCCTCTCCGGCTAGGGCTGATGTAAATCCTCCCTTCGTGGGCGCCCGCTAACTTCTGCCCCGTGTTGCTTTCTGCTGGGACACGGCAGCAGCGCTGAGTTCCGACGCAAAGCCCCACAGTCACCGTGCCCTCCCTCCCCCAAGTGTACAGCTTCTCTCTCTGCACCACGAGGCTGCTGCGGAGCGGGGGCTGGGGGTGGGGGGTGCCGGGGCTGAGGCTGGGGCGCGGGGCGGGGAGTGATTCAAGACTGTCCTTCCTACCCTTGTCACGGCCTCTTTCAGTGATGTGAAGTTCAACCAGGTCCTGTGATCGCTCACCTGATTTTTGGATATTAGGAAAGTGCTTTTTTGTGTGGCTAGTTGTTCAATTTGGTGTTCCCGCAGTGGGGATGATCACTGGAGGCTTCTATTTGGCCATGCTGTTCTGCCTCTCTCTCTATCTTCTGTGTTGATAAAGCCCTTTCAATATTAGTAAGTGTATTTAACACAGTAGAGATTCCTGAAGCTTCTTCATGACTGTTCAATTTGGGCCTGATAGCAATATGCGTTTCCTTGTTTCTTATCCTGTGACTGAGCAAGCAGGACATTGTAACAGTGGAGGAAAAATCCCCAGTTTTCCATGTTCTCTCATCCAAAAACTTTTTGAGAGAAAGAGTACATTTAGGAAGCAGGACGACCATTTAGATTTTTACTAATAGCCTGGTTTTATATGGTTGGTTTTATATGGCTATTTATAAATGTTTTGATTTAACTTGTTAAAGTGTAATATCCCAAAATTCTATGATTTATTTTTCTCTTTTCCCATTGCAATATTTATTTATTTATTTATTTATTTTGAGACAGAGTCTTTCTCTGTTGCCCAGGCTTGGGTGCACTGGTGCAATCTCGGCTCACTGCAACCTCCGCCTCCCGGGTTCAAGCGATTCTCTTGCCTCAGCCTCCTGAGTAGCTGGGACTACAGGTGCACCCCACCATGCCCGGATAATTTTTGTATCTTTGGTAGAGACCCAGTTTTGCCATGTTGGCCAGGCTAGTCTCAAACTCCCAACCTCAGATGATCCACCTGCCTCAGCTTCCCAAAGTGCTGGGGTTACAGGCATGAGGCACCACACCCCGCCCCATTCCAGTATTTAAAAACGACTTTTGTGCACAGAAAAGAGATAACATGATGATTTGTTCCCCACAACTTCAACTTATTTAATTTAATTAAAATTTCTAAACAGGTTACCATGTATATAGGAAGGAAAACCCACATTGTATAGAGACCAAAATTTATATAATTTAGGGTTCCTCTTTAAGAATACTAAATCACTTGCAAATGTGTCCATTCATTTAGAAAAAGATAAGAAATCACAACAAATTACAAATTTTAAAAAGCTGACAAATACAACAAAAGGCAGCAAAGTACAATGTTTTTGTTCCTATTATATTTTGTACTGAAGCTACCTGTGTTATCTTTTTTCCCCACATTTTGGCTGCATAGTGTTAGATCGCATCTTCATCTGACAATGATATTGTGACATAATTCTCACTAGAGGGAACAGAAAGATAAAGCAGTCTTCCTTCCACTCTGCTTGACTGAAATGTTTTCTGATTGCTATCACACAGTCTTTGTTTGTTTCCTTATCAGTAAAGCTGCACCAGAAACTTCCTCTGTCATTTCCTGCTCAGAGGCGCTCCCTGCCCCAGGACTAGCTCTCTGGGTGTGGCCTGTGGTCCGTGGTGTGGCCTGTGGTGTGGCCCATCAGTCCGCCCAGGGGTCACTCGCCCTCTGTGTGGCCAGTTGCTGGGTTGCTGTTCCTGCAGCAGCTGCCCTACCCTGGCCAGGCCCTTACTGTCCCTGGTTCTCTCCATCCCAGGACCATCCTAATAACCGTTTCTCCTTTTTTCTTTTTCTTTTTTTTTTTTTGGAGACGGAGTCTCTCTCTGTTGCCCAGGTTGGAGTGCAGTGGCATGATCTCAGCTCACTGCAAGCTCCGCCTCCCAGGTTCAAGCGATTGTCTTGCCTCAGCCTCCTCAGCCTCCCGAGTAGCTGGGATTACAGGTGCTCACCACCACGCCCGGCTAATGTTTGTATTTTTAGTAGAGAAGCAGTTTCACCATGTTGGCCGGGCTGGTCTCGAACTCCCGACCTCAAGTGATCCGCGCACCTTGGCCTCCCAAAGTGCTGGGATAACAGGCGTGAGCCACCGCGCCCGGCCCATCCTAATAACCTTGAAGCCTGATTGTAGCCTCCCCTCTCCCACCTGTCCTCAACCATGCAGGGAGTGGAGCAGTGCCTCACAGGGTTCCTCCTCCTGGAAGTCAAAGAAAAGTCAAGCTTTTGATGAGGTCTGGCAGCCCCCGTGCTACCACTGACCAGGGTGTGAGGGTGGCCCAGGCCTCTAGTGCCCAGCTGGGGTAGCTGCCCAGTCCCCAACTGTGTGGAGAGATTCTCACCGTGGGGAAACTCTAACTTTGAGAGTTTGTCTTAAAAGGCCAGCACTTTTATAGTATCAGAGGTTTGGCCCTACATTTTAAAATGTTTTTCTCTGGTGAGTCTTTGAAGCCAATCAATCAGAATAGTGGTTCCATCAGCTGGGAGAGCCTCAGCATCTTCATTCATTCATTTCCTTTGCAAATGGGCAAAAGTATCCTTTGGGGGAAACTCCTCCCCTTTACTCTAGTTCTAGCTGTACAGAAAAAAAGCCACCATCACCCAGCAGGATCGTCTTTTTTTTTTTAATTTAAAAAAAAATTTAGGGACAAGGTCTTGCTCCGTCACGCAGGCTGGAGTGTAGTGGCATGATTATAGCTGACTCCAGCCTCAAACTCCTGGGTTTAAGTGATCCTCCCACTTCAGCCTCCCAAAGGGTTGGGGTTTACAGGCATGAGCCACCACGCCCAGCCACCCAGCAGAAGAATCTCATCAAACCCTCCAGCATGCTGGAGAGTGTCAAGGAGGCCTCCCCTGAGGACATGAGTCCCTCCCCTGTGACTGTGCCCGGACTGAGGGTCTTTGATGGCTACAGAGTTTCACGGTGTCCCTACAGAGTTGGTCAGCTCAGGAACCCCCAGGTAAGGACTGGCAGGCAGAGGGGCTGCTCCCTACTGTGCACAGCACTACAGAAAGTGTGGATGGAGGATGAGCTGCTATTCAGTGCTGAAGCTTGAAGCTCACACTGGCTCCCACAGCTTCTTCTGCCATCCCATCACCTTATTCCATGCAATCCAATGTATGTATTTTCCTGGGATTTCTCTAGTTATTCAGAGCAGAAGGACCAGCCTCAAGGAGTTCAAGTAGAGGTCAGTCTCATGGGGGCCAGACAGGCCGAGCTGGCCACCACTCACTCGCTTCCCTCCCAGTACAAGACTCAGACCCGCATGACCATGATTGAGATGTCTCGGGTGCCCTCGAGCCACCCCCCCCAGGAGCCAAATTCTTCCCAAGAGTCCATTATCCCGGGGACAGCTGTCTTGTGATCCTGTTCCCTGGAGAACACAGGCACGGAACAAGCCCTGATCCCCTTCGGTGACGACTCAGTAGTGTGCACAGCCAGGAAACCACAGAAGACAGGCAGAACCAGTTCTCCAGCTGTAGCTACAAGTTAACTATAAAAAGACCCCTGGGTCCACAGGGCAGGGCTACTCGGCTGGCTCTGGCCCAGGCTCTTGGGCACAATTCTGGCCACAGACGGGAAGCACAGAGAAGATAACCAATGGTGTCACAAACAGGTTTTCCAAGATTTCAATCTGGGAGACAGGACACTTCATCCAGGCTTCCGGTTTCAAAATTGGAAGACAAATGTCCTAAGGGGTCTTGTCAGTTTTGTATACTGGCACACAGCCATGATTTACAGAAACAGGACTTTTGGTCTCTCACCCTGGAAGACAAGAGGAACTAATCAAAATGGGCCAAAGGACCAGAAACTTCCAGTGGACATCACACTTGGACAGATGAGAGCTTAGAAAGCAGCTCAATTGCTGTGACCAAAGTTCGGCTCCCCCCTCAGTGACAGTCCTCCTGGGAAGGAAGGTAAGAGACTCAAGGAGCCTCTGGGGTCCTGCTGGGACTTCCCAGGCCAGGGCTGTGCTCCAGTGGCAGCTATCCTGAGGCCAGGGACATTGAGGGGAACCTCTAAACAATGGAAACAGCCAAAGAGATGATGAGCGTAGGTCCAAGTGCAGCCAGGCAGCCTGAAAAGAGAAAGGGAAGGTGGAGTTCTCAGGGACAGGCTTCAGAGGAAGAGGAGGGTTTAAATGAGTCTCTTCAGTAGGGCCAAAGCAAGTTCATTTCCCAAGGGCTAAAAGTCTGCCATGTTTTTATGAGTTGTTTGGGTTAAACCTGGGTCATGTTGACCTAGATACATCTCCAAGAAACACCAGATATGGGAATCTTAATAAGAAAGAATGAGCAACATGGTTGTGATCTTCCAACAGAAATACAGTGCAAGAGGCCGGGTGCGGTGGCTCACGCTTGTAATCCCAGCACTTTGGGAGGCCGAGGCGGGTGGATCATGAGGTCAGGAGTTCAAGACCAGCTTGGCCAACATGGTGAAACCCTGTCTCTACTAAAAATACAAAAATTAGCCGGGCGTGATGGTGGGCGCCTGTAATCCTAGCTACTTGGGAGGCTGAGGCAGAGAACTGCTTGAACCCAGGAGGCGGAGGTTGCAGTGAGCCAAGATCGCACCACTGCTCTCCAGCCTGGGCGACAGAGCGAGACTCCATCTCCCCTTCCCCCCTCCCCCTAAAAAAGAAATACAGTGCAAGAAAGTCCAGTTTTTTTCTCATAACAATGTTCTGCTTAAGTTTGGAGAAAATATGCATTTTCTTAAGCTTGAAATAAAGTTTGGCTACTTTTGGATGGGGTCTTTGTGTCATTCCTACGTCAGACACCAATCTATACTGTTGCCAGGAGGATGGCGACATGATTGATGGGAAAAGGAAAAACTTCACACAGGTGACTCCTTAGAGCAGGGAGCAAAGCAGTGACGCCTGTCAGAGGCAGAAGCTTCCCTGGCAGGACTAATGACATTTACAGTCCTCATTGAGAGAAACAAGAGAAAAGGCACATGGAAACTATACTATGAATGGAAAATGGCTATAACCACAGATGCAGACAGGATTTTAAAGTAATGGCTATTGTGAATAACTTTGTGCCAATACATTTGAAAATACAGTTGAAATGAACAAAGTCCTAGAAAAAGAAATTACCAGTATTGACTCAAGAAAAAGCAAAGACCCTAAATAGTCATATAATTATAAATTTTTTGTTAGTAATAAAATATCTTCCGTTCAAACCAAACTCTAGGCCTAGATGACTTCATCAGCAAGATCTATCAAATATTCAAGAAGCAATAGTTCTAATTTTACACAAACTCTTTCAGAGAATTAAGAAAAAGAGGCTCCACTCTTGTTAGAAGGCAAACATAACCTTGAAACCAAAACCTGTCAAGGACATTATGAGAAAGAAAATTATAAGCCAACTTCACTTGTAGGCAGAGATTCAGAAATCCCAAACAGAATACTAGCAATATGTAAAAAAGATAATACATGGTGACTGGACTGGGCACGGTGGCTCACGCCTGTAATCCCAGCACTTTGGGAGGCTGAGGCGGGTGGATCACCTGAGGTCAGGAGTTCAAGACCAGCCTGGCCAACATGGCGAAATCCAGTCTCTACTAAAAATACAAAAAATTAGCTGGGCCTGGTGGCGTGCACCTATAATCCCAGCTACTCGGGAGGGTCAGGCAGGAGAATCGTTTGAACCCAGGAGGTGGAGGTTGCAGTGAGCCGAGATTGTGCCACTGCACTCCAGCCTGGGAGACAGAGCGAGATGCTGTCTCAAAAAAAACCAAACAAAAGGAAAAAAAAAGATAATACATGGTGACCAAGATGTGTTTATCTCAGGAGTGCAAAGTTAGTTTAATAATATAAAATCATTTATTGTAATTAACCAAATTAATGTTAAAGAAGAAAAATTACATGATCAGCAGGGCATGGTGGCTCATGTCAGTAAGCCTAGCACTTTGGGAGGCTAAGGCAGGCAGATTGCTTGAACTCAGGAGTTTGAGACCAGCCTGGTTAACATGGTGAAACCTCATCTCTACAAATAATAGACACACACACACACACACACACACACACACACACACACACACACAAATTGCCGGTGGTGGCACATGCCTGTCATCCCAGCTACTTGGGGAGCTGAGGCAAGAGGATCGCTTGAGCCCAGGAGGTTGAGGCTGCAGTGAGCTGAGATCATGCCACTGCACTCCAGCCTGGGTGATAAAGCGAGACCCTGTCTCAAAAAAAATTAAAAAAAATACCAATTACATGATCACCACAATAAGCACAGAAAAAGCACTGGATAAAATTCAATATCCATTCATGATTACAAAGAAAAGTCAGGAGCCTAGGAATTAAAATGAACTTCCTTAGCAAAGGATTTATTAAAATAGTTATAGCATCATCATATTTAATGACAAAAAGTTGAAAGCATCCCCTGGAGATCATAAACAAGAAAAGGCCAGCGCAGTGGCTCACGCCTGTAATCCCAGCACTTTGGGAGGCTGAGGCGGGTGGATCAGTTGAGGCCAGGTGTTCGAGACCAGCCTGGCCAACATGGTGAAACCCCGCCTCTACTAAAAATACAAAAGTTAGCTGGACGTGGTGGCACACGCCTGTAATCCCAGCTACTTGGGAGGCTGAGGCAGGAGAATCACTTGAACCCGGGGGGTGGAGGTTGCAGTGAGCCGAGATCTCGCCACTGCACTCCAGCCTAGGTGACAGATTGAGACTGTCTGAAAAAAAAAAAAAAAGAGAAAGAAAGAGAAACTGTAAAAAAAGGAAAAGGAAGGAAGCTGTACCTCTACTTCACACCATTACAAAAATCAATTTTACACAGATTGAAAACCTAAATATGAAGGGCAAAACGATGAATCTTTAAGAATAAAATGAGAATAGCTCCATTACTAGGGGTAAGCAAATGGTTGCATGGGTGTTCAATTTAGAATTGTTCTTTAAACTGCGCAATATATTTGATGCACTCTATTTCAAACAGCCTTATCAAGGTATAGCCTACATAAAACAAAGTGTGTGTTGCTTAAAGTATACAGAGGCTGGGTGTGGTGGCTCACACCTGCAATCTCAGCACTTTGGGAGGCTGAGGCAGGAGGATTGCTTGAGGCCAGGAGTTTGAGACCAGCCTGGGCAACAAACATAGGGAAGCCTAGTTGCTACAAAAAATTTAAAAACTAGCCAGGCATTGTGGCATGCACTTGTGGCCCCAGCAACTTGGAAGGCCAAGGCAGGAGGATCACTTGAGCCCAGGAGTTCAAGGTTACGGTAAACTATGATTGCCACTGTACTCCAGCCTGGGAGACAGAGTGAGACCTATCTCTAAAATAATGATAATAATAAAGTATATAATTTTGCTGGGCACCGTGGCATGCGCCTGTAATCCCAGCTACTCCGGAGGCTAAGGCAGGAGGATTGCTTGAGCCCAGGAGTTTAAGACCAGCCTGGGCAACAAACATAGGGAAGCCTGGGCAACATAGTGAGACCCCCATCTCTAATTTTAAAAAATAAATAACATAAAGTATACCATTTGGTCCATTTTGACACAGGTATGCACCCTTAAAACCACCACAATCAAGGTAATGAACATAGCTATCAACCCTAAGAGCTTCCTCCTGCATCTCTGTAAATCCTCCCTCCCAACACTCCCCGTATCCCAATCTCCGGGCAACCCCGATCAGCTTTCTGTCACTATAGATTAGTTTGTATGTTCTAGAGTTCCATATAATCATACAGTATATCCTCTCAATGTGGCCTCTTTCAGTGTAATTATTTTGACATGCATTTAGGTAGTTGCCTGCTTGAATATCATATTCCTTTTGGTTGCTGAATAGTATTCCTTTGCATGGATGTACCACAATTTATCATTCACCCTCTGAAGGACGTTTGAGTTGTTTCCAGTCAGAACTACTACAAATAAAGCTGCTATGAATATAAAAATTCACAGAGAGGTTAATTCTGGGTCGAGAATGCAGATTGAACAGTAAAGCTGTAGTAAAGCAGCTTTGGGGAGAAAAAAAGGGGCATAACTCGACATGAATGGGAAGGGCAGGGGATGACACAACAGGAACAAGGTTTGGAGAGCCGGACAAACAGCTCTCCGAATGTCAGAGGGCAAGCTGCAGAGAGGGAGCCCAGGGCCCAGGAACTGGAGCTGGGGGCGGAGGGGGCACTAAAATAAAGAGGACTGGGTGAAGGTTGGCCGCAGTGACTCACACCTGTAATCTCAGCACTTTGGGAAGCTGAGGCAGGTGGATCACTTGACCCCAGGAGTTCCAGACCAGCTTGGGCAACATGGCAAAACCCCTTCTCTATCAAAAATACACAAATTAGCCAGGCGTGGTGGCACATGCCTGTAATCCCAGCTACTTTGGAGGCTGAGGCACAATAATTGCTTGAACCCGGGAGGCGGAGGTTGTAATGAGCTGAGATTACGCCACTGCACTTCAGCCTGGGAGACAGAGCAAGACCCTGTCAAAAAAAAAAAAAGGAAAAGAAAAGAAAAGAAAAAGGACTGGGTGAAAGCTGGTTACTAATGGTTACTAAGCACTCTGAGCTCCGGGTGCTAGGGTAACCTATTGTCCCAGCCACTTTCAGTGCTGCCAGCCCCATGTCCTCTGAACGCCCTCAGTCCCAGGCAAACCTCTCTGCCCGTGTGCCCCTGGGCAACTGTGCCTCCTCCATCCTGACAGAAATGGGGGACTTTATTCTCTGGAGAGGGCAAAGGAGTCAGTGAACTGTGGGACACCAGGTCCAATTGAAGGCAGTGAAATTGTACCCGGAGCAGAGCGACGCTGTGAGCCGGCACTGCCTGCAAGCACTGAGCGACGTCCCCTCCCCTGCTCTGCTCCCAGATCTCTGCAACCAGGTCCCGGCCCTCCAGGCAGCTTGTTACAAGTGTCTTCTCTAGGGAATCTGATGTCCCCAGAGCTTCTTGTCGTTCTCCCAGACTGAAAGGCAGGAGCTGCCAAATGGAAAAGGCCCACAGTATGCCCTGCGTGTGGCTGACAACAGAGCCTCCCCCAGGCACATCACCATGACATCTCAGAGCACGGAGGACATGAGGAAGGTTCAACGAGCTTCCAAGGAGAGTTCAGTGTAGAGGCAGGAAGCAGAATGGCCGGCTTATATTTTTGTAATGAAACGGTCAGTCAAGTGAGAAACAGCACAGGCTCAGGAAAAAAGAGTCGATCATCCTCACAGGTCCTAGACATGGGAGACACGGCCCGGCACACGAGGCCCCATGGGGAAGCACCAGGGGGTCGGGAGGCAGAATACAGGGGCGACAGGAAGACTGAGGCCAGAGCCTTTACTGGGGTTTCCACAGCAAAGGCAAGGCCAGCAGTTTAAAGAGCTTAAGGGCACAGGGCTTGTCCCTGGTTGCCTGGCGCCTGGCTCTGGGATGATGAAGGCAGAGGGAGGACGAAAGGGCCTGGGCTGCTCAGTCTGCACACCAAAGGCCTGTTAGCAGCAGGGCCCTTCCTTCTCTCTAAGAATTGGCTGGCCCTGGGAGGACAGTCTCTCCAGCCAGAAAGAGTTTTTTTGTTTTCGTTTTTGGAGTTTTTAGAAAAGATGTCTAAACATTATAATATACAGGTAATGTATGTGCACACACACACACACACACACACACACACACACAGACGCAAACACACACACACAATACACACACTGCAATGGCAACACCTGGAGCTAATGGAGCAATTCCCTCCAAATGCTGGAGGAAAATCATTTCCAACCTAGAATTCCACATGTAGCCACATCATCAACGGCATCAGTGGACAGAAGGTTGTCAGACATGCACGTTCTCAAACATTTCTCTCCCACACACTCTTTCTCAGTGCGCCAAACTCAGGGGGTAGACAAGAACAAGACGACAAGGGCTACAGGGACACCAGTGCCAACAGACAGGAGACACAAAGGAGACCCCGGGAGGAGGGTTCAGCCTGACCAGCTCCCAGGCTTGAGGGCAGCCAGCCTGGAACGGCAAAGTGTGACTTAGAGACAGAGGTGTGCAGTCTCTGGTTCCCATCCCAGCCCTGTCAGGTGCACGACTGCAGACCCCTGTTTCCCAGGAGTCGCTAACAACCTTGCCCACTGGCTTTCCCAGAAATGAACTGTCAGGGAAGCCGAGGCCAGGCCGTGACCCAGAAACTCCGTCCAGCTTCCTTCTCCTGGGAGCCTTGGCCTAGAGAAAGGGCAAGCGGTTGCCCTTTCCTTACTCACCACTTGGTTTTCTATGCATCACCTTTCTTGTGCATTTCTACAAAGCGAGACTTCCCTGTCACTCCATCTAAACTCACAACCCTCCCACTGCCTGTCATGCTAGACTCTGGGGCTAGAACACTGAAGAAATCCGCAAAGATGCCATTTCCTCCTTGACACCGATAACAAAGGCAAGAGAGGTGCAAGTGTGTTTGCGGAAGTTATTCATTCAGTGAACTGACATGTGAGTGCCGAGGATGGGCCAGGCACTTCCAGATGCTGGCTTGAGCCCTGTTCTTGGGGCACGCTCCTTTGAGCGGAGAAGACCAAAGTGAACACCTCTAGAATCTGGAACGTTCAGTAGCGATAGGTGCTTGGAAGGAAGGCAGAGCTAAGGCGGAGAGCAGGACCAGGTAGCAGTGGCAGTGGCAGCTGCTGTTCCATATGTGCTGGATGGAGAGGGTTTCTCAGTGGCCAAGGCCATTTGAGTAATTGATTCTGATTTCCTTTGCAGCATGATATATTATCCTCCTTTGTAAATTTGTCCTTGGAACTAGATAGCGCACATTCTCTGTAGTGTACACAGTTTGACACATAGTTTTAGCCAGCTTGTTTCCTTCTCTTGGTTTTGCCCCAAGAAAAAGACTGTGTCATACTTCTGCCCATTTCTTCTTCACCTACTTCCAGCAAATTGTGCTTTCTCTAATAAATGCTGCCCGGTTCATAAAGATTCATTACAGTTACCTCTTTATGGCAAAGTGGTCTCCTTATTGACATAAAATTATACTTTTTTGATACCATTTAATGTTCTTTGAGTTCTGCTTTGCCAGACACCATTACTACTTTTTTCATTAATTTACATTTATTCACCCAAACTGAAAGAGGTTGCTGAGAGCAGATGGGTCTCTGAAGAGTTCAGACAGTTGTTCAATTAACTGGCACTTCTGAGGGACAAACCAGTGACCCTTTTCTTGGAATGGCAGGGCCATAGGGCATAAGTCAGTAGCTGGTTCACAGGAAATCATCCCCATTTTCGAAATAAGTGATTATCTGGAAGGAAACATTCTGGAACCAAGTCTAGCAAACTCAGATGCGAGGAGCAACAGCGGTCTGAACAGTGGCGGTGAGCAGTTCTCCATCTACGTTGTTGTTACTGTGAGAAAGCCAAAATGTCTAAAGCTGTGGGGTAACAACAAGTGAAAAGCTGAACAAACCGAAAAATCAACAGCTTTTCTTAGACCTATAAGAAAAGCTCACTTCCACTGCCCTGGAAGTTGGAGAGACAGACAGGTGGATACAGAGAATCACGACTGGGCAGAAACATCCGTGGGAACCACTGCTGGAGGGGAGACCTGAACTGTAATTGACGAATTGCTGGAGGCTAGGTATGGACAAATTTCAGAGCGAAAAACTTCAGGGGTGGCCACTGATGGGGTGAGCACACTTTTGTGAGTTTTACCTCCAGGAGCTTGACCAGGTTCTCACAGTAAATATCAGAGAATAACTTCCTCATGCTTCTGGCAGGGGGAGGGAAAAGGAACCATTTTGAAATCATTACCTCCAACTTCTCAGAAACCCTGGAAGCAAGGAAGGAGCAGAGTGAAATGTTTTCAGTGTTGAGAGAGACTCTGCACCGACCTAGAATTCTGTACTCCCGGAAGTTATCCTTCAAGAGTGATGGAGAATAAAGACTTTCTCAGACAAATAAATATTGAGAAAATGTGTTGCCAGTAGACCTGCATTGCAGGAAATGGTAAAAGAAGTCCTTTAAAGAGAAGGACAATGACATAGGGTAGAAACTTGGATATATGTAAGGAAAGGAGAGCATCAGAGAGGGAATAAATGAAAGTAAAAGAAAAACGTTTATTTTTCTTATTCCTGATTGATCTAACAGCTAACATTTTCTTCAAAATAATAATAGCAACAATCTATTTGATTATGTAGCCTAATATACAGGTGAAATGAATGACAGCAATGGCGCAGGGATGAGAGGGAAGCATTAAGATTATTGTGTTATTATAAGGTACTCACACTACCTGGGAAGTGGTACAGTGTTATTTGGAAGTGGGCTTGGATTAGTTGTAAATGTATATGGCAAACTCTAGGGCATCTGCTAAAAAAGGTATTAAAAAAGAAGTATAGCTGATATGCTGAGAAAGGAGAGAAAATAGAATCATATGAAATGCTCAATTAAAACCACAAAAGGAAGAAAAGGAGCAGAAAACAAAAATAGAAACAAAAGCAAAAATTAGAAAACAGCACCAAATATCATTAAATGTCAATAGTTTAAGTACACCAATTAAAAGACAGAGATTGGCTGGGCATGGTGGCTCAGGCCTGTAATCCCAGCACTTTGGGAGGCCAAGGTGGGTGCATCACCTGAGGTCAGGAGTTCAAGAGCAGCCTGGCCAACATGGGGAAACCCCGTCTCTACTAAAAATACAAAAATTAGCCAGGCATGGTGGCAGGCACCTGTAATCCCAGCTACTTGGGACGCTGAGGCAGGAGAATCACTTGAACACGGGAGGCAGAGGTTGCAGTGAGTGAAGATTGCGCCATTGCACTCCAGCCTGGGTGACAGAGTGAGACTCCGTCTCAAAAAATAAATAAATAAATAAATAAAATAATAAAAGACAGAGATTGTCAGAGGAAGTCACAAAACATGACCCAATTATATGTTGTCTACAGGAAACCCATTTGACATGTAGACACCTGTAGATTAAAGGTAAGTGGATGGAGAAAGATATATCATGCTAACAGATAATCAAAAGAAAGCAAGCAGCAGCTATATTAATTTCAGACAGAGCAGACTTCAAAGCAAGGAAAGTTATCATGGATAAAAAAGGGCATTACAGGCTGGGAGCGGTGGTTCACGCCTGTAATCCCAAC
The DNA here is from genome assembly GCF_000001405.40 of Homo sapiens. Classification (NCBI taxonomy): domain Eukaryota; kingdom Metazoa; phylum Chordata; class Mammalia; order Primates; family Hominidae; genus Homo; species Homo sapiens. Next base: position 154,112,510 of record NC_000023.11, on the reverse strand, counting down.
CCTTTGGGAGGCCGAGGAGGGTGGATCACCTGAGGTCGGGAGTTTGAGACCAGCCTGACCAATATGGAGAAACCCCGTCTCTACTAAAAATACAAAAAATTAGCCGAGCGTGGTGGTGGGTGACTGTAGTCCCAGCTACTCAGGAGGCTGAGGCAGGAGAATTGCTTGAACCCGGGAGGTGGAGGTTGCAGTGAGCCGAGATCGTGCCATTGCACTCCACCCTGGGCAACATCTCAAAAAAAAAAAAAAAAAAAAAAGGCATTACATAACAATAAAGGGGTCAATTCTCCAAGAATACACAACAATCCTCAATATGTAAGTGCCTAACAACAAAGTGTTCAAATACATGAGGCAAAAACTGGTAGAACGACAAGGAGAAATTGATGAGTCCATTGACAAAGTTAGAGACTTCAATACCCCTCTGTCAGAAATTAACAGATCCAGCAGGCAGAAAATCAGGAAGGACATAGTTGAACTCACCAACACCATCAATCAACCTAATATAATTGACATCTATAGAATACTTTATCCAACAGCAGCAGAGTACATGTTCTTCTCAAGCTCCCGTGGGACATTCACCGAGATGGACCACATTCTGGGCCATAAAGCACACCTTAACAAATGTAAAAGAATAAAATCACACAGTGTTTTCTCTCAGACCACATTGGAATTAAACAAGAAATGAATAACAGAAAGATAACTGGAAGTCCCCAAATACTTGAAGATTAAACAACATGTGTCTGAATAACACATGGGTAAAAGAAGAAATCTCAAGAGAAATTTATAAGTATTTTGAACTAAATGAAAATGAAAACACAGCTTACTAAAATGTGTGGGATGCTGTGAATGCAGTGCTTAGAGGGAAATTTATAGCATTGACTGCATATATTAGAAAAGAAGAAAGATCTAAAATGAATAATCTAAGCTTCCACCTTAGGAAACTAGAAAAAGAAGAGCAAATTAAATTCAAAGTAAGCAGAAGAAAAGGAATAATAAAAATTATGGCAGGCCAGGCACTGTGGCTCATGCCTGTAATCTCAGTGCTTTGGGAGGCTGAGGCAGAAGGATTGCTTGAGCTCAGGAGTTTGAGACCAGCCTGGGCAACATAGTGAGACCCTATCTCTACAGAAAATAAAAATAAAATAAAATTTAAAGTAAAAATTATAGCAGAAATCAATAAAATTAAAAACAGTAAATTAATAGAGAAAATCAATGAAATCAAAAGCTGGTTCTTTGAAAAGAATAATACAATTTGTATGGCTCTCGCTAACTAGGAAAAAAATAGAGAACACAAATTATTAGTATCAGAAATGAAAGAGAGAACATCACTGTGGATCCCATGGACATTAACAGGATAATAAAGAAATCCTATGAACAACTCTATGCCCACAAATTTGGAATCTACATAAAATGAATCCATTCCTTGAAAGACACAATCTGCCAAAACTCACACAAGAAGAAATAAACAATCTGAATAGGCCTATATCTTTTTTTTTTTTTTTTTTTTTTTTTTGAGACAGAGTCCCACTCTGTTGGCCAGACTGAAGTGCAGTGGTGCAATCTCCTCTCACGGCAGCCTCTGATTCCCAGGTTCAAGTGATTCTCTTGCCTCAGCCTCCTGAGTAGCTGGAATTGAAGATGCCCACCACCACAGCTGGCTAATTTTTTTTGTATTTTTAGTAGAGATGGGGTTTCGCCATGTTGGCCAGGCTGGTCTTGAACTCCTGACCTCAGATGATCTGCCCACTTTGGCCTCCCAAAGTGCTGGGATGACAGGCATGAGCCACTGCGCCCAGCCTGAATAGGCCTATACCTATTAAAGAAATTGAATCAATAATTAATAACCTTCCAAAAAAGAAAGCACCAGGCCCAGATGGGTTCATTGTTGAATTCTACCAAACATTTAAGGAAGAAATTACAGTCATGTGGCACATCAGAGCCTTCCACTCAATGACAGACCACATATATGATGGGGATTACAATGCTTAGGATATGTTTAGATACACAAATACTTACCATTGTGTCACAATTGCCAACAAAATTAGTACATGAACATGCTGTACAGGTTTGTAGACTGGGAGCAATAAGCTAATCCATATAGGCTACAATTTAAGTTTGTATAAGTACACTCTGTGATGTTCACACAATAATGAAATTGCCTAATGATGCATTTCCTGGAACATATCCCCATCATTAAGTGATGCATAACTGTATACCAGCTCTTTATGATCTCTTTCAGAAGAAGCTGAGAGAATACTTCCTAATGCATTCTATGAGGCTAGCATCACCTTGATGTCAAAACCAGAAGACATACCAAGAAAACTATAGACCAATATCCCTAATGAACATAGATGCAAAAATCTTCAACAAAGGATTAACAAATAGAATTCAACAATGTATACAGAGAATTATGACTATGACCAAGTAGGATTTATCCCAAGTAGGCAAGGCTGGCTCAACATTCAAAAATCAATTAAAGAGGCCGGGCGCGGTGGCTCACGCCTGTCATCCCAGCACTTTGGGAGGCCAAGGCGGGTGGATCACCTGAGGTCAGGAGTTTGAGACCAGCCTGACCAACCTGGTGAACCTCTACTAAAAATACAAAAATTAGCTGGCTGTGGTGGTGGGTGCCTGTAATCCCAACTACTCGGGAGGCCAAGGCAGGAGAATTGCGGAGGTTGCAGTGAGCCGAGATCACGCCATTGCACTCCAGCCTGGGCAATAAGAGCGAAACTCTGTCTCAAAAAAAAAAAAAAAAAAGAAAAGAAAAAAGAAAGAAAGAAAAATTTGTCCAAGCGTAGTGGTGTGCTCCTATAATCCCACCTACTCGGGAGGCTGAGGCAGAAGAATCGCTTGAACCTTGGAGGCAGAGGTTGCAGTGAGACGAGACTGCGCCATTGCACTCCAATCTGGGCGACAGAGTGAGACTCTGTCTCAAATCAAACAAACAAACAAAAAACAAACAAACAAGAAAATTGGGTCGAAAATCTTTAGAGAAACCTCCCCAAAGAAGATAGACAGATGGCAAATAAGCATATCAGACGATGCTCCATATCATACATTATCAGGGAAATGCAAATTAAAGCAACAATGAGACGCCAGTACACACCTACTAGAATGGCCAAAATCCAGAACACTGATAACACCAAATGCTGGTGAGGATGTGGAGCAATGGAAACTCATTCCTTGCTGGTGGGAGAGCAAAATGGTATAGCCACCCTAAAAGACAGTTTGGTGGTTTCTTATAAAACTAAACATACACTTGCCAGATGATCCAGCAATCACACTCCTTGGTATTTACCCAAAGGAGTTGATAAGTTATGTCCACACAAAAACCTGCACATGGATGTTTATAGCAGCTTTATTCATAATTGCTCAAACTTGGGAGTAATCAAGATGCCTTTCAGTAGGTGAATGGATAAATAAACGGTGGTATATCCAGTTGATGGAATATCATTCAGTGCTAAAAAGAAATGAGCTCTCAAGCCATGAAAAAACATTGAAAGAAGCTTAAATGCATATTACAAAGTGAAAGAAGGCAATCTGAAGAGGCTACAGACTGTAGGATTTCAACTCTATGACATTCTGGAAAAGATAAAACTATGGAAACAGGGAGAATATGGGAATTCTCTGTACCTTCCTCTCAATTTTGCTGTGAACCTAATAGTGCTCTAAAATATAAAGTCTTTAAAAAGAAATCTGGCCTTCCCTCTCCCTCACCCTGCAGGGGCAGGTCCTGTTGCCTGCCTGTCCCAGGATCCAGGCTCAGCTGGTTTCTGGCTGGGTTTGACCATAGGAGACCCGAGCCGGAGACTAGAGGGAAGAAGAAGTGGGGGGAGCAGCTCGGCGGCAGCTGCAGCTCCTACCAAAAGGCCCCTGTGGTTCTAGGCCTTCTCTCTGTGGCCCCCCAACCTCGGGTGGGCTGTGCTGATCCCCTATCAACCTCCAAGTAGTCCTGGGTACCCTTTCCCTGGTATTTAGTGCCCTAAGTCGAAGTGGTTTCTGTTTTCCTGGGGCGACTCTAAACTGATGAAATAGTCACTTGGAGACTGATATGATTTGGATATGTGTCCCCACCCAAATCTCATGTTGAATTGTAATCCCCACTGTTGGAGGTGGGGCCAAGTGGGAGGTGATTGGTTCACGGGGGTGGGTTTCTCATGAATGATTTAGCACCATCCTCTTGGTGCTATCCCCACAATAGTGAGTGAATTCTCACCAGATCTGGTTGTTTAAGAGTGTGTGGCACCCTGGAGCCCCAGCTACTCAGGAGGCTGAGGCAGGAGAATCACTTGAACCCGGGAGGCATAGGTTGCAGTGAGCCGAGATAGCACCATCCACTGCACTCCAGCCTGGGCAACAGAGTGAAACTCCGTCTCAAAAAGAAAAAAAAAAAAAAGTAACCCCGACAATGTAAAATTAAAGTGTAGCTGATGCAAAATGGTCAAAGATAACTTTACTAGTGAAAGCTAATGGAACAAGAGATTTAAATGTATTATTTAAACATACAAAGAACTAAAGATAACAGTGGATGGTGTTACATACATGGTCATATATCAGGTGTGGGGGTCCCCAATACCACCTGCAGGAACACCCAGGCCTGCTGGAGTTAACTCTTGCTACACAGAAAGAGGAGAGAAATGTGTCCCATCCAGCAACAAAAACCTATCCTTCCATGTTTTGTGTATAGGTTGACGCTAAAACCTGAAAAGCAAAAACAAAAATTCACATTAGAAAGTCTATGTAAATATTTTCAGTGCCAGGTCAAGAAGAGGAATGCTAGGATTATATTTCTTTCTTATACGTCTAATTCGATAGTCCCTGAGTCATTTGAAAAGAGAACTTTCCTAGCACCCAGGTCCCAATGATTCTCTTCTTACCATGAATTAGGAAAATTATGATCTATTTTACTTTACTTCTGGCTTTTTTCTTTTTTCTTTATTTTATTTTTATTTTTTGAAATGGAGCCTCGCTCTATCACCCAGGCTGGAGTGCAGTGGTGCAATCTCGGCTCACTGCAACCTCCACCTCCCAGGTTCAAGCAATTCTTGTGCCTCAGCCTCTTGAGTAGCTGGGATCACAGGTGTGCACCACCACACCCAGCTAATTTTTATATTTTTAGTAGGGACATGTTGGTTTCGCCATGTTGGCCAGGCTGGTCTTGAACTCCTGGCCTCAAGTGATCTGCCCACCTCGGACCCCCAAAGTGCTGGGATTACAGACTTGAGCCACTGTGCCCGGCCTGCTTCTTGTTTTGATCATAACTTTCTTTTTTTTTTTTTTTTTTTTGAGATGGAGTCTCACTCTGTCGCCCAGGCTGGAGTGCAGTGGCGCTATCTCGGCTCACTGCAACCTCCGCCTCCCGGGTTCACGCCATTCTCCTGCCTCAGCCCCCGAGTAGCTGGGACTACAGGCACCCGCCACCACGCCCGGCTAAATGTTTGTATTTTTTAGTAGAGATGGGATTTCACTGCGTTAGCCAGGATGGTCTCGATCTCCTGAACTCGTGATCCGCCCGCCTTGGCCTCCCAAAGTACTGGGATTACAGGCGTGAGCCACGGCTCCTTGCGGATCATAACTTTCTTGTATAGTTCTTTCCTTCTGGTATTTTTAATTGCTTTTCCTTATTTTCTTGTACTATTTGCCATCATCGTATCCAACTTCAGACTCCCAATCACACCATCTAATATGTTGAATTCACATATACACAATTTTTTTTTTTTTTTTTTTTGAGACGGAGTCTCACTCTGTCGCCCAGGCTGGAGTGCAGTGGCGCAAGCTCGGCTCACCGCAACCTCTGCCTCCCAGGTTCAAGCGATTCTCCTGCCTCAGCCTCCTGAGTAGCTGGGATTACAGGCACCCGCCACCATGCCCGGCTAATTTTTGTATTCTTAGTAGAGACGGGGTTTCGCCACGTTGGCCAGGCTGGTCTCGAGCTCCTGACTTCAGGTGATCCACCCGCCTCAGTCTCCCAAAGTGCTGGGATTACAGGCGTGAGCCACCACACCCGGCTATACATATATATTTAATTCTTGGAGTCCTCTCTCCCAGAGCCTACCATTCTCCTACTCCAACCTGGACTGATTGCCAACCAGGCTTTCTGCCCAGTTGGCATCCCTGGTATTTCCCATCACAGCTCTCCTGGATTAGATCCATTGTCTTATGGATCCCACATTTTCCTTTTTCTTGGCTTGCACCCTTGATTTGCTGCAGAGCATCCCCAAGTAGCTTCCTAAGAAAGTACATTTCAGAGGCAAATTTTCTTAGCTCTTGTGTATCTAAAAACATTTTTATTCCATTATCACACATAATGGATATTTTGGATGGTGTACTTCTATGTGGAAAATCATTTTCCCTTGGAATTTGGAAAGCATTGCCCTATTATCTTTTTCTTTTCTTGTTGTCCTGTGATCTTTTATCATTCAGTGTTGTTATGAACTCTGGTGCTACTCTGATTCCTGTTCCTTTTTCTTTATTTCATTTTTCCATAATTCTTGTTAGTTGCTTGCCAGACTTCCTAGATCACTCCTCAAAGTCCTCATATTTTCTCTCATATCTTTGTCTCTATTGTTTTGTTCTATTTTCTGGGAGACTTCTTCAGTTTTATTTTCCAATATTTCTATTGAAATTTGAATTTCAATAATTCCTTCTTGTTCTCTGATTGCTCTTTTTACATAATATTCTGTTCTTGTTTTATGAATACAGCATTTTCTTTTAGTTCTGTAGATATGTTAATTAAATTAAATTTTTTGATACATTCCCTGAATTTTCTTGAATTCCAAGTTTATATTTTTTCTACAGGTTTATCTTGACTCTTTTTCCTGTTGAAGGCTTTCATCAAATTTCTGATAATATTTACTGACTGGTTTATATTTAATAAGGAAGGACTGGATAAGTATTGTGGATTTAATCTGCTGTTGGGCAAATAGGTCTGTTTTCCTGCTGTGACTCTTCTCTGTGTAGGACAGGGAGGTGACGAACAGAGTATCCCCTAGATGCCGGAATGAGGAAACAATTGTTCAGGGGTTGTCAGCATCCATGCTGGAAGCCTTAGCTCTCCACCGACATTTCAATCAATTTCTTTACAGAACTGTCAGGTGTTTTCCCTGTAGGTCTGTGCCAGCTCCCAGCTCAGCTGTCTGGTGGGGAGAGGAGGTTCCAACTGGTACAGTCATTCTGTACTGGTGCCTTCAATTAATCCCCATGTGTTCAGTCCTATTTAATTCTATCGTTTTCTACCACATGCCTACTGATTCTGATTGTCTGGTGTTATATCTAGCAAACTCACTCCCACTTCTTCTGTGGCTCCCTTGTCAAATATTCTCACCTGGATTTTTACTGCCTATTTTATTCATCAATCAATTCCCATATGCTTTCTATAAAGTTGTTGTCCTTTGATGATAACCTCTCATCCTCACCACATTCTCTTCACTCTGGTGGGTTTATTCCTTTCCTTTTTTTTTTTTTTTCAGACGGAGTCTTGCTCTGTCACCCAGGCTGGAGTGCAATGGCACGATCTCGGCTCACTGCAACCTCTGCCTCCTGGGTTCAAGCGATTCTCCTGCCTCGGCCTCCCAAGTAGCTGGGATTACAGGTGCGTGCCACCAGGCCTGGCTAATTGTTTGTATTTTTAGCAGAGGCAGGGTTTCACCATGTTGGCCAAGCTGGTCTCGAACTCCTGACCTCAAGCAATTCACCCTCCTTGGCTTCCCAAAGTGCTGGGATTACAGGCATGAGCCACCACACCCTGCCTCCTTTCTGTTTCTTGACATTCTTCTTTTAGTGCACTTCTATGAGTAAAGAAGGAAAACTGTGTGTGTGTGTGTGTGTCTGTGTCTGTGTGTCTGTGTGTGTGTCTGTGTGTCTGTGTATGTGACTGTGTGTGTGTGTCTGTGTGTCTGGGTGTGTGTGTGTTCATGCACATCTGTGCCTGCTCATGGTGTCTTATATCAGAATTTATTCATTTCTTATCTATTTTCTAACAAATATGGTTAAGGCTATTAATTTTTCTAGGTGACCTCTGTAGCCTTATCTCCTAGGTTTTAATATGTAGGGCTCTCAATGTTGGTCATTTCTTTTGTTTTTAGAGACAGGGGCTTGCTCTTTCTCCCAGGCTGGAGTGCAGTGGCATGATCCCACCTCAGCCTGTTGAGTAGCTAGGACTACAGGTGCGCACGTGCCCAGCTAATTTATTTCATTTTTGGGAAAAACGGGGTCTCACTTTGTTGCCCAGGCTGATCTCGAACTCCTGGGCTCAAGCGATCCTCCTGCCTTGGCCTCCCAAAGTGCTGGGATTACAGGCATGAGCCAGCGCCCCTGGCCTGGATTAGCTCTTCTGAAATATATATATTCTCTATCAGTTTAAGAGATTTTTAGACAAATGGAGTAAAAGTTTGTGTTGTTTGTCATATTGATAAAATCCTTCTGGTTGTGGGCTTTCTGTCAATTACCATCTATACTAGATTTTCCTGGTTTTTATCTTCTACAGTCCTGTTTTTAAGAGGACCTTAAACTATTACAGTCCCATTTTTTAAATTACTGATTTTTAATTCTAATAGTAAATAATTTTGATTATAGTATATTTTTCTTTTTTTTCTTTTTTTTGAGATGGAGTCTTGCTCTGTTACCCGGGCTGGAGTGCAGTGGCACGATCTCGGCTCACTGCAAGCTCCGCCTCCTGGGTTCACCCCATTCTCCTGCCTCATCCTCCCAAGTAGCTGGGACTACAGGCGCCCACCACCACACCCGGCTAATTTTTTGTATTTTTAGTAGAGACGGGGTTTCACCTTGTTAGCCAGAATGGTCTCGATCTCCTGACCTCGTGATCTGCCCGCCTCGGCCTCTCAAAGTGCTGGGATTACAGACGTGAGCCACCATGCCCAGCCGATTATAGTATATTTTTCTACTTTTCAATGGCAAGTGTGAAACTGTATAACTTAAGTTCCTTCTATTCAACCTAAGGAATTTAGCAAGATTCTCTTCATTATTTTTTAATATTTCAAAAACTTCTTGAGTTCTAGTCTTGTACATTATTCTTTCCAATCTAGATTTAAGTTGTTATAGCCCATGAAACTTCTTGACTTTTGATTGAGCAAAGAATTTCCAGAGTTATTGATGAAGAATTAACATTTCTATAATGTTAATGCTTCCCCTCCAGGAATACGGTAGCGTCTGTTTTTGTTTTTGTTTTCTTCAGGTCTTCTTTTAGATTTTTCAGTAAAGTTTTATAGCTTTTTGATGCAGGTTTTGACATTTCTTATTAAGTTTATTCCCAGCTGTTTTATAATTTTTGTAGTGAGAGTGAGTTGAATCTTTTTTCCCTCATTACATTTTCCAGCTTTTTATTACTGGTCGTGTTTACATGCCTGCATCCTAACACCGGGGAACTGACTTGAAATGGGCCTTTCTCCCCGCAGAGACGCACCAAGAATGAGGTTTAAAAGAGAATGGAAGAAGGATGTATGTGGGGCTTTTTATTTTTGTTTTTTAATTGACACATATTTAGGGAGTACAATTTGATATTTCAATATATATTTATGTTGCACAATGGTCCAAGCAGGGTAGTTAATATATCCATCAGCTCATGCATGTACCATTTCTTTGTTGTGGGAACTTTCAAAAGTCTCTCTTCTAGGTATTTTGTAACATACAATATATTGCTGTCAACCATAGTCACCCTGCTGTGCAATAGAACAACATAATTTTTTTTTTTGAGACAGAATCTCGCTGTGTCACCCAGGCTGGAGTGCAGTGGTGTGATCTCAGCTCACCAGGTTGCTCTGCCTCCTGGGTTCGAGCGATTCTCCTGCCTCAGCCTCCCAAGCAGCTGGGACTATAGGCACCCGCCGCCATGCCCAGCTAATTTTTGTATTTTTAGTAGAAATGGGGTTTCACCATGTTGGCCAGGCTGCACTCAAGCTCCTGACCTCAAGTGAGTCACCCACCTCAGTCTCCCAAAGTGCTGGGATTACAAGCGTGAGCCACTGCACCTGGTCAAAACACCAGAATTTATTCATCTTATCTAATAATAACTTTGTACCTGTTGACCAACCTCTGCCCATCCTCCTCTCCCCGATCCTCTCCCCAGTCTCTGGTAACTACTGTTCTACTCTCTGCTTCTATGATATCAACTCTTTTTTGTTTTTGAGATTCCACATATGACTGAGATCATGTGGTATTTGTCTTTCTGTTTCTGGTTTATTTCCCTTAACTTTATGTCCTCCAGGTTCATTCATGTTGTCTTAAGTGACAGGATTTCATTCTTTTTTATGGCCGAATATTATTCCATTGCATATATGTACCACATTTTCTTTATCCATTCACCTGTTGGTGGACACCTAAGTTGATTCTGTATCTGGCTATTGTGAATAGTCATTCAATAAAAATGGGAGTGCAGATAACTCTTCCACATACTGATTTCATTTCCTTTGGATATATACCGGTAGTAGGATTGCTGGTAGTTCTATTTTCAATTTATTGAGAAACCTCCATACTGTTCTCCATAGTTGACTATACTAACTTACTACCCCACCAACAGTATGAAAGTATTCCCTTTTCTCCACATCTTTGCCAACTTGTCTTCTTTTGTCTTTTTGATTAAAGCCATTCTAACTGAATTGAAGGGGTATCTCATTGGGCTTTTGATTTGAATTTCCCTGATGATGAGTGATGTTGAACTTTTTTTCCCCTCCCTCCCTCCCTCCCTTCCTTCTCTTTCTTTTTTCGAGACAGGGTCTCACTCTGTCACCCAGGCCAAAGTGCAATGGCACGATCCTGGCTCATTGCAGCCTCAAACTCCTGGGCTCAAGTGATCCTCCCACCCCAGCCTCCCAAGAAGCTGAGATGACAAGTGTGCACAACCATGCCTGGCTAATTTTTTGTTTTTTTAGAGACAGTGGTCTTGCCATGTTAACCAGGCTGGCCTTGAACTCCTGGACTCAAGTGATCTTCCCACCTCGGCCTACCAAAGTGCTGGGATTACAGGTGTGAGCCAAGGTGCCTGGCGAGATTTTTCCCATATACCTGTTGGTCATTTAAATGTTTTCTTTTGAGAAATGTCTATTCAGGTTTTTTGCCCTCTCCTAACCTTTTATTTTATCTATCTATCTATCTGTCTGTCTGTCTGTCTGTCTATCTATCTATCTATCTATCTATCTATCCATCCATCCATCCATCCATCCATCCATCCATCTATTTCGAGATGGAGTCTCGCTCTGTCACCCAGGCTGTAGTGCAATGGCACGATCTCGGCTTACTGCAACCTCCACCTCCCAGGTTCAAGCGATTCTCCTGCCTCAGCCTCCAGAGTAGCTGGGACTACAGGTGCGTGCCACCACGCCCGGCTAATTTTTTTTTGTATTTTTAGTAGAGATGGGGTTTCACCATTTTAGCCAGGATCATCTCAATCCCCTGATCTCGTGATCCGCCTGCCTCGGCCTCCCAAAGTGCTGAGATTACAGGCGTGAGCCGTCGTGCCTGGTCACCTTTTTTTTTTTTTTTTTTTTTTTAAAGACAGGGTCTTGCTTTGTTGCCCAGGCTAGAGTGCAATGTGCAATCATAGCTCACTGCAGCCTCAAACTCCTGGGCTCAAGTGATCCTTCCACCTCAGCTTTCCAGGGAGCTGGGACTACAGGTGTGTGCCACCACGTCTGTCTAATTTTTAAATTTTTTTTGTAAAGACGGGGTCTTGCTTCTTGCTATGTTGCCCAGGCTTGTCTTGAACTCCAGTTCTCTGATTTTTAAAAAAAATCATAAGTAGATGTTGAATTTTATCAAATGCTTTTTCTGCATCTATTGAAATAATTATGTAGTGTTTTTCCCCTTAAGTTTGTTAAGGTTGGGTTTCTAATTTTAAACCATATTTGCATTCTTAGGATAAAACTCAACTCGGTTGTGATAGATCATATACTGCAGGATTCAGTTTATTTGTCTAGAATTTTAAAACTTATTTCCACATCTTGTGTCATACTTTTCTTGGCTCATCATAGTAGATATATTAGTCTAGTAAAATAAGTTTGGAGACATTTATTTCTTTTCTGTGTATGATTGGAATTGCCTACTCATTAAAGATTTGGTAGAAGTCATCCATAAAGCCCTCTTGGTCTGTTTCTCTCTCTCTCTCTCTCTCTCTCTCTGTGTGCGTGTGTGTCTGTGTGTGTCTGCGTGTCTGTGTCTGTGTGTAGGAGGATGGGTAGCTTTTTAAATACATAGTCAATTTCATTGTGGTTACAGGGATTTTCTGTTTCTAAAGTCGGTTTTGGTAAGCTGTACTTTCCTAGGAATGTATTCCTTTTGCTTATGTTTTCAAATTTACTGACACACAGTGCATAATAAAACCTTTTCATGAGTAACATAATTTACTTTTCTCTTTTCTCTTTATATCCAGCTTGTTAGAGGGTTGGCTTTTGTTTTTCAGCTTTTCAAAGAAGCAGGTTTAAAATTTTCTCAATCCTCTCCATCATTTGTTTCTATTTCATTAAGTTTTATTCATCCTTATTTTTCTTTCTTCTACTTTTGCAGGCTTACTCTGTCATTTCTTTATGGCTTCTTGAATTGGATGTTCAGCGTGATGACTTTTGGACTGCTTTAGCCGCATCTCTATACTTCAGCATCGCACACCCAATGGCTTACTCAACATCTCCACTTTCACACCACTGGGCACCCCAAGCTTAATACAGCCAAAGCAGAACTCTTGATCTGCACCTCTGAAAATGTACTTTTCCTGTAGTTCTCCCCACTATGGTGAAAAGCACCCTTATTTCCCCAGTTGCTCAGGCCCCAATCTCAGGAATCATCCTTGTTTCTTCCCTTGCTCTATGCCCTACATCCAATCCTTTTGTTCAGTTCTGAAAACATATCTTGAATCTCACAACTTCTCAGAGCTGCACTGCTGCCACCCTAGTTAAAGCTACCATCAACTCTTTCTCCTAGACTGTTCCAGGGCCTTGCAACTAGCCTTGTGCTGTAGTTTTGTTTCATCACGTCCAGTTCTCCACTCTACACCTGCAACATAGATCAGACAGCTCCTGGCTCAAAATCCTCTGAGGGCTTCTCATCTTAGAATAAACTCTCGGTTCTGGCCGGGTGCGGTGGCTTACGCCTGTAGTCCCAGCACTTTGGGAGTCCGAGGCGGGCGGATCACTTGAACTCAGGAGTTTGAGACCAGCCTGGGCAACATGGTGAACTCCCATCTCTATCAAAAATACAAAAACTTAGCCAGGCGTGGTGGTTCGCATCTGTGGTCCCAGCTACTTAGGACGCTGAGGAGGGAGGATCGCTTGAGCTCAGGGTGGACGTTGCAGTGAGCCAAGATTGCGCCACTGCACTGCAGCCTGGGTGACAGAATGAGACCCCATCCCCACCCCCCCCAAAAAAGAATGAACTCCCAGTTCTCATAGTGGCCCCAGCTGCCTTTCCAATCACATTCCCTACCACTCTCCAGCAACACTGACTTCCTCGTTAGTCCCCAACATGCCAGGCATAGTCTCTCCTCATGTCCTTTGAACTTGCCTGGAATGTTCTTTCCCCAGATATTCATATGAGGGAGTAAAATGAGGGTGAAAACCAGCAGATATCTAAATAGCACCCCCTTCACTTAGTTTATCTTTCTCAAAGCCCTTATCACTATGTGAAATGATATATTATACTTATTTGTATGCTAGTATGAATCTTCCCGGCAAGAATGTTAGTTTGCTGTCTGTTCAGTACCGTGCATCCAGAGCCTGGAAGAGTGCCTGGCACATAGCAGGTAGTCAATAAATGAATGGGGGCAAGCAGCCAAATCAGAATCAGGTTTTCTTGCTAAGCATAGAACTAACAGAAGGATCATTGAATGGATTGGATAATGACTGGCATCAGGGTAAGGTCCCCTTAACAAACACTCCTGTCCTGAACACCTGGTTAGCTAACAGTTTTCTCATACTCTTATTTTCCCAAAACACAATTGCTGGATCTCAGCTCCAAATCAACTCTTCTAGGAAAGTGAAAAATTGCTGGATCTCAGCTCCCAAATCATATCTTCCAGGCAGAGCTAACATTGCCCCTTATTCACACCTCCACCAAACCATCTGATCCAACAGTGACAGGTGTCACGAGGCCTTGGCATGCACTCTCTTCCCCCGCCAGAGTTCTGCGAAAGCCAGGGTTGCGATTTGTTGTCAGTTTATTCCCCGCCTCTATGAGAGTGTGAGCACTGGGCAGGCTCGGATGAAATAATGCATTGAGTAGGCCTCTGAAACCAAGGCCCCTCAGCTGGGGCAACGTCAGGCTCCAGGGTGGGCAACTTTGCTGCTTCTGCCGAAGATAGTGATATTGAGAAAATGTGGGTGCAATGAAACGCTTATTGCAGCGCACTCGGTGCATCTGTGGACAGAGGGTCAATCGCCCCTCAGAGCAGCGCAAACAGGCGTCCCAAGCCTAGGCCTTCACTTGCCCCAGCATCCGCAAGGGTCCATTAATCCTTAACATTCAAATTCCGCCCACTAAACCAGTCCCTCCGCGCCCAAGCCGCCTCTTTTCCCCAAACGACGGCCGAAAGCAGCCAATCAACAGCTGGAGGGGTCCGCCCCCTTTTCCCTGGCCGAAATGGACAGGAAATCTCGCCAATTGACGGCATCGCCGCTGAGACTCCCCCCTCCCCCGTCCTCCCCGTCCCAGCCCGGCCATCACAGCCAATGACGGGCGGGCTCGCAGCGGCGCCGAGGGCGGGGCGCGGGCGCGCAGGTGCAGCAGCGCGCGGGCCGGCCAAGAGGGCGGGGCGCGACGTCGGCCGTGCGGGGTCCCGGCGTCGGCGGCGCGCGCGCTCCCTCCTCTCGGAGAGAGGGCTGTGGTAAAAGCCGTCCGGAAAATGGCCGCCGCCGCCGCCGCCGCGCCGAGCGGAGGAGGAGGAGGAGGCGAGGAGGAGAGACTGTGAGTGGGACCGCCGTGGCCGCGGGCGGGGACCCTTGCCGGGGGGCGGGGGTCAGGGGCGGGACGTGGCGCGGGAGGGGCCCGCGGGGTCGGACGACACGGCTGGCGGATGGCGTCCCTCCTCTCTACCCTCCCCCTCCCGCCGCCGCCGGTGGCGACTCTCCCCTCGGCCCGTCACCCCTGCTCGCGGGTGACCGTCCTCGGCGCGGCCTCCCTGGAGCCGCCTTCGCCTGACGCCCCTCTTCCTCCCGCCCTCGACGCGCATCCCGGCCCCCGGCCCCGCGGGCGCCCCTGTCGCCGGGGCTTCGCCTGTCGGGGCTGCGCGCGCTCCTGCCCTTCTCGGGGCTTTGGGCCGCGGCGCCGTCGCGCGCCCGCGGCCCCGGCCTCTCCCTGGATCGCGCTCTCCCCCTCCCTCCCTCGCGCGCCCCCTCTCCCGTTACTCGGCCCCCCCACCGGCGCGCGTGCGCACTTCGCCTCCCGTCGGGAGAGTGCGCCACAAGGGCTCCTGAGCTCTCACCCCCATCTCTGGGCTTTGCCTCCCCCTCCTTCTCGCCCATTCCATGAATTTCTGCCCCCCGCTACCCCCCCGCGAGCGAGTAGGTCCACCGGCTCCTTTCCCCATCTAGCAGGAACAAGTAGGTGGGGATTATTATCCACAAAAGGGACTAGACATTGTGTTCTGGGTCCCACAACTCATCATAAAGAGGTGGTTATAGTTCCCATCAGGAGCCGTGGGTAGGGGACTGTGCGTCCAGCAGCACCCGAGGCTCTTCGGCGCCAGAGGCTCTAAGGTGCGAGCGTGTCCCCAGGGTGCTCAGAGGTTCTTTGGAGTGCTGTGGCCTCGGAATGTGAGCACCCTCCCATCCTACCCTCCCCTTCGCCGGCGATCTTCCAGTTACATAAGTGGAGTGGGACATAGTAGGTAACGGGCTCTCATCGCCCTGGAGCGCTCGGGATCACCGGTACCAGATGGGGCAAGTTCATCGCGACGCTGTGGCTCCTGTTAATTGTGCCTGAAAGGTTATCCTCTGTTCAGTTTGGTCATGACCGAATCACCCAAACTGAAACTCAGATGACTTTTATATGGCAGTGGCAATGTTTCTGTGGTTTTGCACTAAAGACTTAAGGTCATTATGAAGAGTGTAAAAGGATTGCTGTCGCAGGGGAGACCGTTTATGACATTGCTAAGTATGGACCCCGAGGGGGAAAAAGCTCATTCTGGAATTGCTCTGTGGCGGTTGCTTCTGTTGCGAGTGTGTTCGGGTGTGGGTTGGTCACAGCAGAAATGGGCTCCACCACAAAATTGATATTCCTGACTCATGGTCAGGCAGATGTGTGCTTCTGGTTATTTTTCCAGGAACAGGAATGGGCTCTGCCGAGCCTTTCACACGTTGTGTCTCTGCTGTGCGGGATCAGTACCCCAGACTGTGAGATAACAGGATCGAATTCAGGGGTTGGTTGGTGATCCAGGAACCATACCTACTTGGATGTGATACTGAGTGGCCTAGACGTTGTAGGACTCTCATAAGTTTTAGACATTTTGTTATACTGTAAAAATGAAGCATATACGGCCTCAGTAGTAACATTGCACTAATAGGTAATTATTACTCTAGAGAATTTTGGGTTCCATGGCTGGAATGTTCATCAGTATCTCAGCAATTTCAGTTAATAACCAGATTAAGCTGACCTCTTGAGTCTTTTGAAATCTGCTGGGTCCCTATAATAAGACAGGGTCTGGATTTTTTAATCTTTTGGGAATTTCCACCAAGGATTTAGGGAAATAGGCTTTTATGGGCTTTTCAGGATTTCTATTTCAAATCCCAATGAGGAAGTCTAGGAAACACTTGCTTTTATTTTCTTGCCTGAATATGTCAGAACCTTAAATCACCCAATCAATCTAGAAGTACTACAGTTGATTAAAGTAAGTCACCACAGGTCACCCATTCGTGGCAGGTCAGCTAGGTGGCTGATCACTGGAATACAGTCATATCCCCAGGCATACACACGAGCCTCACTTGACGATCCCAAAGTTTGTACATCTGAGCTTGAGACGTGACAAGTTGAGGTCTCTGCTTTGTTCTTCATAGTTGGCAGTTTGTCTCCTCGGGTGCCCCTCCGGTTAGCTGTTTATCATACGTCTAGCCCTATCAACAGTGCAGGCAGCTTCCAGAGTATAGTTTTCTCTGCAAAGTGCCTGGTGGAGGGGTACCTCCTTTTCCATTGTCCTAATGGCTCCACTGGGCTTCCATACCAGCCCTTTCCAGTGTCTTAACAGCTCAAAGAAACCCATCTGTGGCTTTCTTGTTAGCACTGGCCTATCACACCTTCCTATTGCCTGTTAACTAAAATTTTGCCTGGAATGCTTTAAGCTTAGAGTACTGGGTCTTTGTTTCACCCGATTGATAGGAGAGTGTCATGCAGTCAGCCGAACTCCGACTTCTGTGCTGTTTAAATCCTTAGGTAGGTCTGGGGCAAGGCACAAACCACTGTGTATTCAAAGGGTTATGGTGCTTGCATTCTGTGTGTATATGTTTGTAATTTCCAACCAGAGTCGTTTCCCGTGCCTGCCCTGCCTCTGTGCAATCTAGTCTAGTAGGGTAGGGAGGCAAGCTGTGGAGTTTGAAAAAAAAAAAAAAAAGCTAGATGAGTTTAATAGGCTGTTACCCCCTCCAGAACATTCCTCCCATGTGGAGATGAAACGAGAAGTTCATTTCTTTAACCTAAAATAAAGAACAACAGAGATAAAATTGTTAGTTCCTTATTGGAGCCTGGTTTCCATTGCTAATGTACCTGCTTGGGACTCTGCATGATAAATGACGTGTCCTGGAACCTGAAATCTTTTATAAAGGTTAATATCAGCAGAAATCTTTTAATTAGCTAAGAGCAGCTTGTTCTCAAGCTGCCCGAGTTATCTTGGAGGAGAGAATCACAGGAAATGTTTGATATTTCTAGTAACCAGTGTTTTCAGTGCGTGGGGTAAAGCACACTCCTAGACTGGCCAGTCCCAAAGAGTGTGGCAGGACACCTGCTTGTTTTCCCTGCCCTCTGCTATGGTGACATCCTTGCAGACCAGTCTTGCGTGGCTGGCAGACGCAATCTTTTTTTCTTGGGTAGAGCATTATCACCGCTGCGATGGAAGGACCTTGTCCTCGGTGCCTCCATACCAGCCCTTTCCAGTGAAACTACTGCTGTCCCGGCAAGCCCCTGTGCGTGTGCATCATTCCGGGTAGGACAAGATGTGAACAGGTCCCTCTTCTTTGGGCTTAAGTAGAAGTTGTGCTCTTCTGCTTTTACCTGTGTGCTCTTCTGCTTTTACCTGTTCTCTTCTGCCTTTCTCTTGCAAGAAACCTGTCGAAAGCTTGCTTTGCATGCCATTGCTTAAATACTTTGATGGTATGTATGGTATGTGGGATAACTGAGTGGGAGCCGGAATTGGGGGGTGGGCAGGGCATCCCCACCCCCACCCCCACATCAAAGGGGGAATGACCATTTCGTTAGAGAATAAAGCCTGAGTCTTATAACTTCTTCAAGCACATGTATGCTGGGTCTCCTGGCGTGTGAATGTGTTCCCGCTGTGCTGTGTGGCTGTTTTGCAGTTACTGTAGACACTGTAGTCTGGGCTCTCATTATTGCCTCTGAAGTTGACAGGACCAAGCCTTAGTAAGGATGCACTTGTCTTCCTAGCCCAAGAGCTAGGGGTGTTTTATATATATATTAACTTTCTTTTTTAGATTTCATAAACTGCTCTCATTTTCTCTTTTCTTTCTTTCTTTTTTTTTTTTTTTTTTTGAGACAGTCTCACTCTGTCACCCATGCTGGAGTGCAGTGGCACGATCTCAGCTCACTGCAACCTCTGCCTCCCGGGCTCAAGCAGTTCTCTGCCTCAGCCTCCCAAGTAGCTGGGATTACAGGCACCTGCCACCACGCCTGGCTAATTTTTGTATTTTTTTTTTTTTTTTTTTTTTTTTTTAGTCGAGACGGGGTTTCACCATCTTGGCCACGCTGGTCTTGAACTCCTGACCTCGTGATCCACCCGCTTCAGCCTCCCAAAGTGCAGGGATTACAGGCGTGAGCCACCGCACCCAGCCTCTGGCTCTTTTCTTTTTGACATGAAATCTTAAGTTAATTATCTTAAACTTTAAGAACTAGAAGGATTCTTAGTCCAGCACCATCAGTTTACAAACAAAAAAAACTTGTGTCCCTGAGAAGTTGTGACTTTTCCAGGGCCTCCTAGCCAGGATACCAGTTTGGTTTTTATTATATAGCTAGCCGAGTAATACTATTAACTTGACTTCTGGGATTTCAAAGTATTCTATGACTTGACTGTTTAAGGGAATTATGAGGCCTCACTGAACCTCAAAAGATAATTTTAGGTACCATCCTGGTAGCTGTAGAGCAGCAACAGACCAGTAAAAGACTTGGTTGGTGTTGCCCTTCTTCTGGGTTTGATTACATGAGTAATTGTGTGAATAGTCTCTAAGTTGTATGCTCTGAGCTTTCGTTTTTAGCTTATAAAAGTGCTACTCTTGGGCCAGCATAGTATCAGAAATTAGCTAATTCATATGGGGCAGTTTAGGCTTTAACTAGGAAATGATGGTTATCTTAATGACAAAAAAGGTACTGACAAAAGTCCTTTTTTGAACATGTGTTCAAAAGAAAAAGAGAAACTATCAAACTAATAACTGAGTTTGTTGAACATCGAGATTGACTGATCTGAGAGGCTTAAAACTGATTGCCCTGAAATAGACTTGCATGTTTTGGATGATGGCTTTGGGTCTCCCAGAGCACTTGGTTTCCCTTGGTGCTGATTTTTTCTCTCAGGATTAAAGCCCCTTTATGTGATGTTGTTACAGCAGCTTATTGCAACTTCATTCAGCTGCTTGAAAAAGAAGGGAGACTGCCTCTAGGTTCCATGTGTTCTTTCAGGGATGGTATTTTGATGTTGCGTATTCTCTTGAACATGTATTCTTCCCTGAGAATTTCTGTGTGCCGTGGTAGAAGAAATACTTGCCAGAAATCGCCACTCATGGTATGCTTTTGTAGTGTCGAAGTGTCCCCTAGAGGTGACAAGGCTTGTGATAGTGTTGATTCTAACAAGCATGAATCTTTCCTTTATTTTAGCACTGTGTGTTACGTGCCAGTAATTTGCAGCTTATCCTTTGTTTCTAGCTAGGTAAGCTGGGAAATAGCCTAGTACTTTGTCTATGTGTTTATCTTCAAAATGTCCCAAATAGCCCTGGGAAAAAGGTCGTGCAGCTCAATGGGGGCTTTCAACTTACAATTTTCTTTGTTTTAGGCTCCATAAAAATACAGACTCACCAGTTCCTGCTTTGATGTGACATGTGACTCCCCAGAATACACCTTGCTTCTGTAGACCAGCTCCAACAGGATTCCATGGTAGCTGGGATGTTAGGGCTCAGGTAAGTAACCTTCCTTTTTTTTTTTTTAGTATATGTCCTGGTTTGGCCATCTGTTTTTTTTTTTTTTAAAAAAAAAAAAAAAAGGAAAAGAGGAAAAAAATATACTACTCTTGGACAGTATAAAAGTACCCCAAAGACTAAAGACATAACTGTGCCAAACTGTGCCATATAATAAAAAAAAGTCACTTCCCTGAGCCCTGAAAGGTCAGTGTGTGTAGGGTTACTTGGTCGCCACAGCGTGATCTGGGGGCGGGCGTCAGATTAGAGCCGGAACTGGTGATCTGCAACTTCAGTTCACCTTGAAGCAGGTCAGCTGAGCTGAGAGCGCTTGCACTGAGCCCTTTTGCGCTGCTGCTGTTGCCTTAGCGGTCTTCAGCATGTGTTTGCTTTGGTTTGGGGTAAATGGCTTAGTGGTCAACATTAGTGAGCAGTGGTAATGCATTTTCAGATATGGGAACTGGTATGTGGTTGGTTCCCTAGAAGGACACCCTCCTGAAAGCTGTCTCAGAACACCGGGGGCCATGGCTAATGTCATGTGCTTGCTACACTCCTCCCATGGTAACTAAAGAGAGTACCCAGATATACATCTGGTTCTTGGGACTCTAGAGGAGGATGAGTACTTTGTAAAAACCTGGGGGCCCCAGTCATTCTAGGTCTGACACTCAGGTGCTGTATCAGCTGCAGTTTGAACTACTTGGCACCATTGTGTGGACTTTAGTTTTGTAAAAATGAATGGTTCCTTAATTTCTCAACCTTCAGGCTCAACATCTCAAGCTGTTTGTTGTTGTTGTTGTTGTTGTTGTTTTGTTTTGTCTTTTTGATTAGTGGTCACTCCGCATTTGATGTTTTGACATGTGGATTTCAGAACTTCTGTGTGGTAAAGCAGAATGTTCCAATTGAATTTTCCCATTTTTTTTCCCCTAAGCAAAAATGTGAGTTTTCACTTATGCGGCCATTGTGATTCCGACTGAGACCCTAAGTCGTTCTTTGTTGTCTCTCTAGTGGTTTCTGACACCTCAGTGTGAAGCTGTTGTAGACATCCATAAGAAATAGCCTGCTTAGGGATTATGTGAGGGCAAGGTTTGGCTGAAGGAGAATAGAAGGTGTGGAAGGAAGCGGAAGACCAGAAGAGCATCACACTGCCTCAAGTCCCAAATTTGATTCTGCTCCTGATCCTGTGACTCAAATTGTCATTCTCTTTTACTGCTGTGGGGTGTGCTCTGGGCCCAGCTGACAGGACATTCTTTGTACTCCACGTATTTATGCTGGTGGGAGTTGTATGGCTAGTGCTTTGTGCTTTGTCTCAGAAATTGTGTGGACTAAATGTAATATGGGCAGTGAATGGGTTTCTTCTGGAAGATGTTAGGCCTGGAGGGTGGTTTGGGTTTTTACGAGTCTTTTTCTCAGATTACAGATTACGAATGGATGTTATAAAACAGGCAGTGTTGACACCATACAGTTTCTCCTAAGAAATGTACAGAGAGTTCAACCTGAGGAAGCTAATTGAAAATAAACTTTTAAAAAGAAATGTAGAAAGAGGAAATTTAAAAAGTATCTTATGAATGGGAAAGATGTAGCCATTTGAGCTTCAAAGAACTTTTGAGGGAATTCTCAAAGGACAGTACCCGTCTTTAGTAGATAAATGCTTGATATCTATTTTTCTTCTTTTACTTTTTAAAGAATTACTAAAATAATACATGGATTTATAGAAAAATCAAACCACTTAAAAATTGATCAGGTGGCTGGGCAAGGTGGCTCATGCCTGTAATCACAGCGCTTTGGGAGGCCTAGGCGGGTGGATCACCTGAAGTCAGGAGTTCGAGACCAGCCTGGCTAACACGGCGAAACCCCATCTCTATTAAAAATACAAAAATTAGCTGGCCATGGTGGCTTGAGCGTGTAGTCCCAGCTACTCGGAAGGCTGAGGCAGGAGAATCACTTGAACCTGGGAGGCGGAGGTTGCAGTGAGCCAAGATCACACCACTGAACTCCTGCCTGGGTGACAGAGTGAGACTCGGTCTCAAAAAAAAAAAAAAAAAAAAGTATCAGGTAAAAAAATGAAAGCTCCCCGCTTAATCTCTGCTCCCACTACCCAGAATAACTGCTGTTAATAGCTTAATGTAGATCCTTCTAAGTCTTCTAAGACTAAACTGTGTACTTTTTGTGTTGTAATTAACAGGAGGGTTTTTGTTTTGTTTTGTTTTTTCTTTTTTTGAGATGGAGTCTTGCTCTGTCATCCAGGCTGGAGTACAGTGGCACAATCTTGGCTCACTGCAACCTCCACCTCCTGGGTTCAAGTGATTCTCCTGCCTCAGCCTCCTGAGTAGCTGGGATTACAGGCGCCTGCCACCACACCCAGCTAATTTTTGTATTTTTAGTAGAGATGGGTTTCACCATGTTGGCCAGGCTGGTGTCGAACTCCTGACCTCAGGCGATCCACCTGCCTTGGCCTCCCAAAGTGCTGGGATTACAGGCGTGAGCCACCGTGCCTGGCCTCAGGATGGTGTTATATATACATATTCTGCATTTTTCCATCTCATATATTCATCTCTGCCTCATTTCTTTTAAATAGCAGTGTAGTCCAGGGCTGACTTACCGTCATGCATTTCGTTGTCTCTCTATGTTATTAAAAATGCTACAGGATTGAAATTCCTCATGTGCCAGTCATTTTGAAGAATGGCTGCCTAGACTTGGAATTTCTGGTGGATACCACCACATCACTGTCCAAAATGGCTATCCCAGTTCCCACAACAGTCTGAGAAAGTGCCATTTTCCCATATCGTCCCAGAATTGGATATACATCTTTTAAATTGGTGCCGCTTGGATTATTACTGAGGCTAAACCTCAATAATCATTGTCATAGCTCTTAATGTATTAAAGATGTTAACTCTTTGTCATGCAGATATTTTCCTGTTTTGTCTTACGTCTTGATTCTTGTCTTTCTGATATATAAAATTTATGTTATGATTTATTCTTTTGCTTTCATACTTAGGAAATCCTTTTTTACTCTTTTTTTTTTTTTTTTTTTTTTTTTTGAGACGGAGTCTCGCTCTGTCGCCCAGGTTGGAGTGCAATGGCGTGATCTTGGCTCACTGCAAGCTCCATCTCCCGGGTTCATTCCATTCTCCTGCCTCAGCCTCCCGAGTAGCTGGGACTACAGGCGCCCGCCACCACGCCTGGCTAATTTTTTTGTATTTGTGAGACAGGGTTTCACCATGTTAGCCAGGCTGGTCTCGATCTCCTGACCTTGTGATCCGCCCGTCTCTGCCTCCCAAAGTGCTGGGATTACAGGCGTGAGCCACCGCGCCCCGCCAGGAAATCCTTTCCTACTCTTAACAACAGATCAATAGTCATCTATATTTTCTTCCTAAAAAACCTGATGATGTATTATATTCATACATACGTATTTAATACATACAAAAGGGCCAGATGCGGTGGCTCATGCCTGTAATCCCAGCACTTTGGGAGGCTGAGGCGGGTGGATCACCTGAGGTCAAGAGTTCAAGACCAGCCTGGCCAAGATGGTGAAATCCCGTCTCTACTAAAAATACAAAAATTAGCCAGGCGTGGTGGCGGGCACCTGTAATCTCAACTACTGGGGTGACTGAGGCAGGAGAATCGCTTGAACCCAGGAGGCAGAAGTTTCGGTGAGCCAAGATCACGCCACTGCACTCCTGCCTGGGCGATAGAGTGAGGCTCTGTCTCAAAAATAAAAAATAAAAATAATAATTTTATAGTTAAGTTGCCCTGTGTTTTTCCTGTGATTAAAAAAAAAAATACCTGTTTTGTATTTAACTTTGGGGTGGGATAAGGTATAGCCCACTTAGTCAGTTGTGTCTAAGCCACTTGATGAACCAGTCAATCCAGTCTTCACCTTTAACAAATGCTGATTTCTTCAAGTGAGCAAAATATCTCTTAAACTTTTTCCTATTTTCTCTATAAAGTTGCTTTTTTCTGAATTTTTTCTTTATGAGGCTTGATGGGCAGCCCTATCAGCAGACAATCATTCATTCACCCAACAAATATTTGAGTATCTGCTTCAAGCCAGGGGCAGTGCTAAGCCCTGGAAGTGGTATCTTCTCCTTATCCGGGAGTGGGGCTACAGTGTTCATTCCAGAAGACTCAAGAAAATAGCAGATCATCACAAAAGTAGGTTTTACATAAATGAGGAGGAATCCACAGGGTTGTGTATATGTGTGTGTATTTTAAATTCTGACATAAGTTGGAGCTTTAGGGTAGACTGTGACATAAGAGTAGTTTGTTTTCCAACTCATGTAATTGCCGGCTGATTTTTGTCTTGAATTATGATAATGGTAACTTCTGTTGAAACAATTCTGTATTCATCTTAGCTTGGTTGGGATGCAATAAAAGTTTTGTACTGGTAAAAATGATAATTTTCTTCCATGATGATTTTGAAGCTTTTCTGTAACACCTGATAAAAATAGAGGGGCCAGGCATGGTGGCTCATGCCTGTAGTCCCAGCTACTCGGGAGGATGAGGTGAGAGGATCCCATGAGCCCAGGAGTTTTAGGCTACAGTGAGCCATCATCACACCACTGTACTCCTGTACTCTAGCCTGGGCAGCCTCGTTCTTTAGAGTAAGACACTGTCTCTTTAAAAAAAAAAAAAAAGAAAAAAGAAAAAAAGAAAAGGCTTTTAGTGAATATATTTTTAGGGTAGCAAGTGTAATTTTTATAAATTGCATTATTTGAATCTAATAAATACCCTCAAAGCTGAAGTCGAATTCTGATTTTGATTGAAAATATTTTTTACTTAAAGGAAGAGGGATAGAATAAATGACACGATTAAGGAAAAGACTTCTTGTATAAGGCCGGGGTTTTTTAAATGATTTTTTGAATAGTTAGATGGACAATACGGAATTAAAAAGGT
Organism: Homo sapiens; assembly: GCF_000001405.40. Lineage (NCBI taxonomy): Eukaryota > Metazoa > Chordata > Mammalia > Primates > Hominidae > Homo > Homo sapiens. The sequence goes on along the minus strand of NC_000023.11, from coordinate 154,087,293 downwards.
GGTGTAAAAAGTTATACGGGGCTGGGCACAGTGACTCACGCCTGCAATCCCAGTACTTTGGGAGGCCGAGGTGGGTGGATCACCTGAGGTCAGGAGTTCGAGACCAGCCTAGCCAACATGACGAAACATCATTTCTACTAAAAATACAAAAATTAGCTGGGCTTGGTGGTATGCACCTGTAATCCAGCTACTCGGGAGGCTGAGGCAGAAGAATCGTTTGAACCCAGGAGGCAGAGGTTGCAGTGAGCCAAGATCGTGCCATTGCACTCCAGCCTGGGCGACAGAGTGAGACTCCATCTCAGAAAAATAATAATAGAAAAAAGTTATATGGGGCTGGGCATGGTGGCTCATGCCTGTAATCCCAGCAGTTTGGGAGGCTGAGGCAGCTTGATCACTTGAGGTCAGGAATTCGAGACTAGCCTGGCCAACATGGTGAAACTCCGTCTCCACTAAAAATACAAAAATTAGCCAAGCGTGGTGGTGCGTGCCTGTAGTCCCAGCTACTTGGGAAGCTGAGGCAGGAGAATCGCCTGAACCTGGGAGGCAGAGGTTGCAGTGAGCCAAGATCATGCCGTTGCACTCCAGCCTGGACGACAAGAGCGGAACTCCGTCTCAAAAAAAAAAAAAAAAGAGTTATATTGTAAAGTATCTCTGCTACCCTGCCCCAAACATTCATTTCTTTCCCTGGAGGCAGCCACTATTACCTGTTTCTTTAAAAAAAAAAAAAAATTGTGGCCGGGCACGGTGGCTCACGCCTGTAATCCTAGCACTTTGGGAGGTGGAGGTGGGTGGATCATGAGGTCAAGAGATCGAGACCATCTTGGCCAACATGGTAAAACCCCATCTCTACTAAAAATACAAAAAATTAGCCGGGCATGGTGGCGGGCACCTGTAGTCCCAGCTACTCGGGAGGCTGAGGCAGGAGAATCGCTTGAACCTGGGAGGCAGAGGTTGCAGTGAACTGAGATCACGCCGCTGCACTCCAGCCTGGCAACAGAATGAGACTCCATCTCAAAAAAAAAAGCGTGTGTGTACCCGTGTGTTAAATTTTTATTATAAAATATATATAACAGGCTGGGCGTGGTGGCTCACGCCTGTAATCCCAGCACTTTGGGAGGCCGAGGCAGGCTGATCACGAGGTCAGGAGATCGAGACCATCCTGGCGAGCACGGTGAAACCTCGTCTTTACTAAAAATACAAAAAATTAGCCGGGCATGGTGGCGGGCGCCTGTAGTCCCAGCTACTCTGAGAGCCTGAGGCAGGAGAATGGCGTGAACCCAGGAGGCGGAGCTTGCAGTGAGCCGAGATCGCGTCACTGCACTCCAGCCTGGGCGACAGACCGAGACTCCGTCTCAAAAAATATATATCGATATATATAACAATTTACAGTTTTAATCATCTTAACTGTACAGTTCAGTGGCACTGAGTACATTCACATTGTTGTACAGCCATTACTACCATCCATCTCTACAACCTTTCGTCTTGCAAAACTGAAATTTCATACCTATTAAACACTAACTCCCACTTCTCCCCTTTCCCCCACCCCACCCTCTGGCAACTACTATTCTACTCTTTGTCTCTATTGGACATATTTTTGTGTGTTTAGGTTTGTGTATATATTTTACATGTGTGTATAAATACACAAGGGTATGTGGGCGTTGTGTTTTTACACATACTATAAAATATTGTGCACATTTGTTTATTTTAATGTATCCTGTAGATTATTTAGAATCGGTTCATACAGAGCCGTATCATTCCTTTTAAGGGTTGGGTTTAAATAGTCTGTTATGGATGTACCACAATTTATTTAACCAGTTTTTAAATTTTTTACTTATTTTTTTTAATGTTTTTTTAGAGACAGGATCCCACTCCATCACCCAGACTGGAGTGCAACAGCATGATCATAGCTTACTGCAGCCTTGAACTCCGGGGCTGATGTGATCCTCCCACCTCAGGCTCTCTTGTAGCTGGGACTACAGGGATGTGCCGCCATGCCTGGCTAAATTTTTTATTTTTATTTTTATTTTTATTTTTGGTAGACACGGGGTTTCACTGTGTTGCCCAGGCTGGTCTTGAACTCCTTGGGCTTGAGTAATCCTCCTGCCTTGGCCTCCCAAAGTGCCGAGATTACAACCATGAGCCATGGAGCCCGACAAGAGTAGCCTTTTATTTGCAGACCATTAGAGAAAAAGTTGCGTGTAAGTAGATAAGCATACGAATTTATCACTGCAATACTGTTTGTAGAGATCACAGAGCTGTTAGGCTAGGAAGAAGTTTTTAGCAGTTAGCACTAGAAAGCAAAACTTTGGAAACTTCCATTTCATCAAAAGTGACCTCATCTGAGTAGGGCATGTGAGGGAAGGACCTTTTTACTCGACAAGGGGAACTTGCCCAGTTCTTGTTTGTGAACCTTGAAGAAAGTGGAGCATTTTTATTTTGGGACCATTCTAGGTTGTGGTAGTTCCTTGGTACTCGGGGTTGGAGAATCTCCCTCTGCTGCTGGACCTTCTGCCTCCTCATGCTGTAATATGCATAAGAGGTGTCCTAGAAGTATTCAGGAACAGGCTGTGGTTGCTTTGTTGTTCTGTGACTGTTGAACTCTTTATATAGCAGTACTTTTTTAAGCTGTACTAATTGAGCATTTATTATGTGTCAGTTACTGTGCTAGCTGCTGGAAACTATCCTACCCTCAGCAGTCTTCTGGTCTAATGGGAGGTACAGACAGGCAAATGGGCTATGACTTTACAAGAGGCTAACTTCTGTGATGGAGAGAAGTTCCAGCCACTAAGGGAGCACATAAAAATCAGAGGAGATCCTACCAAGAATTGGGAGGTAGGTCAGGGAGGAGACTTCTTTGAAAAATGGCATCTAAGACCTGAACAGCAAGGAAACATTAGCTAGGTCAAGGACAAAGCATCAGTGGGGAGAGATGCATGAGTCTTTTGGAAGGACCAGCATGTGTAGAGGCTCTGACAGGAGAGAATCTCTCAGGCCCATTCAGAGAGTCCACTGTGTGAAGACGAGGCATGAACAACCAGCCAGGACATGTGGAGAGGAGCATTTTTCTTTTTTTCTTTTTTCTTTCTTTTTTTTTTTTTTTTTTTTTGAGACGTCTTTCTCTGTCACCCAGGCTGGAGTGCAATGGCATGATCTCGGCTCACTGCAACCCCCACTTCCAGGGTTCAAGCAATTCTTCTGCCTTAGCCTCCCAAGCAGCTAGGATTACAGGCACCCGCCACCATGCCCGGTTAATTTTTGTATTTTTAGTAGAGACGGAGTTTCACCATGTTGGCCTCAAACTCCTGACCTTAGGTGATCTACCCGTCTCGGCCTCCCAGAGTGCTGGGATTACAGGTGAGAGCCCCCACGCCCGGCCAGGCTCGGCTTTCTTTCCAGGCCCCGTCACACTCTTAGATGTTCCCTGGGCCCCAGAAGGCAGCGTGAGGTGCTCTGCCCATCTATGCTGTCCTTTTCCACCCCACCCTATCCACTGGGCCCCTGGGGCTCCCACTCCACTCCAGGTCTCTTCATGGACCCTTCTTTCCCTTCACTTCTGTCCCAGGAGACCTGGGAGACTCATGGGAACAGGCATCATCTTCTCCAGCACAGTTCATTGTCTAATGCACGAAAGTGCTGGGCTGTGAGAAGGTCAGGAGCTTACATGGAATGGGAGTCAGCTGTGGTACAAAGTACGCTGCTTAGTTCTACTGATTTTTTATTTTTTATTTTTACATAAGACTTTGATGGTAAAGGAAGCAGTGTGTGAGCAAGCTGACTCCTGTCTTGTCAAGTACCAGGTCCACTCTGATGAGCCCCTGTGGACAGCACTGCTGTAACTCCCCAAGCCTGGGCTCAGGAGGTGGGCCCTAAGCGCTGTTCCCAGCTCTTCCTCCATGCTGTCAGCTCTTCCACCATTCTTCCTGGCGTCATTCTAAGGTCCTGTCTTCCCCCGCCCTCTTCCTTCCTGGCTTCTACGCTCAGCTCAAGTAGTAGCTGTTTGGGTACTTTTCACCCAGACTTAGGAAATGTTATCAGTTGGTCGTATTCCTGTCAGCCCTCTTACTATGGAACTCAAATAGGACAGATTCAGCTGAATTCCCAGCCCTGTGGTTGCACTCTTTGTCTGCCCTGCTTCCCCAAGGTAGCCTGCTCCCTAAAGGTCACCGAGATACTCCCCATGCAAGGTTTTTGTTGTATTACACATGACAACATGGAATAAAGTGTTTTGCAAATTTACTGGATGATATCCTACTATGTGGAACATCCTACAACTTACTCTTTTCACTCAACATTTGACTTTTGAACCTGGTCTGTACTGCTCCGTGCAGACCAATGTTCATTCATTTGATATGTCTCCTTGTGCCATAGAAATAGTTTTACAATAGAAGCCTGTCCAGAGCCATGAGGGAGAAGGGGATTGTAGAGAAACAAGGATTGGCATCTGGTTTATGTTTACATCCTTTAGTCCTGTTAACCGAGAAGAAGATATTTTTATTTCCATGTTTGCGAAAGCTTTCCACAAAAAAAGCATCCATTTTCTAGACTTATTAATAGGGCAGTCCAAAGGTTTTATTTTTAGATTTGAAAGAAAGCAAAGTAGGCTTCTGAGATATGCACATTTCCCTGTGTCCCTGTCTCTTTTGCAACATTCCACATTGCTGCTAAAACTTGAACATGAGCACTTTCAAGCATGTGCTTACTTTCTATGTATGACTCATTTTTTAAAACATTAAAGCATTTTCGGCCGGGTGTGGTGGCTCACGCCTATATTCCTAGCACTTTAGAAGGCCGAGGCGGGTAGATCACTTGAGGTCAGGAGTTCAAGACCAGCCTAGCCAATATAGTGAAACCCCATCTCCACTAAAAATACAAAAATTAGCCGGGCATGGTGGCGGGCGCCTGTAATCCCAGCTACTCGGGAGGCTGAGGCAGGAGAATTGCTTGAACCCAGGAGGTGGAGGTTGCAGTGAGCAGAGATCGAGCCACTGCACTCTAGCCTAGGTGACAGAGCGAGACTCTGTCTCAAAAAAATAAAAATAAAGCATTAAAGCACTTTGTCTGGTGGTATGTAAGTTTTGGCATTACTTAGATAAGTTGTATTTTAAGTCTTTCTACACACAATAACTTATTTTTAAAATACAAGTTTCTGTGTACTTCCGGGTTTTGTGTTTTTGTAAACAGCAGAAGGTATTAGTCCATATTAAGTACTAATTTGTTCTAATATTTTCAGCTGTTTTTGGAATTACACTTGGCAAAAAAATAGACAAATGTCTGCAGTTGTGACAGTTTGTTTTTTTGTTCTTTTTAACTCCAGAATAAATAATTCTAGTGAGTTTTTTTCTTGGCTTGTAAGAACATGGGAATGATTAGAGTCATCATAACACTTAAGTAGTTATAGAAGGTTGAACATCTGTAGTCAGTTGTATAAAATTTCCTAGTCATCCTTCCAGGTTGTTTAAGACAAACAAATACATAGTATTTATTAAGCTCTTATAAATTTTAATTGTAAAACATCATTGTACAAAACTTTGAAAATGCGTATAGGTACAAAGATAAAAAATTAGGCCAGGCATGCCATGGCTCACGCCTGTAATCCCAGCACTTTGGGAGGCCAAGGTGGGAGGATCTTTTGAGCCCAGGAGTTCAAGACCAGCCTGAGCAACATATTGAGACCCTATCTCTACAAAAATATCATAAAACAAAATAGAATCACTCTGGCGATTCCACTATCCAAAAAAAAAAAAAACTGCTGTTAATATTTGGTATGTATCTTTCTAGACCAAGGCCTCCAACTTTGGTTGAGAATTCAGCCGGGTCTGTGACCTTGGATGGGAAAAACATTCACTCTTTATTTTCACTAATGTCTCTGAAAACCCAGATTTTTAGCTGGGCATGGTGGCTCGTGCCTGTAATCCCAGTGCTTTGGAAGCCCGTGGAGGGCAGATCACTTGAGCCCAGGAGTTTGAGACCAGCCTGGGCAACATAGCAAGACCCTGTCTTTTAAAAAAAAAAAAAATCCAGCCGGGTGTGGTGGCTCATGCCTGTAATCCCAGCACTTTGAGAGGCTGAGGCAGGCAGATCACCTGAGGTCAGGAGTTTGAGACCAGCCTGACCAACATGGTGAAATCCTGTCTCTACTAAAAATACAAAAATCAGCCGGGCATGGTGGTGGGCGCCTGTAATCCCAGCTACTCCGGAGGCTGAGGCAGGAGAATCACTTGAACCCGGAAGGTAGAGGTTGCAGTGAGCCAAGATCACACCATTGCACTCCAGCCTGGGCGACAGAGCGAGACTCTGTCTCAAAAAAAAAAAAAAAAATCCACATTTTCTTCAATGACAATTGTAAGCAACAGATCATGGTAGTATTAGAATAGCAGTGACTGTCACCAGTAGAGATCAAAGATACTTTCATATCATATTATAGTTGTTACAGATATTTTGAAATATATATGTCCATCACTGCTTCAAACTTAAGGTAATTATTAGACCCATCTCTAGATCTGGTTATTTAATGATTTACTGAAGAAGCACATATTATTTGAGAACGAACTCTTGAAATATGTTGTTAATTTCTGTGCATTTTACACATTTCAAAACATTCTTCTGAGGAGGGGTCCAGAAGGCCAAAAGGGTCCATGGCAGAAAAAGGTTAAGAACACCTGTTCTGTACTTTGTACCATGTGGCTACAAATATAAAAACAGACGTTAAGCCGGGTATGGTGATGCACACCTGTAGTTCCACCTACTTGGGAGGCTGAGGTGGGAAAATCACTTGAGCCCAGGAGTTTGAGGCCAGCCTGGGCAACAGAGCAAGACCCCATCTCTTAAAAACCAGTCAGCACTTGACTAGTCAGTTAGTGGGGGAAAACACAGGTACAGTAAAAGGAGTCAAAATTACACTTAAACTTAGGTCATCTTATTATATCAAACATTTATTAACATGTTTAGTGTTTTGTGTATATTATGCAAAGTGTAATGCAACTAAAACTGTTTAACACTTCTCGATATCACATAAATTTGTTGGTGCATAATAGCCTAAAAGTTACTTTTGCTGTTGGCATTTTATTTTATTACTTACTTATTTATTTATTTATTTATTTATTTTGAGACAGAGTCACACTGTCGCCAGGCTGGAGTGCAGTGGTGCGATCTCAGCTCACTGCAACCTCTGCCTCCCTGGTTCAAGCGATTCTCCCGCCTCAGCCTCCTGACTAGCTGGGACTACAGGTGCGCGCCACCATGCCCAGCTAATTTTTGTATTTTTAGTAGAGATAGGGTTTCGCCATGTTGGCCAGGATGGTCTTCATCTCTTGACCTTGTGATCTGCCCACCTCGGCCTCCCAAAGTGCTAGGATTACAGGCATGAGCCACCACGCTGGGCCTGCTGTTGGCATTTTAAACATCCTTCTAGAGTCTTTCTTATTTGCCTGTAAGCACGTACACATGTTGTTGTTGTTTTGAGACAAGGTCTGTCGCCCAAGCTGGAGCACAGTGGTGCAATCACAGCTCACTACAGCTTCGACCTCTTGGGTGCAAGTGATCCTCCCAATCAGCCTCCCAAGTAGGTGGGACTACAGGTGTCCGCTACCATGCCCAGCTAATTTTTGTATTTTTTTTGTAGAGACGGAGTTTCACCATGTTGCCCAGACTGGTCTCAAACTCCTTTGCTCAAACGATCCTTCCGCCTCGGCCTCCCAAAGTGCCGGGATTACAAGTGTGCACCTCTGTGCCTGGCCCACATGTTGTTTTAGATGAATGAGATCATATATGTACTTTTGTAACTTGCTACCTTTCCTCAACAAAATGTTGTAAATATCCATGTCCATAAAAATAGACGTATATCTTCACTTTTCCCTAAAATGAAAATAACTTAACTTGCATTTTCTTTTTTGTTTTTGTTTTTGTTTTGAGACAGGCTCTTGCTCTGTTGCTCAGGCTGGAGTGCAGTGATGTCACAGCTCACTACAGCCTCCACCTCCAGTTTCAAGTATTCCACCTACCTCAGCCTCCAAGATAGCTAAGACTACAGGCACATGTCACGACGCCTGGCTAATTTTTAAAATATTTTTTGCAGAAATGGGATTTCACTATGTTGCCCAGGCTGGCCTCAAACTGCTGGCCTCAAGTGATCTTCCTGCCTTGGCCTCCCAAAGTGCTGGGATTACAGTCGTGAGCCACTGTGCCCAGCCTGCATTTTCTTATTATAAAAGTAATACATGTTCAATGGACAAAAAATTTTCAGAAAATATGCAAAGATGAAAAGTAAAAATTGTCCATAAATCTGTCATCTACAGATAAAGATAACTTCTGGATAATGTTTTTCTACCATCATTTTTAGTAATCACATAACATTTCGTTGTATGTCTATGCCTTCATTTAATTAAGAGGCATTTCCATTATTTCTGCATGTTCATGACTCTGAATGATGATATGTCTGCCTGCTGATGGCTACAACCCTGTTTCTGCATTTCAAACCTCTCTCTTGAGCTCCAGATTTGATGGCCTCGTCAGCATTTACTTGAGTTGCTCATAAGTGTCTCAAATTTAACAAGTCCCAGTCTTGATTTTTTTCCCCCTTCAAACCTATTCCTCATGTTGTCTCTATTTCAGTAAACAATATCAACATCCACCCAGTTACTCAGTCCAAAATTCTAGGAGTCATCCTTGATTCTGCTCTTTCTTTTTTTTTTTTTTTTTGAGACGGAGTCTCGCTCTGTCGCCCAGGCCGGACTGCGGACTGCAGTGGCGCGATCTCGGCTCACTGCAAGCTCCGCTTCCCGGGTTCACGCCATTCTCCTGCCTCAGCCTCCCGAGTAGCTGGGACTACAGGCGCCCGCCACCGCGCCCGGCTAATTTTTTGTATTTTTAGTAGAGACGGGGTTTCACCTTGTTAGCCAGGATGGTCTCGATCTCCTGACCTCATGATCCACCCGCCTCGGCCTCCCAAAGTGCTGGGATTACAGGCGTGAGCCACCGCGCCCGGCCTCTTTTTTTTTTTTGATACGGAGTCTCATTCTCGTCATCCAGGCTGGAGTGCAGTGGTGCAATCTTGGCTCACTGCAACCTCCGCCTCCCGGGTTCAAGCAATTCTTCTGCCCCAACCTCCTGAGTAGCTGGGCCTGGCTAATTTTTTGTATTTTTAGTAGAGATGGGGTTTCACCATGTTGGCCAGGCTGGTCCTGAACTCCTGACCTTGTGATCCGCCCACCTCAGCCTCCCAAAGTGCTGGGATTACAGGCGTGAGCCACTGCACCCGCCCTGATTCTGCTCTTTCTCTCATCATCCCTGATCTGTCAGCAAGTCCTGTTAGGCCAACCACTTCTCAGCATCTGCACTGCCAGTATGCTAGTCCAAGCCACAAAACACCTCTCAGAGGTACGCAACAGGACTTTGTTGTTGTTGTGTGTGTGTGTGTTTTTTTTTTTTTACGGTAGAATTATTTTATAACTTGAAGTGTAGGGATGACCTTCCTTTTAAAATTTTATTTATTTTCTTAATTTTTTATTCCCATAGATTTTAGGGGAACAGGTGGTATTTGGTGACATGAGTAAGTTCTTTAATGGTGATTTCTGAGATTTTGGTGCACCCATCACCCGAGCAGTGTACACTGAACCCAATTTGTAGTCTTTTATCCCTCACCCCCTCCCACCCTTTCCCTCAAGTCCCCAAAGTCCATTGTATCATTCTGATGCCTTTGCATCCTCATAGCTTAGCTCCCACTTATGAGTGAGAACATACAGTGTTTGGTTTTCCATTCCTGAGTTACTTCACTTAGAATAATAGTCTCTAGTTCCATCCAGGTTGCTGTGAATGCCATTAAGTCATTCCTTTTTATGGCTGAGTAGTATTCCTTTGTATATATATGCCACAATTTCTCTATTCACTTTCTGATTGATGGGCATTTGGGCTGGTTCTATATTTTTGTAATTGTGAATTGTGCTGCTATAAGCATGCGTGTGCAAGTATCATTATGCAACGGGACTTCGGATGACATATTGAACAACTTCCTCACTGATATCCTTGTGAAACGCTACATATTTCATGGGTCTGTTTGTTATACCAACACTCAATTCTGAATGATGGAATTATTTCACATTTAGTCTCTTTTTCATCTAGCCATTATAGTTTAGTTTAAACACCAAGTTCCATTCCTGCTGCATGCTGAAGGATTTGCAGTACATCAGGCTATAGTCCATCAATTCATTCCACAATTGAGTAAGTAAGGTATCTATAGTACCTCAGGCCCTGTGTTAGGCAGGGATGGGGTAACCTAGACAGATTTGGTACCTGTCCTCATGGAGCTTGACTTTAGCGGCAGAGACAGATCTTAGATAATTGTACCAGTACTTAAGTGTTCAGAAGGACAAGTATGGAGGTGGGAGCCACTCCAGTCCTCTACAGTCACGTGCTGCACAACAACGTTTCAACCGACAACAGAGCACACATACAGTGGTGTTCCCATAAGATTAGAATGCCATATTTTTACTGTACCTTTTCTATGTTTAGATATACAAATACTTACCATTGTGTTCCAGTGATCTACAGTATTCAGTATAGTACCATGCTGTACAGTTTTATAGCCCAGGAGCAATAGGCTATATACCGTATAGCCTAGGTGTGTAGTATGCTACACCATCTAGATTTGTGTAAGAACACTCTCTGATGTTAGCACAAATAAATCGCCCAATGACACATTTCTCAGAACATATCCCTGTTGTTGAGCGACTCATGACTGTACAATGGGGGAACAGCTCAGCCTGCCTTCCCCAAGGAGGCAACGCCGATGCAGGGAACCGAGGGTTGAACAGAAGTGGGCAAGGTGCAGAGAGGAAAAAGGCTTTCCAGATGGAGAAGAGCATGTGTGAAGGCCCTCAGTCTGGCAAGAGCTTAGTCCTGTGTGGCAGGAGCTGAACGAGGGGTTAGGGGAGAGTGGCAAAGGGTCCGGGCCATCAGAGAGGTCAACAGGGGCTGGATCATGCAGGATTTTGAATGTTAACATCAGAGCGATAGAAAACATGAAGGGTAAGGTGGTTTGGGTTTTGAATTTTTATCAAAATATTGCAACTACTCGGCAACAAGTTAGATATAACAAAAGAGGTCATCGTAAAAACAGCAGTCTACCCCTTCCCCTTCCCTTCCCTGACTCAGACATGACAGCTTTTAACTGTTTCTGATTTTAGTTCCTTTGATGGTTACCTCCAAAATTAAATCATATGCTTATACATCTTTCTTGATTTGCCAACTTTAGGGAACTGTGTTAACTCCCTGAAATGAAAGAGAATGACTTAGCTTACGTTACCTCCCCATGTTGAAATTCATATTCACATTTCTCTGTAATTTTTTTTTTGAGATGGAGTCTCACTCTGTCGCCCAGGCTGGAGTGCAGTGATGTGATCTCGGCTCACTGAAACCTCTGCCTCCCGGGTTCAAGCAATTCTCGTGCCTCAGCCTCCTGAGTAGCTGGGACTACAGGCGCACACCAGTGCACTGGGCTAATTTTTGTATTTTTAGTAGAGGCGGGGTTTCACCATGTTGGCCAGGCTGGTCTTAAACTCCTGACCTCAGGTGATCTGCCTGCCTTGGCCTCCCAAAGTGCTGGGATTACAGGTGTGAGCTACCATGCCAAGCCCACATTTCTCTGTAAATTTTAAACAGTATTTTAGTCCATATGTCAGTTCCCCTCTGTTTAAGATAAGGATATTAATAACCCTACTTTTCCTTCCACTTTCCCTCCTTAACTTCTGCGTCTTAAAAGCTGTACTTGACCATACCCATTCTTGCATTTGTTAACATGTGTGTTCTGCCCTGCAACCACAGCCAAGTTGTAGCTTAATTCTAAAGTCGAAAATAACATTATTTACATTATTACACATGTGAGTATTGTTCTTGGCGAGACCAAATAATGAATGTGCCCAGGATTACATTTCCTTCTTTACAGATCTGGACCACTCAAAGGAGAATGACCAATCAAGGTCAAATGGATTCCCTTTTCTTAGACTCTGTCACCTGCTTAAAATCCTTGCTAGGATTTAATCTACTTCATATTCAAACCTTGGCTTGCTTATATAGCTCTTTGTTTTGCCCACCATTTCTAGTTGCCTTTTTATTTTGTTTACTATTCCTCCTTGATTATGTTGTAAAATGCTATTAGCAGTGCTGTTTATTTCGTACGATTCGGCTTTTTCCCCACTGAAGACCTTTCTCTTGGAAGGCCTCTGCCCTTCTGCAATCTGGGCAAGTATCTGCTCTTTGATTTAAGGTTGCATATACAGCTGTACCTGGACCTTCTCCTCACTGGGCTCTTGGGTTGGAGCCCGTGTCTTAAAACCCATATCTTCCTTTCACATGGTTTACTCCCTCGTTTTCTGGACTGCATCCTTAAATAATGTGCTCAGATAGAGTGCATGGGGAGTAAACTGTAGTGGATACCGTTGTCACCTACCCCATATCCATTTCTTCTTTGCCCATTCCTAACAGAATCCTGATATTATTCACCTTTCTACCTTATTCCCAACTTCAGAAAGGATCCTTAAGTCATTCCACACATTGCATTCCTTTGGCAACTGTTACTGGTCAAGGATGGACATACGATCTAAGTTGGTTCACTCAGACTGAAGGGAAGGACTTCCATGGCACGTTCAGGGAAGACTTTCTCTTTTTCTCTCACTGGAGTAAGTGAGAAAGGTGTTGCTGGGGGCTCTTCTGTAACCTCAGACTGAGGGACAAAGCCTGAGGATAAAGCCTGCTCACCAAGGAAGGCGGAGCAGAGAAACGGGAAGAACCTGGGTCTTGATGCCGTTGCTTAGCTGGTGATTGCACTGTGGCTGGGGCCTGTCCTACCTGAGCTAGGGACTCAGATAGGATGGACTTTCTTACTGAATGAGCCAGCTTCAGTTTTCTTTTCTGTTACTTGTAACCAAAAGCATTGTAACAGATAGGTCTTCTGAGTCACTGCATGCCTGAAATACCTTTCTTCTACTCTTACACTTGATTGGCTGAGTATAGGGTTCCAAGTTGAAAATCATTTTTTCTCCTAACTTTGGAGGCATCTCTTCTAGTATGCAGAGTAACAAATGCAACAAATGCCTGATGCCAATCTTATTATGGTTCTTTTGTAGGTGCCCTTCTTTTCTCTTCCTTCCCTGGAAGTTTTTAGGATTTCGTCTCCTTATTTTTAGTGTCCTGAAATCTCATGAGAATATGTCTAGAGTTGTGTCTTGTTCACTCGTTGTACTGTGGTCATTCAATCTGAATACTTTTGTCAACTCTTTTTTTTAAAAAAAAATTACTAATTTACATGCTTTCATTTTCTCTATGGGGACTACTGTTTAACTTTGGACCTCTTATATTGGTCTTCTGTCTTCTCTCATATTTTTCATTTATTGGGCGGTGGGGGGTGCTCTGAATTTTGGAAGATCTCCTGCATTTATTTTCTTTTTCCTTTTTTCTTTTTTTTTGAGGCAGAGTCTTGCTCTGTCACCCAGGCTGGAGTGCAGTAGCCTGATCTCGGCTCACTGCAACCTCTGCCTTCCAGGTTCAAGCAATTCTGCCTCTGCCTCCCACGTAGCTGGGATTACAGACCTGCACCACCACGCCCGGCTAATTTTTGTATTTTTAATAGAGATGGGGTTTCACCATGTTGCCAGGCTGGTCTCGAACTCCTGACCTCAAGTGATCCGCCCGCCTCAGCCTCCCAAAGTGGTGTGAGCCACCGCACCCAGCCTCCTGACTTTATTTTCTATCCCTTCTGTTAAATTCTTTATTTCAGCCAAACCTTTTTTTTTTTTTTTTTAACTTACTGTGAAGCCTGTGTGCCTACTGCCTAGATTAGACAATTGTTAACATTTTGGCGTATTTTCCTGGTCTGTATAGATAGGGTGCATTTTTATACCTTTTTGCTCACCATTTAAAAGGAACTCACAGATGTCACGACATTTCACCCCTAAGTACTTCAGTATACATCTCCTAAAAATAAGGACATTTTCCAATATAAGCACAATACCCCGATCACATCTTTAAAAGTTAACAATAATTCTCTAATGTTATCAGGCACCCACTTTAAATTCAGATTTCCTCCAAATGTCTCTTATCGCTGTTGAGGGGCTCCAAAGCAATTAAGATTTATACATTGCATTTGAATATGCTTCCTTTGTCTCTTATTTATTTATTTATTTTATTTTGAGACAGAGTCTCGCTGTCTCCCAGGCTGGAGTGCAGTGGTGTGATCTCAGCTCACTGCAACCTCCGCCTTCCAGGTTCAAGCGATTCTCCTGCCTCAGCCTCCCAAATAGCTGGGATTACAGGTACGCACCACCACGCCCAGCTAACTTTTTTGTATTTTTAGTAGAGACAGGGTTTCTACTAAACCATGTTGGCCAGGCTGGTTTTGAACTCCTGACCTCAAGTGATCTGCCCGCCTCGGCCTCCCAAAGTTCTAGGATTATAGGCGTGAGCCACCATGCCCAGCCCCTTTGTCTCTTTTAACAAGAACAGCCTACCCACCTCTCCTTCACTTGTGATACTGACTTTTTGAAGCAGTCAGCCCAATTGTCATCTAGAAGGGCCCACATTTTAAGATACATATTTTTAGAGATGGCGTGTCACTATGTTGCCTAGGCTGGCCTTGAACTCCTGGCCTCAAGTAATCCTCCTGCCTCAGCCTCCCAGGTAGCTGGGACTACAGGCTTGTGCCACCACGACTAGCTGGCCCACATTTTAGATGTCTCTCTTTTCTTGTGATATAATTTAACTTGTTTGTCCATATATATTACTTGTAGACAAGAAGTTAGGTCTACAGGCATGTTCAGGTTAAACATTTTGGGCAAGAATATTTCATAGGCAGTACTGTGTACTTCATATAGCATCAGCTCACCAGGCACTTAATGGTTGGTTACCCTGTGGTTTGTGATGCTACGTTTTAACACTTGATTAAAGAAGGAGGTGACTGCCAAATCTCCCCATTGTAGACATACAGTTTTCCTGTGGTAATTGATATATAATCTGTGATGTGATGCTTTGGCACCATACAAATATCCTATTGCCCAACAGCCATTTGCATAATTATTTTAGCATTCATTGATCCTTGCCTGAAACCATTATTACATTGGGGGTTGCAAAATGATAGTTTTTTTAATTGTCACCTCTTCTACATTTAGTACTGTCATTCCTCTGTAATGAATTTTCCCTCATCAAATAAGGAGGCATTATATTTCCTCCTAAAAAGACAGTATAGATGCTTAATCTTTGCCTTTATTACATTTCAGAGTAAGGAGTTGGTAGAATAATCACCTCAAATGGTGGCAAAATATTTGCTGTTGTGTTTCCTTTTCTCTTTCATGTCAATATGGACTCATAGGGATTTATTTATTAAATGTTTTACAATTCAAATTGGGTCAACAAGAGTCCCTTCATGTTGGTTCCTATATTCTCCTGGCATACCCTCATTAATTAGTCTTTGAGCAATTTCTTGTTTTCTGGCACAAGATATTCCATCCCAATATGTGCTTTTCGTGTCCTAGAACTGATTCCAAGGAGCTCTGGTTCCTTATAGTGGCAACGGTATTTAGAATCCAACATGTGGGTACTAAATGTGCTGATTCTTACTGGGGTAACATTATATCTAGGCACTTTCAGAGGACATCGCTAGAAAATATATTCAGTTTTTATTTTTTATTTTTAATTTTTTTGTAGAGACAAGGTCTCACTATGTTGCCCAAGCTGGTTTCGAACTGAGCTCAAGCGATCCTCCCACCTCAGCCTCCCAAAGTGCTGGGATTACATCTGTCAGGGCAAACTGCTGGTAAATATTTTCACAAAAGAAAAATAAAAAAACCAAAGTGCTGGGATTACAGATGTGAGCCACTGTGCCCTCCATTTTTTTTTTAAGTCATAAATACATAATGATGTCTTCTATGGCAATTTAACATTACAGGGTTCTTCCTTAACTTTTTTTTTTTTTTTTCTTTTTTTTGAGGCAGGGTCTTGCTCTATTGCCCAGGCTGGAGTGGTGCAGTGGTACAATCCTAATTCACTGCAGCTTCAAATGCCTAGGCTTCAAACAATCCTCCTCCCTCAGCCTCCCGAGTAGCTAAGACTACAGGTGCATATCACCATGCCCAGCTAATTTTTAAAAATTTTTTGTAGAGATGGGGGGTCTCGTTGCGTTGCCCAGGCTGGTCTCGAACTCCTGGCCTCAAGTGATCCTCCCATCTCGATTTCCCAAAGTGCTGGGATTACAGGTGTGAGCCACCATGCCTGGCCAACTTTTATTTGATCTGTATATATCTTTTCCTTACACTGAAAATGTTGGGTCTTACTAATGTTAACATAGTTACTTATTTGCTTTATCTTGTAATAGACATAAAATTACAAAATTATAATACCAATATTACGATAAATAGCTGGGCATGGCGGCGCTCGCCTGTAGTCCCAGCTACTCAGGAAGCTGAGGTGGAGGGACTGCTTGAACCTAAGAGTTTGAAGCTGCAGTGAGCTGTGGTTGTGCCACTGTACTCCTACCCGGACAACAGAGTGAGTGGGGGGAAAAAAAAGAAATAATGGAAGATCCAGAGAAAGCCCCAAATATTTAAAAATTAAACAATACACTTTGCAGCTTCCTCACCTCTCTCAGCCTTCATAGAATTGAAGAGAGTTAGGGCCTTGCACTAGATTAGGCTTTGCCTTAAGGAAATGTTGTGTTTGATTTGATCTTTTATCCAGACCATTAAAACTTCCTTAACGTTTATTAGTAATAAGGCTATTTCACTTTCATATCATTTGTGTGTTCACTGGAGTAGCACTTTTAGTTTCCTTCAAGAACTTTGATTCACAACTTGGCTAACTTTGGTACAAGAGGCCTAGCTTTTGGCTTCTCGGCTTTCAACATGCCTCTCACTAAGCCTGATCATTTGGTTTTTGGTTTAAAGAGAAAGACATATGACTCTTCCTTTTACTTGAATGCTTAGAGGCCATTGTAGGGTTATTAATTGGCCTAATTTCAGTACTGTCTTGTCCAAGGGAATAGGGAGGCCCAAGGAGAGAGAGAGAGATGGGGGAACAGCTGATTGGTGGAGTAGTCAGAATATACACATTTATCACTTAAGTTTTGCCATCTTTTCTTTTTCTTTTTCTTTTTTTTTTTTGAGACAGTCTTGCTCTGTCACCCAGGCTGGCATGCAGTGGCATGATCTCAGTTCACTGCAACCTCTGCCTCCTGGGCTCAAGCAATTCTCCTGCCTCAACCTCCCGAGTAGCTGGTATTACAAGCGTGCGCCACCATACCCAGCTAATTTTTATATTTTTTAGTAGAGACAGGGTTTGCCATGTTGGCCAGGCTGGTCTCGAATTCCTGACCTCAAGTGATCCACCCGCCTTGGCCTCCCAAAGTGCGGGGATTACAGGCGTAAGCCACTGCCGCCTGGCCAAGTTTGCCACCTTTTTTATTTTTTTTATTTTTTGAGATGGAGTCTCACTCCATCACCCAGGCTGGAGTGCAGTGATGCAATCTCGGCTCACTGCAGTCTCTGCCTCCTGGATTCAAGCGATTCTCCTGCCTCAGCCTCCCGAGTAGCTGGGACTACAGGCATGTGCCAGCACGCCCAGCTTGTTTTTTGTATTTTTAGTAGAGACGGGGTTTCACCATGTTGGCCAGGCTGGTCTCCAACTCCTGACCTCAGGTGATCTGCCCGGCTCAGCCTCCCAAAGTGCTGGGATTACAGGCGTGAGCCACCCCGCCCGGCCAAGTTTGCCATCTTTTATGGGTGCAGTTTGTGGTGCCGCAAAATGATGATAGTAGTAACATCAGAGAGCATTGATCACAGATCACCATAACAAATATAATAATGAGAAATTTGAAACATTGTGAAAATTACCAAAATGTGACAGAGACATGAAGTAAGCACATGCTATTGGAAAAATGGCACTGGTAAACTTGCTTGATGCAGGGTTGCCACACACCTTCAATTTGTTAAAAACTCAGTATCTGCGAAGTACAGTAAAGCAAAGCACAATCAAATGAGGTGCGCCTGCATATTACAACCAAGAGGCTTTTCGCAGAAACACGAGTGTGCTTCAACATTCAAAAATCAGTTGGTGTAATTCACCACATTAAGATAATAAAGGAGGCCGGGTGCGGTGGCTCACACCTGTAATCCCAGCACTTTCAGAAGCCGAGGTGGACAGATCACTTGAGGCCAGGAGTTTGAGAGCAGCCTGGCCAACATAGTGAAATCCTGTCTCTACTAAAAATAGAAAAATTAGCCGGGCAGGGTGGCACGCACCTTTAGTCCCAGCTATTCGGGAGGCTGAGGCAGGTGAATCCTTGAAACCAAGAGGCGGAGGTTGCAGTAAGCTGAGATCACGCCAATGCATTCTAGCCTGGGCAACAGTGAGACCCAGTATCAAAAAAAAAAAAAAAAAAAAAAAAAGATAATAAAGGAGAAAAACCATATAGTCTATTCAATAAATACAGAAAACGCATCTGACAAAATTCAGTGCCCTTTCATGATAAAAATTCAGCAGATTAGAAATAGAGGAAGTGCATGTATGAAAGAGCTACAGATAGATTGTACTTAATTGTGAAATATTGAACATGTTACCCCGAAAATCAGGAAAAAGGCAAAGATGTCCACTCTAACCACTTCTATTCAACATTATACTAGAGGTCATAGCCAGTATAATGAGGCAAGAAAAAACATAAGAGGCATTAATATTTAAAGGAAGTAAAACTGTTTCTATTTGTAGGTAATGTCGAAAATGTGAAAGAAACTATCAGAACCTGCTAGAACTAAAAAGTGAATTCAGCAAGGTCTCAGGGTACGAGATCATTCAAAAACTAATCAGAAATGAAATTTCAAATGCAATATCGTTAGGAATAATTTAATAAGAAATGTACAAGATTTACACGCTGAAACTGAAAATGTTGCTGAAAGAAATTAAAGACCTAAATAAATGGAATGTTGTACCATGTTCATCAGCTGAAAGACTAAGTGTCTTTACAGTGTCAGTTCTCCCTTCATTGAACTGTAGATTCATAACCCCAGTCATAACTGCAGGGTTTTTTTTGTAGAAATTGATTGTAAAATGTATATGGAAGCTGGGCACGGTGGCTTATGCCTGTAAACCAGCACTTTGGGAGGCTGAGGCAGACAGATGACTTGAGGTCAGGAATTTGAGACCAGCCTGGCTAACATGACGAAACCCCGTCTCTACAAAAAATACAAAAATTAGCCAGACATGGTGGCACACACCTGTAATCCCAGCTACTTGGGAGGCTGAGGCATGAGAATCACTTGAACCCGGAGGTGGAGGTTGCAGTGAGCCAAGATCATGCCACTGCACGCCCGCCTGGGCAACAGAGTGAGACTTTGCCTCAAATAAATAAATAAATAAAACGTATATGGAAATGCAAAGGACCTAGAACATCCAAAGTAAACTTGAAAGAGAACAAAATTAAGGGGCTTATGTGATGTGACTTTATAGTCATTTGATTTTTAACAGAGGCACCAGAACAGTCCGGTGCGGGAAAGGAAAGTCTTTTAGCACGTGCCGGATGATGGCAAATGACATCCATACCAGACAAAAATGAACCTTGACCTTACCCTAAATATTAGTTTCTTAGAGTTGCCACAAACTAGGTGGCTTAAAACCACAGAAATTTGGCTGGGTGCGGTGGCTGACGCCTGTAATCCCGGCCTTTGGGAGGCCGAGTCGGGCAGATCACCTGAGGTCAGGAGTGCAAGACTAGCCTGGCCAACGTGGTGAAACTTTGTCTCTACTAAAAATACAAAAAACTTAGTCAGGTGTAGTGGTGCACACATATAATCCCAGCTAGCCAGGAGGCTGAGGCAGGAGAATTGCATGAACCTGGGAGGTTGCACTGAGCCAAGATTGCACCACTGCACTCCAGCCTGGGTGACAGAGTGAGACTCCGTCTCAAAACAAAACCACAGAAATTTGCTGTCTCATAATTCCAGAGTCTAGAAGTCCAAAATCAACTGTCATCAGGGCCATGG
The DNA here is from genome assembly GCF_000001405.40 of Homo sapiens. NCBI lineage: Eukaryota > Metazoa > Chordata > Mammalia > Primates > Hominidae > Homo > Homo sapiens. The sequence continues at coordinate 154,067,281 of NC_000023.11, read as the reverse complement.
TCTCTGTGAAACCTGTAGGGGAGTCCTTCCTTGCCTCTTCCTAGCTTCCAGTGGTTGGCAACCTTTGGCATTCTTTGATTTGCAGCTGCATTACTTCAATATCTGTCTTCCTCATCACACAGCATTCTCCATGTATGTCTCTGTCTTTACATGGCCTCCTTCTTGTAAGAACAACAGTAATATTGGATTGGGGCCTGCCCTACTCCAGTGTGACCTCACCTTAACTAATTACACCTGCAACAACGCTGTTTCCAACTAAGGTCTCAGTGTGAGGTACTGAGGGTTAGGACTTCAACATATCTTTTTTGGGGGACATAGTCCAACCCATGACACTACTTCACACCATACATAAAAATTAATTCATGAGAGATTATAGACCTAAATGTTTTAAAAGCTAAAAATATAAAGCTTCTGCAAGAAAACATAGGAGAATATCTGTGCAGTCCAAAGAATAAGGTTTTTTTTAAACACAATTTCACTCTGTTGCCCAGGCTGGAGTGCAGTGGTGCGATCTCAGCTCACTGCAACCTCTGCCTCCCGAGTTCAAGCGATTCCCATGCCTCAGCCTTCCAAGTAGCTGGGATTACAGGTGTGCGCCACCATGCCTGGCTAATTTTTGTATTTTTAGTAGAGGCAGGGTTTTGCCATGTTGGCCAGGCTGGTCTCAAACTCCTGACCTCAAGTGATCTGCCTGCCTCGGCCTCCCAAAGTGCTGGGATTACAGGTATGAGCCACCGTGCCAGGCCAAAAAAAGATTTATTAGGATACATGAAGCAATAGCTATTAAAAGAAAAAATAAATTGGACTTCATTAAAATTTAAAACTTTTGGTCCTCAAAAGATACCATTAAGAAAATGAAAAGACAGAGCTGGGCGTGGTGAGGCTTGCCTGTAGTCACTACTGGGTACTTGAGAGGCTGAGGCAGGAGGATCACTTGAGCCCAGGAGTTCTAGGCCAACATAGGCAATATAGTGAGACAGTGTCTCTTAAAAAAAAAAAGAAAAAGAAAAAACAAAAGAAAATAGGCTGAGAGCTGTGGCTCATGCTTGTAATCCCAGCACTTTGGGAGTACAAGGCAGATGGATTGCTTGAGCTCAGGAGTTCAAGACCAGCCTGGGCAACAGTGAAATCCCATCTCTACAAAAGATACAAAAAATTAGCCAACCATGGTGGCGTGCACCCGTAGTCCATAGTCCCAGCTACTCGGGAAGCAGAGGCAGGAGGATTGCTTGATCCCAAGGAGGTCAAGGCTGCAGTGAGCTGAGGTCGCGCCACCGCACCCCAGCCTGGGTGACTGAGTGAGACCCTGTCTCAAAGAAAATGAAAAGACAAGTCCACCAAGAAAACAGTTGAGACCAGTCATAGAAAAAATAGAAAGTCATATCTGACAAAGGATTTGTATTCAGAAGAATTCCTATAACTCGGTAATAAAAAGACAACCTGATTTTTAAAGGGTGAAAATATTTTAATGGATACTTTTTTTTTTTTTTTTGAGACAGAGTCTCACTGTGTCACCTAGGCTGGAGTGCAGTGGTGCCATCATACATAGCTCACTGCAGACTCGAACTCCTGGGCTCAAGTGGTCTTCCTGCCTCAGCCTCCTGCGTAGCTAGGACTACAAGCACGTGCCACTATGCCTGGCTAATTTTTAAATTTTTTGTAGACATGGGCTGGTGTGTGTCTGTGTTGTCTAGGCTGGTCTTGAACTCCTGGGCTCAAGTGATCCTCCCACCTCTGCCCCCCAAAGTGCTGGGCCACCACGCCTGGTGTGGTGTCACCAGAGATGAGCCACCATGCCCTGCCTGATACTTTTCTTTTATCATCTGTTTATTTCTTGTTTATGGGTGTTTCTGTTCTGATTTTATGACTATTCTGTATTCTAAGATTTCTCTGAGAATATTATTTGTTTCCTCTAAGGACAGACTTGGTCTCTCTTCCATGGGGCTGGTTCTTGAGCCGCCAGGGATGGGGGGAGGACCTGGGTAGCTGCTGCGCTGCCCCTTCTCTGCTGTGGTGGAGTGGCCCGTTGCCTGCGGGGTCTGTCTCTGAAGGGTGGTTTGGAGAAGTTCTGTGGAGGCGAGGCAGGGGTCAGCTCTTGCCCCATGGACCCTCAGAGACTGGGAAAAGGTAGGCATCACCTGGGCTGCTGCCAGCCACATCAAGAGCCTTTGGGGTGGGTGGGGTGGGGGCCGGGGAAGGGAAGGTTCTAGCTGTTGATTTAGAAAAGACCCATTGATTTCTTGCCTGAGGGAAGAAGTGGCACCTTGCCACTCCAAGTTTGCTCTGCTCACCAGCCCCAACAGCATCAGCCTCACCTGGGAGCTTATTGAAGGTGCCCTGCCCCAAAGCTTGTGGGTCGGGATCTGGCAGTCAGCAGCCCCCAGGTGTTGCACACATGACAGCACTGCTTGCCCCTCCTCTCGTCTGGTCTGGTCTGGTCTGGTCTGGTCTGGTCTGAGAGCTTCTTTGGGGCTCTGACAGGTATACAGGCTCTCATCTGCTCTACAGCTCTCTTGTAGTACATTCCTCTCTGTTCCATTAGTCAACATGTTCTTGCCTACTTCCAGCATCTAGAAATTTGCTGAGTGTATCTTATCCGTTCAGAGGTCCTCTCCTGCTATTGCCTCTGTTAGAAATTTCTTCCCTTTCATATGTCTGTACTTCGGTTTCTTTGAGGTTTGAAGGGTCAAGTGGCAATTACATGTAGGCAGTTGGCCATCCTCTGGTGAAGGCTTTAAAGCCCAGGAATAACAAGATCCATTATGTCTAAAACTAGCAAAAACCCTACCTGTCACATGGTGAACTGAATTAGAGGTGATGGGGACAGAAGCCAGATTGGAGTGAGTGGAAGGTGAGGGAGTGGAGATTGGGTATAGACAACTCTCTTTAAGAAGTTTTGTTGTGATGGTGACCAGAAAAATAGGAGTGGGGTAGAGGGGGATGAGGGTGTTTTTCACGTGGGTGAATATGAGAGCATGTTTACATCCTTCTGGGAATGGCCCAGGAGAGAGGGGAGCGTGAGAAGGAGGAAATGGGGACCTGGAGGAGCAGACTCCTTGTGTGGAGGGGGGAAGCGGCATCTAGAGCTGTTGCAGGAGGTGGGCTTTGAGTAAATGCTTCCTCTTTGGTAAAGACGGGGAACGGGAACGGTAGAAGTTGCACGGACCCTTTGTTAAAGCTCAGAAGCTGAGCGAGAATTAGAGCTTAAGTTTATGGAGTAGTCAGAATAAAGTACCCCTAACTGTATTCTTGCACAGTGCAGGAAGCCAGGGGTCTGAAATCAAGATGTTGCAGGGCTCCATTCCCCCCAGAGCCTCTAGCATGGATCCTTCCTTGCCTCTTCCAGCTTTTGGTGGCTGCCTGGCAGTCCTAGACTTTCCTTGGCTTGCAGTTGCATTGCTCCATTCTCTGCTTGTGTCTTCACATGGCCTTCTCTGTGTCCCCGTATTCTTCTCTGGATGCTTGTCACTGTATTAGGCCCACCCTAAATCCAGGATGATCTCATATCAAGATCCTTCACTTAATTACAGAAGCAAAGACCTTCCAAATAAGGTCAGAGCCACAGGGTCTGGGGGTTAAGACATACACCTAACTATTCGGGGCTACCATCGAACCCCTGTAGAAGCCTGTCCATTTCCAGGATAGCAGAGCCCAAGGAAGGGCCAGAAGTCCCCCCAAAACAGTTGTTTGCATTCACCAGATTCTAAGCTATAAGCAGATGGGCAGTGGCAGTCGGTCCTAATCCATATACCATTGGCAACAATAGTTTAGTTCACTGTAGACATAATGAGATGCTTATCTTCTGCTAAGTAGTCCTCATGGTAACAGCCATATTACTCCTGGCTTTGAGTGACAGCGCTGTGCTCTTGTCTGGTGCCCATATACTTCAGCAGCTGGAAACAAGACAGTGCTCATGATTCACCGGAAAGTTTCTGTAGTTAAAATCAAGTGATCCCTTGAGTCTATTCTAATATTTGTCTGTACCATGTTCTGTGACGAGACATGGAAACAAAACATTAAGAAGTGAAAGTATCTTTGATTATGCTCTTGAAGACAACTTTTTGTTTGTTTGTTTTGTTTGAGACGGAGTTTCACTCTTGTTGCCCAGGCTGGAGTGCAATGGTGTGATCTCGGCTCACTGCAACCTCCGCATTCCCGGGTTCAAGCGATTCTCCTGCCTCAGCCTCCCAAGTAGCCAGGATTACAGGCATGCACCACCACGCCTGGCTAATTTTTTTTATTTTAGTAGAGACGGGGTTTCACCATGCTAGTCAGACTGGTCTCAAACTCCTGACCTCAGGTGATCCGCCTGCCTCTGCCTCCCAAAGTGCCGGGATTACAGGTGTGAGCCACCGTGCCTGGCCGAAGACAACTTTTTAAAGATGCATATGCTCTGGGCTGGGTGTGGTGGCTCACACCTGTAATCCCAGCACTTTGGGAGGCCAAGGCGGGCAGATCACCTGAGGTCAGGGGTTCAAGACCAGCCTGGCCAACATGGTGAAACACCGTCTCTACTAAAAGTATAAAAATTAGCCGGGTGTGGTGGCGGGTGCCTGTAATCACAGCTACTCAGGAGGCTGAGGCAGGAGAATCGCTTGAACCCCAGAGGCGGAGGTTGCAGTGAATTGAGACTGTGCCACTGCACTCCAGCCTGGGCGACAGAGTGAGACTTGGTCTCAATAAATAAAATAAAATAAAGATGCATATATGCTCTGAAGGCTGGCTACATTTTATTTTTTCTCAAACAACTTTTACAGTGGATAGTGCTGTAAAAGTTGTTTAGCTCTGGTCATTTTATCTTTTTTGTGATCTGCAAAAGGAGATCCTTTTCCTTTTCACTGCCTCTAATACCCAACTCCAATACTCCTTTGACCTCACAGGCACTTAGAATCCATCAGTGGCTCCATCTTTTCTCAGACTTCACCTCCTTCGTATCCTTATTCCTCTCCTTTGTAGCTTCAGTGCCAGTCAGACGTCGTTACTCCCTGGCACACTACCTCAGCCCTTCGGCACTTTCTTGCTTTGTTATATTCAGTCGACAAAGCCCCAGCCTCATGAAATTCAGTCATGTCTGCCCCATGCCTGCTCCGTCCTGAAGCTGAATGTGACTCCTTCATTGATTCCCCCTTTAAGTTCATGTCTACCCCAGGTAAACTTCTTGCCGCCAAGCCCACCTGCATACTGCAGTTCCCCGGTCTCTCCTAGCCCCTCCCACCCTCCTCATCAGCTGTCACACCTCCTTGCAGCTGATATCTTAGTTCCCAGAGAGCACAGAAGCAAGCTCAAGAGAGTGTCTACAGGCCAGCGTCTACTCCTTCGCTCTGCCTCCCTCATGCTGTCACGGAGCGCCTGTCCCAGGCCCTCACTCCTGTTCTAAGGCATCTCTCCAGTCCTCTACTGCACTCTCCCCCATCAGAGATTCCTCCCTCGCCTGCCCTAGAAACTTGTTGCTACTTCTCCCACCTTGACAAAAGCTGCTCCCAACCCCCCACCTGTCTAGCATCTCTGTTTTCCTTTACCAGCAAGACTCCAGTCCCTGTCTCCACACCCTCTTCAACCTTCTCCAGTTGTTCCTTTGCTGCCACAGCTCTGCCAAGCTGCTCCATGAGGTCTCCAGTGATGACCTTCATGTTGTTAAATCTGGGAGCTGCTTGTCACTTCTTTTCCCAGAGCTGTCGTCGTCAGTTAACCCCAATACCCATACGAGACAATCCTTTCCCTCCCTTGAGTCTCTGCACTGATGTGCACCTTCTCAGTGCAAACCACAGCTTTTGTCTCTTTCTAGCTGAATACATGACTGACTGTGCTTATCTTAGCTGTCACCCCTGCTGGAGCAGAAGCTCCACAGGACAGGATTGTCTCCTTGATTCACAGATGTAGCTCAAGCTCCTAGAACAGTGCCTGGTGTCTGTGGGTCCTCAGGAAGTCCTAGGTGAGTGTGTGAATGTCTGTCCTCCTCGGTCTTTTCTGTTTCGCATGTGATGTTGGAAGGCCTCAGGTTCAGGCTTTTCTTCTCCACCCTCACTCCCGAAGTGATTCCGTCCAGCCTCATGGCTCCCAAATTTATGTCTCCAGGCTGACTGGGTCACGGGAACTCCTTATCCTCCCTAGACCTTCTCTTTCCCTGGTCTTCTCCTTTCCAGTAAACAGCAACTCCAACTCCTGCTCCTCAGGCCAGAAACCTGGCGCTGGTTACCTCATTTGTTCACAAATACTGTTACTCCACCTGCAAGATGGATACAAAATCTCATGAGTTCCCCTGCCTCCATGGCCCCCACCCTGGTCCAGGTGTCCAGCTTCCCTGCCTCTGCCCTTGCCCCCTGGTTCTTTGTTTAGTCCTGCAATATTGTGCTCTTCTGTTCAGAACCCTCCAGTGGGTCCCTGCTTGCTCAGAGTCACAGCCCAACAGGATCACCTCTCTTGCCACTCTCCCACCACTCATGCACTGCGGCCTCACTGGCCTCCTGGCTCCTCCCTGGACCCTCCAAGTATGCCCCTGCCTCAAGGCCTTGACCTCTCCTCTGCCCTCTGTCCCAGGTATCACACATGTCTGCTCAAGTGTCACCTTCCCAATGTGGCCTTCCCCGAGCACACCCATGTCTGTAAGTCAGGCAGCCTGCCTCTGCCCCACCAGTTCCCCCTGCCTAGCATAGGACTTGTCACCATCTGCCACAAGCTGTGTTACTGCTTGGTTTTGTTTGTGCTCTCCCACTCCCTTCCCCTCCCTCCCTCTCCCCACCCCTATAGAATCTGAGTCCCATGAGGACAGAGATTTTTTTTTTTGCCTCTTCCTCAATATATCCCCAGTGCCTAGAATCATGCATATTTTAATTTATTGAGTGAATTAACAAATAAATTCTGCAGTGGGACATTGCTCTAAGGTTTTGTCTTATAAGAGGGACAGAAGAACATGCAGCCTGCTCTGCTGTTGGCTCCTTAGCTTCTCCATGGCTAACAGGAACAATATTGTTTATGAGATAATCAAAGCCATAGTCATGAGTTAGAAGGTACATATAAAGGCAAATATGTGGAGATTGAGTTACTTTGGCGGGGGCGGAGGGGTGTGTAGTTATCTGAAAACATGGAACAAATCAATGAGAGTCTAAATAGCACCCACATATTTGCCCCTCTTTTAAAACATACCTCCTTTATGAGTGTAGAATTTAACAGCACAGTTTCCCAGTGCAGCTTTGCGAAACAAGAGAAATGAATTTTAAAGGCTGTCAGGTGCCTTTGCAATCTGTGGCTTAGTATTTGTGTAACAACATTTGTGTTTTGCCAACAGATGTACTGCTTAAAGTACCCATGAGAATGGCCTCTGTGGTTTTCTACTTTCTCGGATGGAACCTTAGGAACTGATTATTGAGAAGAGGCTGATACTGCCCACCTCAGCTCCCAGGCAGGCTTCAGGGCCTTGGTTACTACTCCTTTGGGCCCTCACTGACCCTTGCAGACGTCTTTTGCAACCTCTGTAGCCAGAAGAGACAACTGCTTTCTGGCATGTTGCTCTTTCCCTAATGGCTTTATGAGCTTCTTGAACACCAAAGCATGTGTGACTTCCTCACGCCTTCCCCTGTATAGTATAGCACCCCTAACTGTATGTGTAAGGAGAAGGAGTGAGCAATTGATGGCGTCCCCCTGGATCTCCAAGGGAATGGGAAGGGGCAGGGTTTCTGGATTCAGTCATGTGGAATCTGGTCGTTGGTGTCTAAATGTGCCTGTTACTTGTGCCCAATGTCCAGGTTCACCAGGAGGCTTAGCCTGCTCATTTCCCTGCTAGTAGCTATATTTTGGGAGAGCATTTTTTATGCTCTAATTGAACTTTGTGGGTCTCAGCAATTTGAACAATGTTTTGTTTTTCTTCTGGTCAGGTTACAAAGGAAAGAAAAGGAATCTGGTGTTGTAGGAGGTGGTGTGTTGTGTAATTACTTGTTTTTTTTTTTTAAGTTTTTTTATATTTTTGCAACAAGGCAAGTTTTCTTTGAATAAATAATGCTGGGAGCTTATCACATAGAAGGCATATGTGTTGTACTCAGTACATTCTGAATTATCTGGGTTTATTTTTATCTCTTGAATTCACTTATAAACAATTCAAAGGCTGCTTTTTTAGCTAACAGAAATAGGAAGAGAATCTCAGAATCTGTTTTGTCATTTTTTCAATGGGTTGAGTTATAGTGATTATGCTAACTCGGTGGAAAAGCAGTGTAGTGAGTAAACCCCACATACGGCATATCATGAACATTTTGTTGCTTTTTTGGCTTCTGACCATCTTCATACCTTTTTTTGTGTTAAAAGTCTCCCCATTGTGTATATCTTAGTAAGAGGCAGGTGGACCCTAGTTTCTACCTAAGAAAACCTGAAGATGGGGTTGGGGGCCTGTGGTGTACTTCCTTCTCATGCTGTCCATGACCACTGCAGTGGCTTTGTAAGGATCCAGGACCCAGGGCCCCTCAGTGGGTGTCTTCCATTTCTCAAGATTGCCTCTTGGTTGTGAGATGACGGTTGCTGCTCTAGTCATTGCATCCACTCCTCCAGGTAGGAAGAAAGAGGTCATAGGGGAAAGGCAAAATGGCACTTGACATCTTAACTTCTAGGCCCATTCAATATTTCCATTTCCATCTTCACACCCATCATCTTGTCCTAGGGAACAAACAGCACCAGCAGCTCAGTAGCTATAACAGCAATTATTATTTCTCACACATGGGTCTGGGTCAGCTGCAAGATGGGATTCAGATCTGTTCTCAAGCCTGTCGTTCCAGGACCCAGGAGGGAGAAGCAGCTGCCAGGGGAAGTCTCTTCGTAGGCGGAGGTCAGGAGTCCAAGAGGAGTGAGCAGAGTCACAGAAGCCTCTTAAAGCCTCTTCTTCCCCCATCCCATCAACACGTGAGCAAGCCCAGAGTCAGTGGGTGGGAGGTGTGCTCCGCCCATAGTCAGTAGAACAAGAGCAAGCTTGAAAGAGAACGATGAACAGGAGTGCACTCGGCCACTGTCTCCTTAGCCATAACGTAGTCCCATGGTCTGCTGGGAAGCGGGGAATAACTCTCCTTAGCTGAGCGCAGGGTCTCATTAGTAAGGCAGATGGAGAACATGGATGTTGGGGGACAACTGGCAGTGCCTGCCACAGGGGAATGGATATATTCCCTCCCCTTGCTCTCTGGAAACTAGGGGATGGCGATGAAGCCTAGGTTTGGCCAAACCCATTCTGCCTTCAGGGACTTTGACTCTTGAGGGACAGTGAGGGATTAGTCATGGTGGTGGCAGTTGAGTCACAAAACCAGCAGTGGTGGCTAATGTCCAGTGATGACATGCAACAGTGCCCAGGGTGGGTGTCCCAACCAGCAGGTCCCTGCAGTATAACCTTGGCTGTGTTTGCAGTGGTGCAGCCTCTATTCCTGCTGCTTTTCTGAGCCTAGTTCTCTAGTTCTCTCTCCATTTCCAGATCTGCTGCCCAAGAACTCCTTTGTGATTGAATTTAACCAGAGTTGATTTCTGTTGCTTGAAACTCAGGACCTTGATGCAGTGTGCAGGGTCTGGGCAAGGTAAAAACACACTTTCATGATTTCGCCTCAAGTATAGTAGATGAGCTTAGGCTTTTTGAGCCAGGTAGCCTTGGGATTAATTCTCAGCTCTTGCACCTAGCAGGTGACCTCAGCAATCAAGTCACTTGCCCTCCTTGAGCCTCAGTGTTGCCCTCAGTTAAACATTGCTCTCGTGTGTTGCTGAGCATTCAGTGAGATTGTATATAAAGTGATCATTGTGAAGGTATTGGGACATAATTTGGGAAAGCGTCCTGGTCTAAGCTTTTGATTGGCTCTCCATCATTTGGGTAATGGGATAGTGATTTAGGAGTATCATAGCAGCTCAAGGGGCCCTTCTGGAAAGGGTATGAGGAAGGTCAGGGACAAGTCTGAAATGAATCATCCTAGGCTTAATGCCTGTGACTGGGCAGTGGGTACAATTATCTCAGGCTAGTCAGTAGTCATTTATTGTGAGAATACATGGGCAGATTTTTTAATTTCCTTCTCAGTCTAGACTTGAATGCAAACAGTTCTTATTGCTAACTTACCACTAGTCACCACTAATGAACAAAGACTATGAACAGGAAATTCATAAAAGAAGAGATACAGATGGCCAATGAAGATAGGAAAAGAGTTCTGCCTGCTGGTAATCAAAGAGATGCAAACGAGAACAAAAATGATGCCTTTTCACCTACCAAATTTGTCAAGATTAAAAAGAAAGCAAAGAGCCAGCGTCAGCTGATGTTCATACCTGCACCTGCTCGGTAGCTTGCTAATGTTCTGCCTGCTCCACACGCCAGGCCAGCCTCCACGGCGCAGCCAGGTGAGGCCTTTCCTTGTATACAGGCACGTTTGGATTCACTGTTGCATAAGTGAGACATGTGCATGCTTCACAATTCAGGAAGTGCAAACTCCAGAGTGATGCAAGGTCTGAGTGTCCCTGCTGCCCTGGTCTCCCAGCTGCCTAGGCCTCTCTTCAGGGAACGGCTGCATCCAGGGTCTTGTCTGTGTCTTTTGAGGTGTTCTATGTACACGCAGACACATCTAAACCTATTTTTATTTTCCCTGCACCTGCTTGGGCTACTGTAAGCTGTTAAATTTTTTTTTCTAGGAATTTGTCCATTTTGTCTGACTAGCATAAAGTTGTTCATGTTATAGTTTATACATTTGCAACATCTGTAATTATGTCTGCTTTTTCATTCCTAGTGTTTGTTGTTTACTTGTACCTTCTCCCGTTTTTCCTTGTCTTGGTAAAAGCTCATTAGGTTCATTGGTCTTACAAGAAGCAGACATGTAGGCATTATTGCCCTGTATTACTCTGTGTCTCTTTTCTAGTTCATTAAATTCTGCTTTTGCTTTTATCTTTATTATTTTTTCTATGGTCTTAGAGTACATTCTCTGTGTTTTGTTGTTGTTGTTGTTGTTGTTTGTTTTTTGTTTTGAGAGAGAGAGTCTTGCTCTGTCGCCCAGGCTGGAGTGCAGTAGTGCAATCTCAGCTCACTGCAACCTCCACCTCCTGGGTTCAAGTGATTCTCGTGCCTCAACCTCCCGAGTAGCTGAGATTTACAGGCATTTGCCCCACACCCGGCAAATTTTTTGTATTTTTAGTAGAGATGGGGTTTTGGCATGTTGACCAGGCGGGTCTCGAACTGCTGACGCCAGGTGCTCCACCCGCCTTGGCCTCCCAAAGTGCTGGGATTACAGGCATGAGCCACCACGCCTGGCCCTAACTTCTTAAGTTATAAATTTGGTTCATTGATTTTTCTACCCTTTTTTCAAATGTAAACATTTAAGGCTAACCCTCTGGAACTACTTCAACTGTATCTAGCAAGTTCTGATAGTATTGTCACTTTAAGTTAGCCCAAAGATATTTTAAATTTTCTTTGTTTCTTCCTTTGACTCACATATTATTTTAAAATGTGTTTTTCAATTTCCAAGCACATGGCTTTGGGTTTGTTTTTTTTTTTTCCTAGTTGCTCTAGAAAAAAAAATTGACTGCATGAGGTGGCTCATGCCTGTAATCCCAGCACTTTGGGAGGCCGAGGCGGGCAGATCACCTGAGGTCAGGAGTTCGAGACCAGCCTGGCCAACATGCCAAAACCTCGTCTCTACTAAAAATACAAAATTAGCCGGGCATGGTGGCACACACCTGTAGTTCCAGCTACTCGGGAGGCTGAGGCAGGAGAATCACTTGAACCGGGAGGCAGTGGTCACAGTGAGCCAAGATTGTGCCAGTGTACTCCAGCCTGGGCAACAAGAGCAATACTCCGTCTCAAAAAAAAAAAAGAAAAAAAGAAAAAATCAACTTCTAACTAAATGGCACTGTGATCAAAGAACTTGGTCTGTGTGACACCAGTTCTTGCAGTTGGTTGAGAAGTGCTCCATGACACATTATCCACAACCAGTGGACAGAATATGTCACCACCAAGCATGGGTGCAGGATTCTACATATATTCATTACCTCTGTCTTATCCGTTTGTTGTGAAAGTATTTTCTCTTCTTACTGTCATTTTGTTTACTTGATTTATCAACTGATGGAATACGTGTTAAAACCTACTGTGGTGATGGACACATCAGTTTCTCCACAGAGTTTGGTCATTTTCATTTTATTATTTATTTTGAGGCCACATTTTCAGTTTTAGATACAGTTTCACATTCCTGGTGTATTGAACCCTTTGGTATTATGAAGCGACCATACTAATATGTTATTTTTTTTTAAATTATTATTTATTTTATTTATTTTTCTTTCTTTTTTTTTTTTTTGAGACAGGGTCTCCCTCTGTCACCCAGTCTGGAGTGCAGTGGTGCAATCTCAGCTCACTGCAACCTCCGCCTCCTGGGCTCAAGTGGTCCTCCCACCTCAGCCTCCTGAGTAGCTGGGATTACAGGCTTGCACCAGCGCGCCTGGCTAAGTTTTTGTATTTTTAGTAGAGACAGGGTTTTGCCATGTTGCCCAGACTGGTCTCAAACTCCTGGGCTCAAGCAGTTCACCAGCCTTGGCCTCTAAAAGTGTTGGGATTACAGGTGTGAGCCACCACGCCCGGCCATCCCAGTTTTTTATTTTCCTCCTTTCTGTGTCTTTATGCATCAGTGAGGTGGAGCTTTTGAAAATGTCAGATAGCTAGATTTTTTTTTTTTGAGACGGAGTTTTGCTCTTGTTGCCCAGGCTGGAGTGCAATGGCGTGATCTCGGCTCACTGCAACCTCCACCTCCCAGGTTCAAAACAATTCTCCTGCCGCAGCCTCCTGAGTAGCTGGGACTACAGGCACGTGCCACCACACCCGGCTAATTTTGTATTTTTAGTAGAGATGTGGTTTCACCATGTTGGCCAGGCTGGTCTCAAACTCCTCACCTCAGCTGATCACCCGCCTCAGCCTCCCAAAGTGTTGGAATTACAGACGTGAGCCACCATGCCCAGCTGATAGCTAGATTTTTTTTTTTTTTTTTTTTTTGAGACGGAGTCTTGCTCTGTCGCCCAGGCTGGAGTGCGGTGGCGCGATCTCGGCTCACTGCAAGCTCCGCCCCCCGGGTTCATGCCATTCTCCTGCTTCAGCCTCCAGAGTAGCTGGGACTACAGGTGCCCGCCACCACGCGTGGCTGATTTTTTTTTTTTTTTTTTTTTTGTATTTTTAGTAGAGACGGGGTTTCACCGTGTCAGCCAGGATGGTCTCGATCTCCTGACCTCGTGATCCGCCCGCCTCAGCCTCCCAAAGTGCTGGGATTACAGGCGTGAGCCACCGCACCCGGCCTCGAGATTTTTTAAAAAATCCATTGTCTGTTTCGTCCTTTAACATCTATTTGATTTCTGATGTATTTAGATTCATTTATAGCATATTTGTGCATTCTATTTTTCCATATTTTCTGTTCTTTTAAATTTTCCTTCTCCTTTCTTGCCTTCTCTTAGACTTTTAAAAAAATTGTAGTAAAATACACATCACCTAAAATTTACCATTTTTAAATGTACAGTTCAGTGGCATTAAATACAAATTGGAGGCCAGGCATGGTGGCTCATGCCTGGAATCCCAGCACTTTGAGAGGCTGAGGTGGGAGGATTGCTTGAACCTGGAGGTCGAGGTTGCAGTGAGGTGTGATCACACTACTGCTATAGCCCAGGCAACAGAGTGAGAACCTATCTAAAAAAACAAACAAACAAACAAACAAACAGATTGGCATCACACAGTGTGTGTGCTGCTGTGCTGTGCTGTTATCATTTAACATTAAAACATAAACATCAGCACTGTTATGGACTGAATGTTTGTGTCCCCCAAAATTCCAGTGTTGAAGCTCAAACCTCCAATGTGATGTTATTTGGAGATGGGGTATTTGAGAGGTGGTTAGGTTTAGATGAAATCAGGAGGGAGGGTGGGTTTCGCATGATGAGATTAGTGTCCTTATAACAAGAGACAGCAGAGAGCTTGCTTTCTCCACCATGTGAGTATGCAATGAGAAGGCAGCCATCTCCAAGTCAGAAAGAGAGCCCTCACCAGGGGCTGAATGTGCTGACACCTTGATCTTGGACTTCTAGCCTCCAGAACTGTGAGAAATTTCAGTTGAATAGGCCCCCCAGTCTGTACTATTTTGTTATAGCTTGAGCAGACTAATACACCCATGTTATGAAAAGCTATAAACATCCCTTTAAAGGCCACCTAACGCGTCGTATTACCTCATGCATCTTCTCTGCTGAGCTTTCCAAAAGAGTGGCTTAGGCTGGGCCTGGTGGCTCATGCCTGTAATCCCAGCACTTTGGGAGGCCAAGGCAGGTGGATCACCTGAGGTCAGGAGTTCAAGACCAGCCTGACCAACATGGAGAAATCCCGTCCCTACTAAAAATACAAAATTAGCTGGGCGTGGTGGCGCATGCCTGTAATCCCAGCTACTTGGGAGGCTGAGCCAGGAGAATCACTTGAACCTGGGAGATGGAGGGTGCAGTGAGCCGAGATCGTGCCATTGCATTCCAGCCCGGCCAACAAGAGCGAAACTCCATCTCAAAAAAAAAGAGTGGCTGGCCGGGCGCAGTGGCTCACGCCTGTAATCCCCGCACTGTGGGAGGCCGAGGTGGGTGGATCACGAGGTCAGGAGTTCAAAACCAGCCTGGCCGAGATGGTGAAACCCCGTCTCTACTAAAAATAGAAAAACTAGCCAGGCGCAGTGGCAGGCGCCTGTAATCCCAGCTACTTGGGTGGCTGAGGCAGGAGAATCGCTTGAACCTGGGGGGCGGAGGTTGCAGTGAGCCAAGATGGTGCCACTGCACTCCAGCCTGGGTGACACAGTGAGACCCCGTCTCAAAAAAAAAAAAAAAAAAAAAAAAAGTGGCGTATGTTCCCGGTCTCCACCTCTCATTCGCCAGCCCCTGTGACCAAACCCCTGGGATTAGATCTCCATCGGGTCCCTCCCCTCACCCTAACCTCACATGCAGTGGTTCCTGAGAAGCTGCTGTTTATCTGATCACGGGATCCAGCAGGATCTGAGGGCTCATTCACTGAATCTGTACTACCCAACAAGGCAGGCTTGTCCTTACCCACACTTTTCAGGTGAAAACTTAATCAGATTCAAGCGTTTATCTTAGTGGCCTCTTCGTGGTGTGTGATTTCCTTCTTGCAGCTCTTTACTGGCTAAAACTCTTCACTGGGAGTTAAACCAGGTGTGGTCCTTGACCCTCATCATTTTGTCCCATCTCCTATGCTGGGCTCTGTATCCTTGTCTCCAAGCAGTCTCGTGTGACAGGGAAGTTACCTATTATTGTATGGTCCCCTCTTCTTGTCACCTCTGGTGTGGCACTTGTTCCATTTCTTGTTCAATGAATGTGATTTGTGAATGTGCCACATCTGTGGGAGGAAGGCAGTTCGCAGCAAGAGTTGTAGTTCCCTTGCTTTGCCCTGAGGGCCAGGACTTTACACTAGATTTTTTTGTTGCATTCCTGCACTCATAAAGTACACGTAAACTTAGAGGTGGTGTGTTAAATGCTAGAACTTAAAACTGAGTTCAGCTAGGCTCAAGTGCCCCACAATTTTTGTCCCACCAGACAATTTCATGAATATCTACAGATTGTTCCCTCAATATGCCTCAATATTGAGGCATATTGATTTGGGGAGCACAGACAAGTCAAGGTTGATGTGCATCCGCTGAACATGATCTTAAGTTGTTGAAGTAGGTATTATTAATGAACGAACGTCTATTTTAGCTCCAAGAGCCCCTGGTCTTCCAGAAGAGACTCCCAATGATCTTCCAGAAGCAGCTGGGCTTCTTTTGGTCCTCCCCCACCCAGGTGCAGTCCCGTTCTCCCTGCCTGGGTGAGTTTGATTCCTCTGCCGTGGAATAGGCTAGGCTGCTACCTCTTGAGCCTCTTCCACCAGGCCATCCATTAGGTGGCGACAGAGAGCACTAAAAGGAACTACTATGGAAATAAAACTTGTTTTGCTTCTTGGGGGGAAAAAAAAAGAAAAAGGCTTGTGGGGCGTGTGTGCATTTTAGTCAGATTTTACTGTGCAAAACATTTGAGAGATTTCTGCCCTCTTTCTCCCTTCCATTCTTCTCAACCCACTGGGCGCCCTACCACCCCTGTCTCCTTCAAGATAAGGTAGATCAGAAGACCAAATAGACAAATGCCATGTCCACTGTTTTCTGTCACAGTTGATAGCCATACCAGTCACCCAAGCTGGAAACCCAACAGGCCCCTGCCCTTCACTGCCCACATCCAAGGGAGCCACCAAGTCCCACAAATTGTTCCTTTAACTGTTTGTCCCTCTTTTGTCTTCTGTCATCCCTTCTACCGCTGTCCTGGTTCAATCCCTCATCTTGCTCTGGGACTCCCATGATAACTTATGATCTTTCCTCCACCTCTCTATCTTCCACACAATCCCTATCATCAATCTCATTCCCCTGCTTTAAACCCAAGAGTGGCACCCTGTGTTTGAGTGACATCAGGGCCCCTCATGTGGCTCCTGCTTCTCTTTGTGGCCCCTTCTGTTGCTGCTGCTTTTCTTATGGACATAGCCCTCAGCAGTCCAGGACTGCTTGTAGTTCCTCCCAGGTACCATGTTTCTTGCACTCCTGGCCTTTGTCATTGGCTCCCCTGCCCAAGTCCCCTTCTCTTCTCCTTTCCTTCCCCTGTGGCCTTGCCTTGTCGTGCTTATCCTTGAAGACCCTGTCAGGTATCTCTTCCCCAAAGAGCCCTGCCTAACCACCGCCCCCCTCCCCCCCGCGACACACACACCTGGGTTAGGCCCTGCCTCTCCACGCCTGTGCCTCCTGCCAAGTCCTCAGAGGTCTCTGATCCCATGTGCCTCCAGGCATGGCATAGGGGGACTGTGACACAGCCTCTCGGCCCACAGACCCCTGATTGTGGGCTTGCTCACTGCCCCAGTCAGTCCTCTTATTGAGGATTCCGTGCCAGTTCCTGACTCCAGCACACACACGCATGTAGGCCGCCCTCCTAGTGCCTGGCTCCTTCCCTGTCTCTTCTGCCACTCATTCCCATGGTCGTATCCTGGAGTTGGTCATCTCTGGAACTCCACCCACGGAGTTCTAACTTAGCTCTGCCTATGATGAGGACTTACTGTCTTCCCAGCTTGCAGTGTCAACCACTGTTTGATGCCCCTGGGACTCCATTGGTCTTCCCTCCTCTTGTGAACTGTGCCCATCACCAGACGAACTTGTTTTAGAATTTACCATCGTAACTGAGCTCCCTTCAGCGCATACCTCCTTGGCTCCTGCTCAGTCTCTGTTTCTCCTTTTAGCCAAACTCTCTAAGAGTTCTCTCCACTCATGGGCCCTCTTCCTTGCCTGCTGCTCCTTGCTCAGCTTGCTCCATGAACACTTGCTTTTCCACATTCCATGAAATAATCTTAACAGTCATCAGTGGCTGTCACTCCTTCTCAGCCCTTTCCTTGTGTCTCTTCTGGTACCTCATACTCTCCAGGTGGCCATCTCACCTCACATCTTGAACCCTCTGGGTTTGGGAGAATTCTCACCTCACGAGTTGATGGGAGGCCTGGCGACCTCTGATTGTAGTCACTGCAAATGCCAGATGCTTATTTGCCTAGCTTCCCTTTCGGTCAGGGCAGCAGTTGGCAAACGGTATCTCAAGGGCCAAGTCCGGCCCACTGCCTGTTTTCGTAAATGAAGCTTTACCAGGACCCAGTTCCACCCCGTCCTTTGTGCATTGTCCAAGACTGCTCTCCTGTACAACAGCAGGTGGGCTGGTTGTGACAGATACTGTCTGGCCCACAAGGTGGAAAATACTATCTGGCCCCTTACAGAAAGAAATTACCTGAGTTCTACACGAGGGTGTAGGTATGTACCCTGGCCTCTGCCAGTCAGACTCACATGCTAGGAGGAGCAGGGCCAGGCAGGAGAGCCGTGTCTCCTGGCATTGGGGCTGCAGGAAAGACGAGCTCCTAGGCCACAGTGCCAGTGGCCAGTGCTGCTGCCTTGCAGGGTCGCACAGGCAGTGCTGGCTGTTTGGACTGGCTTGGCAGAAGGATTTGAAGTATTGTTCCTAGCCAACTGGACTCAAACCTGTTCCTCCAACCCTCTAGGGATTCTCTTATCACCCAGTAGCCTTTTCCCCCTAGTTTTAAAAATTGCAGTAAAATACACAAAAGATAAAATGTACTGCCTTAACCATTTTTAAGTGTACAATTCTGTGGTATTGAGCACATTTATATTGTGCAACCATCACCACATGCATCTTCAATAGCTTTTCATCAGTCCTTGTCTGCATAAATCAGCTAGAGTTGGTTTCTATTGATTGCCACCAATAATCTTGACAGATATGTCTGATCTTCCTTCTCTGCACTGACTCCTCTTTCTCTGTCTCCTCTGCTGATTCTTTCTCCTCATCACAACTCCAAATAGCAGGGGGAGGGTTGTTTACACTTATATTCAGCACGCCCTCACGCACTCGCCTGGCTCTTCAGACCTCTCCCCTGAACTCCAGATTCATACATCCAGCTGCCCTTTAGGCCTCTAGAAAGCTAAATACCTCAGTATCAAAAACATGAGAAACGGAAGCCAGAGTCCTGGATCTCTCGCCCTTTCGCTGTCCCGGTGCCCATGCCCTTCAGGGATGGCACCTAGACCAGCTCCCTGCATCCCTGCCTAGACTCTGCAGTAGTCTCACGTGGCAGACCCGGAGGTCACTCTCCTCTCTGGATGCCCTGCGGACACTCCGGTTAGCCTCAGCTGCAAGAGCCTCCTCACCCAAGGTCACGCCATTTCCAGGACAGCACCCTGGTGACTGAGCGAGGTAAGGGTACAAGGCCCTTATAGGGCCTTCTCTTTGACTTCTTCCCACCTCCCTTTATGGATGTCAGTTCCTGATGAACATCTTACACCTCAAACCGTGACCCAACATCTGCTTCTGCAGAGCCCCCCTGTGGCATCTTGTGCCCTCCTGCCCCACTCCCTCTACTCTATATCTTCCCATAGTTAGAATGGGCTTTTTTTTTTTTTTTTTGAGATAAGGTCTCCCTTTGTCACCCAGGCTGGAATGCAATGGCACAGTCACGACTCACTGCAGCCTCAACCTCCTGGGCTCAAGCAGTCCTCCCACCTCAGCCTCCCAAGTAGCTGAGACTACAGGTATGCACCACCACACCTGGCTAATTTTTATATTTTTTGTAGAGACTGGGGTCTCCCTATGTTGCCCGGGCTGGTCTCGAACTCCCAGGCTCAAGCAATCCTCCCGCCTTGGCCTCCCAAAATGCAGGATTACAGGCGTGTACCAGTGTGCCCAGCCTCAGATGGGCTCTTTGAAAAATGTTTATTAGATCAGGTTACTCCCTTGAGAAAAACCCTCTCAGAATAAAACCCGAAGTCCATTACTTGAAAGCAGAGCCAGCTTCATGGGCCTTTGTAACTGCCCATGGGCTTGCTGGAACCCAGGCTTGGTTTAATACTCTACTCTCACCATCTCAAAATTCTTAATTTTTGAACAAGAGGCCCTGCATTTTCATTTTGCACCAGGCTCCACAAATTGTGTAACTGGGCCTGCCTCAGCAGCCACATGGAACATGATCCCTCCTTGCCTATTTGAGCTCATTCTCTACCATTCTCTCCCTTGCTCACCTGGCTCCCACTGCTCTTGCTCTTCCTGGAACTTGCCATAATGTTGCTAGAGTCAGAGCCTTGGCTCTTGCTGCTCCTCATTGGCTGGACCCCTCTTTACTTGACCTGCTCCCTCACCACTCACTTCCTTCAGATCTGTGTTCAGATTTCGTCTTCTCAGAGAGGCTTTTGGCCCCTGTCCATCTCTCTGAATTTACCTCTGACCTCTCCCCCACCACCACTGCGCTAAGCTGCCTCAGAACTTTGTAGACATTCTGTCTGGTCTTCTGATGTTTCCCCCTTGGAAGAATCCCAAGGTGCCTGAAGAATGCTTTCTTTATCCTTGAAGTTGAGTAGGTTGACTAGAGTCTGGCTTGCTATTGAGCATTCTTTATCAAATTGTCCTGGGAACATGGTGTATTCTTTCAGTCTGCAGATGTAGTCGTTGCTGTTTCAGGTCAGCTCTCTTATGGATCTTTGACAGCATCTTCTGTTCCATTTGTTGAGTTCTGTACTTCAGGGACACAAATTCCTCATGTTGGATTGTCTTTGTCTCTCTTCCAATGCTATTAGCTTTGCCGTAATTGGTTTAGCTTTTGTCTTTTTCATCTGCATTCACTTTGTCTAATTTGATTTTCAGCTATGTATATTCTGTTTCTGGCTGTTTTTCAATGTATTTATTAGTTTCATAATGATGTGTTTTGGTCTGCAGTTTGTTTCTCTAGGTTGGAAATTTGTCTTTTCATCTTATTCTGTTTTATCATCCCATCTTTGAACTCTTTTATTGGGAACATGTTCTTATGAAGTTGTGGGGAATTTTTTTCCCTTCCTTGTGTATTCTCTTCTTGGTGGGAGACTTTGCCTTTCTCGTGCCATCTCCCTCCCTGGGCCTCTTTTTTTTCTTCTGGCCATAATATGTTTGCCTAGTTACCATGTCACTTCTTTTCGTCTTGGCTCAGGCTTGGATGGCTCTGCATAGTCGTTCTGTTTGCTTTGAGACAGTGGAGGAATTCTTGGCTCTCTCTTCCCAGTTTCTTGGCATCTTCTCTTGCTGTTTTCCCCTCTGAGCTATCGCGTGCAGGCTTGTTATCTTGTATCCGGAGAGAATTTGCACGCTGGAGGGAGCTGCAGCCATGTAGTCTTCAGCCCTATCTGGATTCTTCTCTTTGTTCTAAGAACTGTGTTGGATGTCTTACTAAGGCTCACTCTAGCTGCACGAGGGATGTGTGTGCCATTTCCATGGGGATAGGGGGCACCTCAGTCTCTGGGTGGTTCCATAATCTGTGTATACCTAAGAGCAGTTGCTTCCCACAGAGCTGGGCTGGCTCACTGGGCACTTTGCCATTTCTCCTGCACCTCCCAGCTGGAGTTTCTGGGTCTAAAAGGAAAAAGTGAAGGACTCCCACTTGGTTGCTTCTCTCCAGCTTACTGACTGCAAATTCCCAGGGCGTTGCCCGCTCCCTAGGGTGGTTTCTGGGGGACGGGGCAGGAGCCTGGCTTTGCTGCTGCTTTGTCCTCTGGAGTCTTTTCTCAGACTGCTTTGAATTACACCCCTTTCCTTTGTGTGCTGAAATCTTCCCTTCACACTCTCCTTCCCTGCCTTTCTTTTGTGTCTTATCTTACTAGGACTGGAAGAGGGCAGTTGTGCAGGAGGTCTGCATCTAATTCCCTAATCCATGTGAGAGTGCTCCTGTTGTGTGCTTTGTGACATGATGGTGAGAAATACTCCCTAGAGCAGTGGCTACCAGAAGGAAGCCATCCCCCCCCCTGCACACACACACACACACACACACACACACACACACACACACACACACTCCTTCTGGCTGTCCTCAGATGCCTATTCTAGGTAAATGTCAGATTCCAAAGAAAATCCAGTTGAGATCTTTTTTCTTTTTTTGAGACGAGAGTCTTGCTGTGTTGCCCAGGCTGGAGTGCAGTGGCACAATCTCGGCTCACTGTAACCTCCGCCTCCTGGGTTCAAGCGATTCTCCTGCCTCAGCCTCCCAAGTAGCTGGGACTACAGGCGCGCACCACCACACCAGGCTAAAATTTTTTTGTATTTTTAGTAGAGACAGGGTTTCACTGTGTTGGCCAGGCTGGTCTCGAACTCCTGACCTCGTGTTCTGCCCGCCTCAGCCTCCCAGAGTGCTGGGATTACAGGCTTGAGCCATCGCGCCCGGCCTCCAGTTGGGATCTTGACTGGAATGACTGGTGTTCAATCATTATAGTTTCCACCTAATTTGTATTTGTACACAGGACAGTTACTAATTTGTTGGTACTTGTTTGATCCCCAGTCCCTAGAGTTGTTTATGGGGTGGAGCTTCAGTCCCTGCTGCTTCCCCTGTGGCAGCAGCTGGAGTCAGGGTGGGGACCCAGGGTGCTGCTGGCAGATTCTTGAGACAGGTAGAATCTCCTCTATATTGGTGTCTCTCTCTGTCCCAGCAGTGCCCAGGAAAACCTGGCCAGCCTGTCACTGACCTCTCCACCTAGGGCACTGGTGGTTCAGGTCCTTCTATTTGCCACCGGCAAACCGTACTTCTGCCAGTCTGGCTCTTAGGCCCAGTTTCTCTGATCTTGCAGATTTTCTTGGGCTCTGCTACGGAATCCTCATACCTCCGGCAGGTCCCTCCTTTGCCCATGTGTTTAACTGTGGTGGAATCGTGTGAGAGCTGCTTCTCTCGCATGGATCCCAGCCACACCACATTCTACAGCGGTTCCTCTGAAGGCATTGATAGAGATATTTCCTCCTGTTTTGCATTTCGTTGGTCATTTCAGTAGAATCAGGGTGAAATAAACATGGGGGCTCAGATGTCAGCATTACGAACCAAGTACGTCAGGCAGGCTGATGTGGACTGACCTACACTAGTGAGACGCAAGATGACGAAAACAAGGGCACTCACTCCAAGTTACTGATGAGATGTTTGGATCAAATGAGCCAGTCCTTAAGCAGAGTTCTCTAGTAAAAGAGATCTCCTTTCTGCCCTTTCTTGTTCCCCAAAATGTGTTGCCTTCATGGTGAAAATTTATTTTGGCAGATTTTCTCTTCTTTGATAAAAGCAGCCAACACTTTGTTAAAAGTCTGTGAAACTTATTTACATGAAGTATGTAAAGGTAAGAAAAAAACATTATCAACAAGAAATGGAGAAAGCCAGCAGCTGAGGACAGAAAAGTCATGCACAGTGTCAGTGTCTATGGAAACAGGCCACTTGGACCTTGAGGACTAGGTATTTGGAATTGGAGGTGAGCTTGGCCTGGTGAGTCTCTAACCACTTGTGTGTAGGATCAGTGTGAGAACCCTGCTAGAATATAGTGGCAGAGATGCAAGGGGAAATCATTGGAGAAGTTACCAGGGAATGATGAGCTAATCTGAAAAAAATACATGTTTCTAAGTTGGGCGTGGTAGCTCATCTGTAGTCCCAGCTACTTGAGAGCCTGAGGCAGGAGGATCGCTTGAGCCCAGCCTGGGCAGCACAGCGAGACCCTATCTCCCTAAAAAAAACTTTTTCGTTGTTTAGTTTTGGGATTTTTTTTTTTCCTGGTCTTTTTTCCCCCTTTTTGTGAATAACGGGATCTCACTATGTTGCCCAGGCAGATCTCGAACTCCTGGGCCCAAGCAATCCTCCTGCCTCTGCCTTCCTAAGATTACAGGTATGAGCCACTGTGTTAAGCAAAAAAACTTTTTTAAATGAAAATCATTTTTTAAAAGACAGGCTTTCCAGGGGAGGGTATTATTCCACTTATATGAAGTGTCAACAGTAGGCAGATTTGTGGAGACAAATAGATTAGTGGTTACCAGGGGCTGAGAGGAGTGGGAGTGGGGAGCAACTGCTTAATGGGTAAAGGGTTGTCTTTGGAACTAGAGAGTAGTGATGGTCGCATGACATTGTGAATGTACTAAATGCTATTAATGATAAATTTTATGTTATGTGTATTTTACCACAATTAAAAAAAAAAGATCAAATGTCCTCAGAATAGCCAACAACCTTCCACTTGGCTAAATGCCTACTCATTAAACTTCTTGAACTAAATTCCTTTCTGATTGTCATGGTTATTGTGTCCTGGGCTTCAGAGTTTCACATTCAGGTTGGCTTGGTCCAGTCTGTCATGTATCACTATAGGTCCCCACATTGGCCTCTTCCTCAGACGGACAGCCCATCTATCTGCCGGGGCTCTGTGCCACAGCCAGATAGACTTGCTCTGAGACAGCTGTGTGGGCTCTGAGCACTGGCCAGGCATCACAAAACCTATCTTTATGATTTAGAATAATTGGTGGTCAGCTGCTGTTTTAATGTTGTTGTTTTTTTTAATTTAGATATAATTCACATACCATGAAATTTACTCATTTAAAGTGTACAATTCATTCTTCAGTATAATTCATAGGCTCACAGAAAAAATTGTTTAAAAATAAAATGTGCAATTCAGTGTCTTTTAGTACATTCACAGAGTTGTGCAACCATCGCCTCTGTGTCATTCCAGAACACTTTCAGCACCCAAAAGAAACCCCAGACACAGGAGCAGTCACCTCTTATTACCCGCAGCCCCTGGCAACAACTCATCCACTTCCTGTCTCTATGGATTTGCCTATTCTGGACATTTCCTATAAATGGAATTATGCACTATTTGGCCTTTTGTGTCTGGCCTCTTTCACTGAGCGTAATGTCCTCAAGGTTCATCTGCATTGTAGCATGTGTCAGAATTTCTTTCCTTTTTGAGGCTGAATGATATTATATCCTATAGATAATGAGGTTTTGATTATCCACCCATCCCTTGGGAATGCATATTTGGGTTGCCCCCACCATTTGGCTGTTGTAAACTGTGCTGCCATGAACACTGGTGTACGGATATCTGTTTGGTTACTGGTTTTGGTTTTTTGTTTGTTTGTTTTGGTTTTTTGAGACAAGGTCTTGCTCTGTCGCCCAGGCTGGATTACAGTGGCACGATCTCTGCTCACTGCAACCTCCACCTCCCAGGTTCAAGCAATTCTCCTGCCTCAGTCTCCTGAGTAGCTGGGACTACAGGTAGCACTCACCACCATGCCCGGCTAAATTTTTTTGTATTTTTAGTAGAGACAAGGTTTCGCCATATTGGCCAGGCTGGTCTCAAACTCCTGACCTCAGGTGATCCACCCACCTCAGCCTCCCAAAGTGCTGGGATTACAGACGTGAGCCACCGCACCCGGCATAGTTGTGGCTTTTTGAGAGTGTATGGCTAGGAGTAAAATTGCCAGGTCATATGGTAACTCCATGTTTAACATTTGAGAAACTGCCAAACTGTTCTCCACAGCAGGAATTTTTTAACCTGTATGTGGTGGGCTTGTGTTTCGGTTTTCATTTTACACATCTATAAAGATGAGATTTGCTGTATGGCACTGGTTGCCTGTATTTGGGGAGGGTTCTGCTTTTGGTTGGCAAGAACTGCATTTTATTTAAGCTTAGCAAAACATAACTGGTTTCTCGCATCTTCTCAAAAGTGGAGGATTAAGAAATGGACTGCGAATTCAGAGCAGGGCAGCTGAACCTCAGGCTCCACCCTTGTAGCCTTCAAGCTGAACCTCATTCTCTCTTGCTCCCTGGAGACCACTGAGACACTCTGCCTGTGCCAGTTTGATTTCTCACATTTTTAAAGGGCCAAAGCTTGTGTCTCAAAGTGCTATAGCCTTTATTGATTCATGCAGAGAAGCCTCCTTGATTCCGTAATTCTGCAGCTAATACTGGAAGTAGAAAGAATTGGAAACACCATCTGGATGACACTTTAGGGTGGAAGCAGCCAGTACAAGGGGGGGCTCATTATTTCCTCTGGTCCCAGACTGTTCACCTGGAGCTGTAGCCACCACCCTGCCCTTAGGTTAACTGCCTCGAGTGGTAGTTTAGCTCTTTGTGCTGTGCCGAGGGATAACTGGAAGTGAAAGGTGCTGAGAAATGCCATCTCCTGAAAGTGGCGAGCATGAGTGAATTTACGAAAGGTTGGGATATTGCTGGGGCTCTGGAAGTTTCTCTGGAGCTCACTCCAGGGGACAGGGAGGGGGCTGGATTCCAATTCAAGTGAAAAATACCTTTCATCTGCCTTGTTCACCTGGCTTTTTTGCCTTTTTGTAAAATCTGAAAACCTCAGGGATTGAGTAGTCTTTCCTTAACTGCAGTTGCCTGTCTGGCCACACCTGCCAGCTGTTGCTTGTACCCCTGTAATTTGCACGGCCTTCCGGGCCTTTCTCACAAGATCACTGCAGGTCACATTCATGAGGAAAATGCAGGCAGTTCCTGCCATCAGACCCCTCAGGATGTCATGGTTTGGCCTGAAAACAAGATTCCTGCAACTCTAATTTTCCTTTGCTAGATCAAATGAAGGATTTGATCTAATGTTTGCATTCTAGCAGCAAAATCATTGAATATTTTATTTCTTAAGAGCCTTACTTCATATTTTGTAGGTATTTTAAGATTTTGTAAAGGCCTTTCTGCTTCAACGTGTGATGTGTGCATTCTTAGAAAAAGATCTTGTGTTCTGTAAATCACACAATAAAAACATGAGTTCGTGCAGGAAAAACTGGGGCGGGGTGGATCACTCCAAACTTGTGTGGTGTGGTAACTGGAGCTCACTGATGAAACCATGAACAGTTCTGGCTGAAAGAACCCCACAGTACACTGAGGTCTGTTGGCATCGCCGCCAGCACCGCCCCGGTCCCTTTGTGCGCGCCACCACACCTGGCTAATTTTTTATTTTTAGTAGAGAGGGGGTTTCACCATGTTGGTCAGGATGGCCTCGAACTGACCTCGTGATCCGCCCACCTCAGCCTCCCAAAGTGCTGGGATTACAGGTGTGAGCCTCCGTGCCCAGCCTTCAGCTTTTTTTCTTAATGTCTTTGTGTAATATGAAGGCATTCTCTTTAATTGTTAAAAAGCTTGCCTACCACTGCTTCAAAATATTACTGTCAGTTGGCATAGCTTCTGATTATATTGATGTCATCTCCCTTCTTTTAAACATGTTACCATATTGGCACTGTATTTCCCCTAGCCCATTGATCACTTGAGAGTTAGTCATAGTCCTCGTGCTGTTTCACTCCTAAACGTTTAAGCATGCCTTTCCTAAGAGCAGACAGTACAGTTAAGACACTCAGGAAGTTTAGCAATGAGCTAACACAGAACCTTACATTTCTCCACATACCCCATAAATGCCTTTTTTAGAGCCTTTGAGCCTGGAATGCAGAGTCCAGGACTGTGTGTTGTATTCGATTGTGTCATCCCTTCAGTCTCCTTTATCAGAAATGTTCCCCCACCCCCTTGTTTTCTCTCATCATCTTGAGTCCAGACCGTGGTTGCATGGCACGCCCTCTCTGGACTCTTCCTGCTGTCTCCTCACGGTAAGCTTCAGTCTCCTACTCGTGATGCTGGTTCATCTCAGCAGCACTGAGGGGCCTGAGCTCAGTTTGGTCGTGTGTTAAGGTGGTGCCTGCCAGATTTCTCCACAGAAAAGGGCCCCGTACTTTTATTTGCTCTTCAGCCTGTGTATTCCTTCCTTTCTTGCCAGCTTGTGGGTGGCTTCTCTAGCAGCTTCTGTAAGATACTCAGTTTGGCAGTTGTAGTTGTTTCAGCAGGAGAGGTGTCTGCATACCTGACCACCACATGGCTAGAAGTCGATCCATCCTCTGGCGTAACCATCCTCCATGCTACTGTCCCTGGGGCACTGAGGCCCTCCTCAGTGACTTCCTCCACCTCATCTTCCGCCATCTCCAAGCCACCAGTGTCCAACGGACTACTGATATGTCCCAAACTCATCATTTGTTTATTCACCAATTCAGAGCCCACCTTTTTTTCAGCACTGAGCTAGCCTCTCCTTGCTAGAAGCTTACGGTCGAAGGTCTCCAGCCATCAGAAGAAGCACGTGGAGCGCTGCGTCCGTGTTGTGGTTATTCATCCAGCATGTGTTGAGTAAGGGTTGCACCTGTGCCTGGCATTATGCATTGAGCGGGGAGATGGGGGTTGGCACGCACAGTGGGGTGTTCTAAGTACACTGAGGGCTCGGGTGCCCTGGCTCATAGAGCAGGGAGGGAGGCAGGAGCAGGGAAGGTGTCTCAGAAGTGCCATCTTTTTTTTTTTTTTTTTGGGAAGTGGAATCTTGTTCTATCGCCTGGTCTGGAGTGCAATGGCACTATCTCAACTCACTGCAGCCTCCGCCTCCCAGGTTCAAGCGATTCTCATGCCTCAGTCCCCGAGTAGCTGGGACCACAGGCGCACACCACCACACCCGGCAAATATTTTGTATTTTTAGTAGAGGCGGAGTTTTGCCATGTTGGCCAGGCTGGTCTTAAACTCCTGGCCTCAAGTGATCTGCTCACCTCGGCCTCCTAAGGTGTTGGGATTACAGGCATGAGCCACTGCGCCCGGTCTAGAAGTGCCATCCTAACTGAACCTGAAAGATGAAAGTTCTCCAGATGAACCTGAAAGTTCTCCAAATGAAAAGGTGGGAGGGGGTGACAGGGTTAGGCCCAGAGCCTCTGGTGACACAGGGTGGGCATCATTGGTCACTTTTTCCTCGAGGGAGGGGCGTCACACGGGTGATAGGGTGGGAGCTATAACCATGTTGATAGTGCCGCCTCTGCCCATCTGGCCTGGCATGCCCTGAGCCCTCTGTCCCACCTGTGGAACTCATAAGCCCTGACAGCCCACTCACTCCTGATTCATTATCCACACCCCTGTGCTTCCGCTGTGCCTGGAGCAAGCTTTCTTCAGGGGGAAGGGAGGCTGGAACTATGTTGTAGTTACCTATTTGTCCTCCCTTCCAAACTGTGAGTTCTTGGAGGTGGAAGGATGCTGCAGGATCTGGCTCAGGACGAAGGCAGTTGGTGAACAGACACGTGTGTTTTTGACTCACGGTGATCTCAGACAAGTTCCTCTGTCTAGTCGAACTTCTTTTTTTCCATCTGTAACACTCAGGAGTTGAATAGGTGGTTTTTCTGAGGATACTTCAACTGTAAAATGTATGAACTTGTGAACTAGCTATTTAGTTCTCCTCATAATCAAGATTGTGTGTGTGTGGGGGGTTCTGATTAGAGGGAGGATGAAGAGAGGTGTATGGGGTTTTTTTTGTTTTGTTTTCTGTTTGTTTGTTTGTTTTTGAGATGGAGTCTCACTCTGTCACCCAGGCTGGAGTGCAGTGGCACGATTTCGGTTCACTGCAACCTCTGCCTCCTGGGTTCAAGTGATTCTCCTGCCTCAGCCTCCTGAGTAACTGGGATTACAGGCATGCACCACCATGCCCAGCTAATTTTTGTATTTTTAATAGAGATGGGGTTTTCGCCATGTTGGCCAGGCTGGTCTCGAACTCCTGACCTCAGGTGATCCACCTGCCTCGGCCTCCCAAAGTGCTGGGATTATAGGCATGAGCCACCACACCTGGCAGGTTTCTTTGAAAAAGTTTGTGTTTCGGCAAACACCATAAACCCCCTGGGGGACAGCCTTGGGGAGTCACCTGGCACCCTAGCCCAGCCTCCCTCCCTTGGGTCCTGCAGTGAAGGCTTAGTGAGGGTGTGCAAATGCCCAGGTCACCCTGGGACTGGGCAGGCCCTCTGGGCTAA
Source organism: Homo sapiens (assembly GCF_000001405.40). Classification (NCBI taxonomy): domain Eukaryota; kingdom Metazoa; phylum Chordata; class Mammalia; order Primates; family Hominidae; genus Homo; species Homo sapiens. The sequence goes on along the minus strand of NC_000023.11, from coordinate 154,038,145 downwards.
GGGTAAACTCATTTGGAATACCTGTTTTCTATCATTGTTTTTTATTTGTTAAATTTAAAGGGTACAAGTGCAGTTTTGTTGCGTGGATATATTGTATAGTAGTGAAGTCTGAGCTTTCAGTGTAACCATCACCTGAATAGTGGACATTGTACCCGTTAAGTAATGTCTCATCCCTCACCCCCTCCCACCCTTCCCAGTCTCTCCAGTGTCTGCCATTCCTCACTCTGTCCATGTGCACATGCTATTCAGCTCCTGCTTCTAAGTGAGAACGTACGGTATTTGACTTTCTGTGTCTGAGCTGTGTCACTGAAGACAATGGACTCCAGCTCCATCCACGTTTTTTATCATTTTTACCTGCACTCCACACCCAGCACAATCCAGGCTTCTTTGTGGGTTTTTTGAAATTTGTCTTTAATTATAAAAGTAGCAGCCAGCAAATTAACAAACACCCATGTGCCTTTCATTGCACAGAATTGAAAATCATCATACTATATTTGCTTCAAGTAATTTCCATTAGAAAGAACTAGAATATTACAGTAGAGTTAAAGACCCTTTATTTCCCATCTTCAGTGCTCTTAAAAGTTCATTTAGGGCCAGGCATGGTGGCTCACACCTATAATCCCAGCACTTTGAGAGGCCCAGGTGGGTGGATCACCTGAGGTCAGGAGTTCAAGACCAGCCTGGCCAACATGGCGAAACCCCATCTCTACTAAAAATACAAAAATTAGCTGGGCGTGGTGGTGCGCATCTGTAATCTCAGCTACTCGGGAGGCTGAGGCAGGAGAATCGCTTGAACTCAGGAGGGAGGCAGAGCCTGTATGCAGTAAGCCGAGATTGCGCCACCACACCCCAGCATGGGTGACAGAGCAAGACTCCGTCTCAAAAAAAAAAAAAAAAAAGTTCATTCATTGTACACTTAGAAATAGTTAAAAAGGTAAACTTTGTTTTGTGTGTGTGTGTATATATATATATATATATATATATATATATATATATATATATGTATTTTTTTTTGAGACATATATGTGTCTGGTTTGTTCGCCCAGGCAGGAGTGCAGTGGCATGATCAACGGCTCACTGCAGCCTCAACTTCCTAGGCTCAAGTGATCCTCCTGCCTCAGCCTCCCGAGTAGCTAGGATTACAGGCACACACCACCATGCCCAGCTAATTTTTTTTTTTTTTTTTTTTTTTTGTAGAGACAGGGTTTTGCTATGTTGCCCAGGCTGGTCTCAAACTCCTGAGCTCAAGCGATCCACCTGCCTCACCTCCCAAAGTGCTGGGATTACAAGTGTAAGCCACCACACCTGACCTGTTTTGTATATTTTACCACAATAAAAAGCCTTTAAAACCCCAAGCAGACAGTTCATTTTCATTCAGGCCCAACTCAGAATCTGATCACAGCGGGGTTTCCCCCCTTTCTAGCGAGTAGCTGAAGAACTGTTTTCTCTCCTTGATGGTATAACTGTCTCTGTGGGTGTTGCTCCCCTGCCGCTCCAGTGGTTTTGTTTTTGTTTTTGTTTTTTTGAGACGGAGTCTTGCGATCTCAGCTCACTGCGACCTCTGCCTCCTGGGTTCAGGCGATTCTTCTCCCTCAGCCTTCCATGTAGCTGGGACTTACAGGCACCTGCCACCACGCCCGGCTCATTTTTGTATTTTTAGTAGAGACGGAGTTTCACCATGTTGGCCAGGTTGGGCTCGAACTCCAGACCTCAGGTGATCCACCTGCCTCAGCCTCCCACAGTGCTGGGATTACAGGTGAGAGCCACTGCACCCAGCCGGCCCCTCAGTCTTTTCCTTCTCAATCAGTGGCACCACCATCTTCCCAGGCTTTGGACATGGTCCCTGACTCACCCTTGCCCCTCACCCCCACACTAATCCACCTGCGAGCTCTGTTGCTTCACCACCTAGACCAGCCCCAAATCCTCAACTGCCCCCACCCTGGGCCACACCTGGACCACTGCTAGAGGCCTCTCATGGGCCCTCCCTGTTTTTCTCTTGCACTCCCCGGGCTTTCTGGCACAAGATGCCCCAGAAGCAGAATCACATATCTCTCCTGGGAGCCAATCTAGTGTGTTTACTGCCCCTGGAGTGTTATTGTTGGCCTTAGAATATGTCCCACTACAGGTTTGCAGAGCACTGTAGTCAAAAGTCATTTGAAATAAATCTTTTCTCTGTGGTATATTGTCAATTTGATATAGAATTAAATTTGTTTCTTTTCTTTTTTCTTTTCTTTTTTTTTTTTTTTAAGAGACAGGGTCTTGGCCAGGCGTGGTGTCTCATGCCTGTAATCCCGGCACTTTGGGAAGCCAAGGTGGGTGGATCGCCTGAGGTCAGGAATTCAAGACCAACCTGGCCAGCATGGTGAAACCCCGTCTCTGCTAAAAATACAAAAATTAGCCGGGCGTGATGGCAGGTACCTGTAATCCCAGCTACTCGGGAAGCTGAGGCAGGAGAAGGCTTGAACTCAGGAGTCGGAGGTTGCAGTGAGCCAAGATCACGCCATGGCACTCTAGCAAGACTCTGTCTCAAAAAAAAAAAAAGAGAGAGAGAGAGACAGGGTCTTGCTCTGTCACTCAGGCTGGAGTGCAGTGATGTAGTCATGGCTCACTGCAGCCTCATACTCCTGACCTCAGGTGATCGACCCGCCTCGGCCTCCCAAAGTGCTGGGATCGTAGGCTGAAGCCACCATGCCTGGCCCGAACTCATTTGTTTTTATTTGCATTAAGTGTAATAAGGTTTTGTTACTTTTAGTTTGAATTTTATTTTGGGTAATATAAACATTTACATGATTCAGAAGTCAGAATTACACTGAGGCATGTTCAGCTAGGCCTCACTCCTGTGCCTGTACCCTTACCTTTTTCCCCCTACCCCATGCAGGGAATCAATTTCATTAGTTCCTGGTGTGTCCTTCCTTAATACCCCCCCTTCTTTCTTTGGTAGAATGCAGTAGATATGTTTGCGCTTTGCTCCCTTTGCTTCACAGTGGATCCTGGAAATGACTCCATCGCAGTTCTTAGAGCTCTTGTTTAGTCCCTTTGGATCTGCACAGTACTCCAGTGTGTGGGCGCACCATAAGTTTATTCAGCAAGTGCCCTGGTGATAGGGATCGGGGGTATTGGAAGCCTTTGGCTGGTAAAAATAATGTTGTAGCAAATAACATCATGCATATGTTCTTTGAGATTTCTGGAGGTGTCTCTTTAGCATAGATTTCTAGAAGGCATTCCTTACGTCACGTTTAGGTTTATAGTTTGACCTCATGGTGATTAAGGTATTTGGGAAATGCAAATGAGAGTTTCGAAGAAGCCAGATCTTTCCCATTAGTTCACTGTTTTTCTCTGACATTAGGACCGTCCGGGTTCTAGGGAGCAGCCCTGGCGTTAGGCAGTGCCATGATGGATTGTGTAGAAGTAGCGATTCCCATCTGTCTGCTTTCTTGGCCCACTCTGCTGGTGGCTCCCCTTCCCTCCCTCCTTTATGGGGAGCTGGGGAGCTGCCTAGGGGTCCATTCTCAAAGGCTGATCTCTGGTGGGCAACAGGCCACACCTAGCTTTCCAGGGTTCTTCGTCATTTCCCATTGAGAGCTGTAAGACTCAGAGACATGAAAAGGAAGCTCTGGCTGGGCACGGTGGCTCACGCCTGTAATCCCAGCACTTTGGGAGGCTGAGGCGGGTCGATCACCTGAGGTCAGGAGTTCGAGACCAGCCTGCCCAACATGGTGAAACCCCGTCTCCACTAAACATACAAAAATTAGCCTGGCGTGGTAGCACACGCCTGTGATCCCAGCTACTCCGGAGGCTGAGGCAGGAGAATAACTTGAACCCGGCAGGCGGAGGTTGCGATGAGCCGATATTATGCCATCGGCAACAGAGCGAGACTCCATCTCAAAAAAAAAACAAAAAACAAAACAAGGCGAGCTCTGTGCTGGGACAGATTAGGGACCCCTCTTTACAGCAAGAAAGACTGCTCTGTGGGTTGTAGGATGCCTTTGTGTATGCAGTGGCTCTAGGTGACTCTGGCAGCCACACTCTGGGCCCTAAACTTCTGGAGGAAGATACAGGATAGGGAGGAACTCAGGGGTGAGTCATGGTGGGGACAAGACATTCCCTCACTCTAAGACCTTGTCACTAGATTGGAACATCTCTTGCCTCCCTACACCTGACCTGATGGTTCTGGAGAGATACGTCCTTGCAGCTTCTGAGTCCCAGCACTAAGCAGCCTTTGGTAACTTCCCTACATCATTTGAGTTCTGGTTTCCTAAGGATGCTTGCCAGTGAGTGCCATGGTGCCCTCATTGCACAGTCTGTGCAGTGTAGACAAGAGGGGAAGTCTCTTGGGGTAGACCAGCCGCAAGGCGGTGACTAGCACTGATGTGAACCACATGGGACAGGGGAGTTGTGGGGCTGAGAACACGGAGGGTGGGAGTAGTCATGCTCTTTTCCAGAATGAACTGCTAACGAAGGGACTCGCAGGTGGCTGCTGCTTCTTTCCAAGCTGCCCCTGTTGTTGCAGAGGCTCTGGAGTCCTAGGAGGTTTCACGGTGGCATACTCGACAGAGTACTAGAGCATCATGGCCAGATAGTGATGCTGGGGTGTGGGGCCTCACGGTGGCCATTTCTGACGAGACCCCACCGGGCCAAAGTGATGTGTAGAGAAGGAGCTGCTTCGGTCACCAGAAAAGAACGGGGAAGCCTCCCACACTAGAATAGGTAGGGTGCTCTTCTCCACCGGCAGGAAGGGGATGTATGGCTCTGCCTGGACCACACCTTTTTCCTTGCTCTTCCCTCCGCATCTGCTGTGGCCGAGGCCATTCCTCATCAGGGAACATGTGTTAGAGGCTCACGCCACCTGGGACCACTTGTCTTATCACCCCCAGGACCCTAGGCGGTAGTTTCCTGTGGCCTGAGTTAGCTGATATTTATATAGTGCCATTGTGCCTTTTCTCCTGTGATGCTCACAGTAAGGATGCCTAGATGGGGTTACCTGTTGTCAAGATAAGGAAACTGAAGCACAGAATGCTGAGGTCATTTGCTGGGTTCATGTTTGGAAAGCGGCAAAGGATTTCAGTGCAGGTTGGCTGGCTCCAAACCTGTGTGTGCTTTCCATGACACTGTACTGTGTGCCTCATTGAGCCTCATTCTAGAAAACCAAAAACACACCCAAGGCCCGGCCTTCACAAAGGAGACCCCTCCCCCATTTGGCTCCCTTTCCAGCAGTCGACGGCCTCTTGTCAGCCATCGAGCCCAGAGTCCCTTGAAGTGCGACTCATGCTGGGGTGGTATGCTCAGGAGCCGCAGTGTTTCCGCTCAGAGGAAAGGGCTCTGATTCTCCTGCAGTGCTAGGAGACTTGTGGGTGGCCACAGTGCAGGTCAGGCACACCGGCCAGCACCACCCACAGCCCAAATTCCTAAAGAAATATTTGGGTCCCAGCTTGGCCCGAGTCTCTGTTGTCCTGGGGAAGGACATCAAGATCTGAGTGTATGATGGCCTGGGGCCTTGCATGTGGTGGGGGTCCAAGCCTGCCTCTGCTCACTTGTTCTGCAGACTGGCATGTTCTCTGTGATACTTACATACTTGTTTAACACTTCAGGGAAGAAAAGTCAGAAGACCAGGACCTCCAGGGCCTCAAGGACAAACCCCTCAAGTTTAAAAAGGTGAAGAAAGATAAGAAAGAAGAGAAAGAGGGCAAGCATGAGCCCGTGCAGCCATCAGCCCACCACTCTGCTGAGCCCGCAGAGGCAGGCAAAGCAGAGACATCAGAAGGGTCAGGCTCCGCCCCGGCTGTGCCGGAAGCTTCTGCCTCCCCCAAACAGCGGCGCTCCATCATCCGTGACCGGGGACCCATGTATGATGACCCCACCCTGCCTGAAGGCTGGACACGGAAGCTTAAGCAAAGGAAATCTGGCCGCTCTGCTGGGAAGTATGATGTGTATTTGATCAAGTAAGTAAGAGCAACTCCTATCTCTACAGGGCAGGGAGGGCAGGGACAAGGATCCCTCATGGAGCAGGAAAATGTATGTGCCCAGGGTGGGGTCGGGGGGAACATAAACAATGAACACTGAGACCAGGTGTGCTTGAAATGACCGTGTACAGAGGTCGCTGCCCTGAGTGGGAAGTTCTCAAGGTAGCAGGCCCTCTATCCTCTCCACACCTCAAGTCTTTATCTGGGGATGGAATAGCTGCGGAAGCAGAGGAACTTGCAGAGCTAGGGGTTCAGAGGGGTGAAGAAGCATGTTTCAGTTCTGCCTTTTAAATGATCCCAAAAAGGTTAGCAGTTTTCAAATGACATTTGCAGACAGCCTCATTTAATTCCATGAGAAGGGTGAGCAAAGGATTATCTTGTTGAAACTGATTCCTGGAGAGACTGAGCACCGTACCTGAGTTCAAACTTGGGAATGTTCTAGATGGTGACTCAGGCCCAGGCACCAACCAGCAGAATGGGCCTCAGCCTGACAACCCTTCTGTACCAGGCCTGACTCTTTGGTTGCTGAACTTTGGAGAGGCCTGGGGGGGTCAGCGGCAGGCAGACGAGTGAGTGGCTTTGGTGACAGGTCCTCAGGGGCAGCCAGGCAGTGTGACTCTCGTTCAATAGTAACGTTTGTCAGAGCGTTGTCACCACCATCCGCTCTGCCCTATCTCTGACATTGCTATGGAGAGCCTCTAATTGTTCCTTGTGTCTTTCTGTTTGTCCCCACAGTCCCCAGGGAAAAGCCTTTCGCTCTAAAGTGGAGTTGATTGCGTACTTCGAAAAGGTAGGCGACACATCCCTGGACCCTAATGATTTTGACTTCACGGTAACTGGGAGAGGGAGCCCCTCCCGGCGAGAGCAGAAACCACCTAAGAAGCCCAAATCTCCCAAAGCTCCAGGAACTGGCAGAGGCCGGGGACGCCCCAAAGGGAGCGGCACCACGAGACCCAAGGCGGCCACGTCAGAGGGTGTGCAGGTGAAAAGGGTCCTGGAGAAAAGTCCTGGGAAGCTCCTTGTCAAGATGCCTTTTCAAACTTCGCCAGGGGGCAAGGCTGAGGGGGGTGGGGCCACCACATCCACCCAGGTCATGGTGATCAAACGCCCCGGCAGGAAGCGAAAAGCTGAGGCCGACCCTCAGGCCATTCCCAAGAAACGGGGCCGAAAGCCGGGGAGTGTGGTGGCAGCCGCTGCCGCCGAGGCCAAAAAGAAAGCCGTGAAGGAGTCTTCTATCCGATCTGTGCAGGAGACCGTACTCCCCATCAAGAAGCGCAAGACCCGGGAGACGGTCAGCATCGAGGTCAAGGAAGTGGTGAAGCCCCTGCTGGTGTCCACCCTCGGTGAGAAGAGCGGGAAAGGACTGAAGACCTGTAAGAGCCCTGGGCGGAAAAGCAAGGAGAGCAGCCCCAAGGGGCGCAGCAGCAGCGCCTCCTCACCCCCCAAGAAGGAGCACCACCACCATCACCACCACTCAGAGTCCCCAAAGGCCCCCGTGCCACTGCTCCCACCCCTGCCCCCACCTCCACCTGAGCCCGAGAGCTCCGAGGACCCCACCAGCCCCCCTGAGCCCCAGGACTTGAGCAGCAGCGTCTGCAAAGAGGAGAAGATGCCCAGAGGAGGCTCACTGGAGAGCGACGGCTGCCCCAAGGAGCCAGCTAAGACTCAGCCCGCGGTTGCCACCGCCGCCACGGCCGCAGAAAAGTACAAACACCGAGGGGAGGGAGAGCGCAAAGACATTGTTTCATCCTCCATGCCAAGGCCAAACAGAGAGGAGCCTGTGGACAGCCGGACGCCCGTGACCGAGAGAGTTAGCTGACTTTACACGGAGCGGATTGCAAAGCAAACCAACAAGAATAAAGGCAGCTGTTGTCTCTTCTCCTTATGGGTAGGGCTCTGACAAAGCTTCCCGATTAACTGAAATAAAAAATATTTTTTTTTCTTTCAGTAAACTTAGAGTTTCGTGGCTTCAGGGTGGGAGTAGTTGGAGCATTGGGGATGTTTTTCTTACCGACAAGCACAGTCAGGTTGAAGACCTAACCAGGGCCAGAAGTAGCTTTGCACTTTTCTAAACTAGGCTCCTTCAACAAGGCTTGCTGCAGATACTACTGACCAGACAAGCTGTTGACCAGGCACCTCCCCTCCCGCCCAAACCTTTCCCCCATGTGGTCGTTAGAGACAGAGCGACAGAGCAGTTGAGAGGACACTCCCGTTTTCGGTGCCATCAGTGCCCCGTCTACAGCTCCCCCAGCTCCCCCCACCTCCCCCACTCCCAACCACGTTGGGACAGGGAGGTGTGAGGCAGGAGAGACAGTTGGATTCTTTAGAGAAGATGGATATGACCAGTGGCTATGGCCTGTGCGATCCCACCCGTGGTGGCTCAAGTCTGGCCCCACACCAGCCCCAATCCAAAACTGGCAAGGACGCTTCACAGGACAGGAAAGTGGCACCTGTCTGCTCCAGCTCTGGCATGGCTAGGAGGGGGGAGTCCCTTGAACTACTGGGTGTAGACTGGCCTGAACCACAGGAGAGGATGGCCCAGGGTGAGGTGGCATGGTCCATTCTCAAGGGACGTCCTCCAACGGGTGGCGCTAGAGGCCATGGAGGCAGTAGGACAAGGTGCAGGCAGGCTGGCCTGGGGTCAGGCCGGGCAGAGCACAGCGGGGTGAGAGGGATTCCTAATCACTCAGAGCAGTCTGTGACTTAGTGGACAGGGGAGGGGGCAAAGGGGGAGGAGAAGAAAATGTTCTTCCAGTTACTTTCCAATTCTCCTTTAGGGACAGCTTAGAATTATTTGCACTATTGAGTCTTCATGTTCCCACTTCAAAACAAACAGATGCTCTGAGAGCAAACTGGCTTGAATTGGTGACATTTAGTCCCTCAAGCCACCAGATGTGACAGTGTTGAGAACTACCTGGATTTGTATATATACCTGCGCTTGTTTTAAAGTGGGCTCAGCACATAGGGTTCCCACGAAGCTCCGAAACTCTAAGTGTTTGCTGCAATTTTATAAGGACTTCCTGATTGGTTTCTCTTCTCCCCTTCCATTTCTGCCTTTTGTTCATTTCATCCTTTCACTTCTTTCCCTTCCTCCATCCTCCTCCTTCCTAGTTCATCCCTTCTCTTCCAGGCAGCCGCGGTGCCCAACCACACTTGTCGGCTCCAGTCCCCAGAACTCTGCCTGCCCTTTGTCCTCCTGCTGCCAGTACCAGCCCCACCCTGTTTTGAGCCCTGAGGAGGCCTTGGGCTCTGCTGAGTCCGACCTGGCCTGTCTGTGAAGAGCAAGAGAGCAGCAAGGTCTTGCTCTCCTAGGTAGCCCCCTCTTCCCTGGTAAGAAAAAGCAAAAGGCATTTCCCACCCTGAACAACGAGCCTTTTCACCCTTCTACTCTAGAGAAGTGGACTGGAGGAGCTGGGCCCGATTTGGTAGTTGAGGAAAGCACAGAGGCCTCCTGTGGCCTGCCAGTCATCGAGTGGCCCAACAGGGGCTCCATGCCAGCCGACCTTGACCTCACTCAGAAGTCCAGAGTCTAGCGTAGTGCAGCAGGGCAGTAGCGGTACCAATGCAGAACTCCCAAGACCCGAGCTGGGACCAGTACCTGGGTCCCCAGCCCTTCCTCTGCTCCCCCTTTTCCCTCGGAGTTCTTCTTGAATGGCAATGTTTTGCTTTTGCTCGATGCAGACAGGGGGCCAGAACACCACACATTTCACTGTCTGTCTGGTCCATAGCTGTGGTGTAGGGGCTTAGAGGCATGGGCTTGCTGTGGGTTTTTAATTGATCAGTTTTCATGTGGGATCCCATCTTTTTAACCTCTGTTCAGGAAGTCCTTATCTAGCTGCATATCTTCATCATATTGGTATATCCTTTTCTGTGTTTACAGAGATGTCTCTTATATCTAAATCTGTCCAACTGAGAAGTACCTTATCAAAGTAGCAAATGAGACAGCAGTCTTATGCTTCCAGAAACACCCACAGGCATGTCCCATGTGAGCTGCTGCCATGAACTGTCAAGTGTGTGTTGTCTTGTGTATTTCAGTTATTGTCCCTGGCTTCCTTACTATGGTGTAATCATGAAGGAGTGAAACATCATAGAAACTGTCTAGCACTTCCTTGCCAGTCTTTAGTGATCAGGAACCATAGTTGACAGTTCCAATCAGTAGCTTAAGAAAAAACCGTGTTTGTCTCTTCTGGAATGGTTAGAAGTGAGGGAGTTTGCCCCGTTCTGTTTGTAGAGTCTCATAGTTGGACTTTCTAGCATATATGTGTCCATTTCCTTATGCTGTAAAAGCAAGTCCTGCAACCAAACTCCCATCAGCCCAATCCCTGATCCCTGATCCCTTCCACCTGCTCTGCTGATGACCCCCCCAGCTTCACTTCTGACTCTTCCCCAGGAAGGGAAGGGGGGTCAGAAGAGAGGGTGAGTCCTCCAGAACTCTTCCTCCAAGGACAGAAGGCTCCTGCCCCCATAGTGGCCTCGAACTCCTGGCACTACCAAAGGACACTTATCCACGAGAGCGCAGCATCCGACCAGGTTGTCACTGAGAAGATGTTTATTTTGGTCAGTTGGGTTTTTATGTATTATACTTAGTCAAATGTAATGTGGCTTCTGGAATCATTGTCCAGAGCTGCTTCCCCGTCACCTGGGCGTCATCTGGTCCTGGTAAGAGGAGTGCGTGGCCCACCAGGCCCCCCTGTCACCCATGACAGTTCATTCAGGGCCGATGGGGCAGTCGTGGTTGGGAACACAGCATTTCAAGCGTCACTTTATTTCATTCGGGCCCCACCTGCAGCTCCCTCAAAGAGGCAGTTGCCCAGCCTCTTTCCCTTCCAGTTTATTCCAGAGCTGCCAGTGGGGCCTGAGGCTCCTTAGGGTTTTCTCTCTATTTCCCCCTTTCTTCCTCATTCCCTCGTCTTTCCCAAAGGCATCACGAGTCAGTCGCCTTTCAGCAGGCAGCCTTGGCGGTTTATCGCCCTGGCAGGCAGGGGCCCTGCAGCTCTCATGCTGCCCCTGCCTTGGGGTCAGGTTGACAGGAGGTTGGAGGGAAAGCCTTAAGCTGCAGGATTCTCACCAGCTGTGTCCGGCCCAGTTTTGGGGTGTGACCTCAATTTCAATTTTGTCTGTACTTGAACATTATGAAGATGGGGGCCTCTTTCAGTGAATTTGTGAACAGCAGAATTGACCGACAGCTTTCCAGTACCCATGGGGCTAGGTCATTAAGGCCACATCCACAGTCTCCCCCACCCTTGTTCCAGTTGTTAGTTACTACCTCCTCTCCTGACAATACTGTATGTCGTCGAGCTCCCCCCAGGTCTACCCCTCCCGGCCCTGCCTGCTGGTGGGCTTGTCATAGCCAGTGGGATTGCCGGTCTTGACAGCTCAGTGAGCTGGAGATACTTGGTCACAGCCAGGCGCTAGCACAGCTCCCTTCTGTTGATGCTGTATTCCCATATCAAAAGACACAGGGGACACCCAGAAACGCCACATCCCCCAATCCATCAGTGCCAAACTAGCCAACGGCCCCAGCTTCTCAGCTCGCTGGATGGCGGAAGCTGCTACTCGTGAGCGCCAGTGCGGGTGCAGACAATCTTCTGTTGGGTGGCATCATTCCAGGCCCGAAGCATGAACAGTGCACCTGGGACAGGGAGCAGCCCCAAATTGTCACCTGCTTCTCTGCCCAGCTTTTCATTGCTGTGACAGTGATGGCGAAAGAGGGTAATAACCAGACACAAACTGCCAAGTTGGGTGGAGAAAGGAGTTTCTTTAGCTGACAGAATCTCTGAATTTTAAATCACTTAGTAAGCGGCTCAAGCCCAGGAGGGAGCAGAGGGATACGAGCGGAGTCCCCTGCGCGGGACCATCTGGAATTGGTTTAGCCCAAGTGGAGCCTGACAGCCAGAACTCTGTGTCCCCCGTCTAACCACAGCTCCTTTTCCAGAGCATTCCAGTCAGGCTCTCTGGGCTGACTGGGCCAGGGGAGGTTACAGGTACCAGTTCTTTAAGAAGATCTTTGGGCATATACATTTTTAGCCTGTGTCATTGCCCCAAATGGATTCCTGTTTCAAGTTCACACCTGCAGATTCTAGGACCTGTGTCCTAGACTTCAGGGAGTCAGCTGTTTCTAGAGTTCCTACCATGGAGTGGGTCTGGAGGACCTGCCCGGTGGGGGGGCAGAGCCCTGCTCCCTCCGGGTCTTCCTACTCTTCTCTCTGCTCTGACGGGATTTGTTGATTCTCTCCATTTTGGTGTCTTTCTCTTTTAGATATTGTATCAATCTTTAGAAAAGGCATAGTCTACTTGTTATAAATCGTTAGGATACTGCCTCCCCCAGGGTCTAAAATTACATATTAGAGGGGAAAAGCTGAACACTGAAGTCAGTTCTCAACAATTTAGAAGGAAAACCTAGAAAACATTTGGCAGAAAATTACATTTCGATGTTTTTGAATGAATACGAGCAAGCTTTTACAACAGTGCTGATCTAAAAATACTTAGCACTTGGCCTGAGATGCCTGGTGAGCATTACAGGCAAGGGGAATCTGGAGGTAGCCGACCTGAGGACATGGCTTCTGAACCTGTCTTTTGGGAGTGGTATGGAAGGTGGAGCGTTCACCAGTGACCTGGAAGGCCCAGCACCACCCTCCTTCCCACTCTTCTCATCTTGACAGAGCCTGCCCCAGCGCTGACGTGTCAGGAAAACACCCAGGGAACTAGGAAGGCACTTCTGCCTGAGGGGCAGCCTGCCTTGCCCACTCCTGCTCTGCTCGCCTCGGATCAGCTGAGCCTTCTGAGCTGGCCTCTCACTGCCTCCCCAAGGCCCCCTGCCTGCCCTGTCAGGAGGCAGAAGGAAGCAGGTGTGAGGGCAGTGCAAGGAGGGAGCACAACCCCCAGCTCCCGCTCCGGGCTCCGACTTGTGCACAGGCAGAGCCCAGACCCTGGAGGAAATCCTACCTTTGAATTCAAGAACATTTGGGGAATTTGGAAATCTCTTTGCCCCCAAACCCCCATTCTGTCCTACCTTTAATCAGGTCCTGCTCAGCAGTGAGAGCAGATGAGGTGAAAAGGCCAAGAGGTTTGGCTCCTGCCCACTGATAGCCCCTCTCCCCGCAGTGTTTGTGTGTCAAGTGGCAAAGCTGTTCTTCCTGGTGACCCTGATTATATCCAGTAACACATAGACTGTGCGCATAGGCCTGCTTTGTCTCCTCTATCCTGGGCTTTTGTTTTGCTTTTTAGTTTTGCTTTTAGTTTTTCTGTCCCTTTTATTTAACGCACCGACTAGACACACAAAGCAGTTGAATTTTTATATATATATCTGTATATTGCACAATTATAAACTCATTTTGCTTGTGGCTCCACACACACAAAAAAAGACCTGTTAAAATTATACCTGTTGCTTAATTACAATATTTCTGATAACCATAGCATAGGACAAGGGAAAATAAAAAAAGAAAAAAAAGAAAAAAAAACGACAAATCTGTCTGCTGGTCACTTCTTCTGTCCAAGCAGATTCGTGGTCTTTTCCTCGCTTCTTTCAAGGGCTTTCCTGTGCCAGGTGAAGGAGGCTCCAGGCAGCACCCAGGTTTTGCACTCTTGTTTCTCCCGTGCTTGTGAAAGAGGTCCCAAGGTTCTGGGTGCAGGAGCGCTCCCTTGACCTGCTGAAGTCCGGAACGTAGTCGGCACAGCCTGGTCGCCTTCCACCTCTGGGAGCTGGAGTCCACTGGGGTGGCCTGACTCCCCCAGTCCCCTTCCCGTGACCTGGTCAGGGTGAGCCCATGTGGAGTCAGCCTCGCAGGCCTCCCTGCCAGTAGGGTCCGAGTGTGTTTCATCCTTCCCACTCTGTCGAGCCTGGGGGCTGGAGCGGAGACGGGAGGCCTGGCCTGTCTCGGAACCTGTGAGCTGCACCAGGTAGAACGCCAGGGACCCCAGAATCATGTGCGTCAGTCCAAGGGGTCCCCTCCAGGAGTAGTGAAGACTCCAGAAATGTCCCTTTCTTCTCCCCCATCCTACGAGTAATTGCATTTGCTTTTGTAATTCTTAATGAGCAATATCTGCTAGAGAGTTTAGCTGTAACAGTTCTTTTTGATCATCTTTTTTTAATAATTAGAAACACCAAAAAAATCCAGAAACTTGTTCTTCCAAAGCAGAGAGCATTATAATCACCAGGGCCAAAAGCTTCCCTCCCTGCTGTCATTGCTTCTTCTGAGGCCTGAATCCAAAAGAAAAACAGCCATAGGCCCTTTCAGTGGCCGGGCTACCCGTGAGCCCTTCGGAGGACCAGGGCTGGGGCAGCCTCTGGGCCCACATCCGGGGCCAGCTCCGGCGTGTGTTCAGTGTTAGCAGTGGGTCATGATGCTCTTTCCCACCCAGCCTGGGATAGGGGCAGAGGAGGCGAGGAGGCCGTTGCCGCTGATGTTTGGCCGTGAACAGGTGGGTGTCTGCGTGCGTCCACGTGCGTGTTTTCTGACTGACATGAAATCGACGCCCGAGTTAGCCTCACCCGGTGACCTCTAGCCCTGCCCGGATGGAGCGGGGCCCACCCGGTTCAGTGTTTCTGGGGAGCTGGACAGTGGAGTGCAAAAGGCTTGCAGAACTTGAAGCCTGCTCCTTCCCTTGCTACCACGGCCTCCTTTCCGTTTGATTTGTCACTGCTTCAATCAATAACAGCCGCTCCAGAGTCAGTAGTCAATGAATATATGACCAAATATCACCAGGACTGTTACTCAATGTGTGCCGAGCCCTTGCCCATGCTGGGCTCCCGTGTATCTGGACACTGTAACGTGTGCTGTGTTTGCTCCCCTTCCCCTTCCTTCTTTGCCCTTTACTTGTCTTTCTGGGGTTTTTCTGTTTGGGTTTGGTTTGGTTTTTATTTCTCCTTTTGTGTTCCAAACATGAGGTTCTCTCTACTGGTCCTCTTAACTGTGGTGTTGAGGCTTATATTTGTGTAATTTTTGGTGGGTGAAAGGAATTTTGCTAAGTAAATCTCTTCTGTGTTTGAACTGAAGTCTGTATTGTAACTATGTTTAAAGTAATTGTTCCAGAGACAAATATTTCTAGACACTTTTTCTTTACAAACAAAAGCATTCGGAGGGAGGGGGATGGTGACTGAGATGAGAGGGGAGAGCTGAACAGATGACCCCTGCCCAGATCAGCCAGAAGCCACCCAAAGCAGTGGAGCCCAGGAGTCCCACTCCAAGCCAGCAAGCCGAATAGCTGATGTGTTGCCACTTTCCAAGTCACTGCAAAACCAGGTTTTGTTCCGCCCAGTGGATTCTTGTTTTGCTTCCCCTCCCCCCGAGATTATTACCACCATCCCGTGCTTTTAAGGAAAGGCAAGATTGATGTTTCCTTGAGGGGAGCCAGGAGGGGATGTGTGTGTGCAGAGCTGAAGAGCTGGGGAGAATGGGGCTGGGCCCACCCAAGCAGGAGGCTGGGACGCTCTGCTGTGGGCACAGGTCAGGCTAATGTTGGCAGATGCAGCTCTTCCTGGACAGGCCAGGTGGTGGGCATTCTCTCTCCAAGGTGTGCCCCGTGGGCATTACTGTTTAAGACACTTCCGTCACATCCCACCCCATCCTCCAGGGCTCAACACTGTGACATCTCTATTCCCCACCCTCCCCTTCCCAGGGCAATAAAATGACCATGGAGGGGGCTTGCACTCTCTTGGCTGTCACCCGATCGCCAGCAAAACTTAGATGTGAGAAAACCCCTTCCCATTCCATGGCGAAAACATCTCCTTAGAAAAGCCATTACCCTCATTAGGCATGGTTTTGGGCTCCCAAAACACCTGACAGCCCCTCCCTCCTCTGAGAGGCGGAGAGTGCTGACTGTAGTGACCATTGCATGCCGGGTGCAGCATCTGGAAGAGCTAGGCAGGGTGTCTGCCCCCTCCTGAGTTGAAGTCATGCTCCCCTGTGCCAGCCCAGAGGCCGAGAGCTATGGACAGCATTGCCAGTAACACAGGCCACCCTGTGCAGAAGGGAGCTGGCTCCAGCCTGGAAACCTGTCTGAGGTTGGGAGAGGTGCACTTGGGGCACAGGGAGAGGCCGGGACACACTTAGCTGGAGATGTCTCTAAAAGCCCTGTATCGTATTCACCTTCAGTTTTTGTGTTTTGGGACAATTACTTTAGAAAATAAGTAGGTCGTTTTAAAAACAAAAATTATTGATTGCTTTTTTGTAGTGTTCAGAAAAAAGGTTCTTTGTGTATAGCCAAATGACTGAAAGCACTGATATATTTAAAAACAAAAGGCAATTTATTAAGGAAATTTGTACCATTTCAGTAAACCTGTCTGAATGTACCTGTATACGTTTCAAAAACACCCCCCCCCCACTGAATCCCTGTAACCTATTTATTATATAAAGAGTTTGCCTTATAAATTTACATAAAAATGTCCGTTTGTGTCTTTTGTTGTAAAAATCAAGTGATTTTTTCATAAGGTTCTTTTACTATTGGAAAAGATGGGCAGCACGCAGTTTTATTTTATTTTTGTAAGTTTTTTAATACATGTGAAAGCAAAGAATACTCAGCATGCCTTTCTAAGTGACGCGTTTGCACCTTTTGTTGGGAAGTACTGTATCCTGTGCTGTTAGCATTCTCGATAAATCTCTCTGTGAAAGTGACTCAAGGTCTGGGCTTTCATTATAAGACAGAAGTCCCCCTCCAGCTCACATGACAGCATGGTGCTGCGTTTCCTCATTGGATCTGGCTGTCCCTGGACACAGGTAGCTGCCTTCAGGCCTGCCACGAGCGGCCAAGGGAAGCCTCCTCCATATGCTGGCCTCGCTGGCCCCTCAGCTTCTTCCAAGCCAGTGCTCTCCAGGCACACTGCTCCAGCGTGTGACGGGAAGGGCCTGGCATGAGTCAGCCTGCAGCACAACCTCCCTGCTCCAGACCCGTATGGTAGGGGCACCCCCTAGGTCTGGATGTGCTGTGGTGCTTTTGGACACCCCCACCCCCGCAGGCTGTGGCTCCTCCTGTGTCTCATTCTGGCCAGGACCCTCACGTGCCCTCTGTTGACTGCTAACGTGGTTCTCTGACCAGGCAAGGGCAGGCTGAGGGGTTTGCCCAAAGGGGGCCCCCTTGTTACTGGCTTCCTTGGCTCTCAGGAGCAGCCTCACCAGGTTGGTAAGGGGCTGGAGGAGACAACTGCTCAAAGGAGTCCAGCTTCACATGCACATGCTAGAAGGTACCCTCGGAAGGCCTGGCCTTCAAAGGTAGATCCCAGGGTTGAAAAGTCAACTTGTATGCATTGAGCATCTCGTATGCCAGCCCTGTTCCGTGAGCTGATGGGCCTTTGTGTGTAAGTAGGACCAAGTGCCCCCGTGGAGGTTAGCATGGGTGTGCAGTCATTTCAGATACTTGAGTTGGTACATCTCAGTAAAGTCTGTCCCGTGAGAAGCCATGGGTTTCATGGTATGGTTGGCATCTTCCTTGGGAGTGGCCACAGTGGTGGTGGCTTCAGGAAAGAGACTCCAACAGGGGCCAGCTGTGGGCCTTGGGCACTTCTCGTTTCTAGGAAAAGTCCTAAGTCTGTAGGGCTAGGGGTGGGGAACCCCTTCGCTGTCAGGATCAAGAGGGCAAGGGGAACTGTCGCTGGAGGAGACATCCAGCTGGAGAAACAAAAGAGTAAGTCTGCGTTGCTGCTTGTGGGGTCTTCCCCATCTCAGGGCGGGGACCGGGGGTGGCGGTCCAGACAAGTAATCAAGGACGATGCCCAGGAGGGGACAGGTACGGGGTGGCAGGAGCTCTGCCGGCGGGCTCAGGAAGCCTTCACCACAGCTGCCTGAGCTCACCCTTGCCAAATGAGGGCTGGGGCAGCAGCAACGCATACACTCACGGCTGTGGCGGGCAGCGTTCTCGGCATATTTCAGGACACCTAAGGAGACTGAATGGCTCAAGGCTGCTGCCGTGTGCAGGGGGCTAGACGTGGGGCGGGCAGGCAGGGCTCCTGGTAACAGCCCTGCAGGCCGCAGTGGAGAGCAGGGTTCCGGCAGGGCCGCCCAGGAGCTTTCGGAAGGCCCGGCCCCGGCCCCTTTCCGAGCAGCCCGGGCCTCCGCCCTGCCCTCTGTCCCCAACGCCGGGAGCCGCCGTTCGTCCTCCAGAGCCCCGCCCGGGCGAGCCCGGGAGGCCGATCGCCGCTCGCGGAACCCGCCGGGACCCGGGCCCTCCCCGGCGCGGGGCGCCCCCGTGTGACCCAGCGCGCGGCCGCGGCGCGCAAGATGGCGGCGGGCCCGGGCACCGCCCCTTCCGCCCCGCCGGGCGTCGCACGAGGCCGGCTCGAAGGGGAAGTGAGTCAGTGTCCGCGGACCCGGCCGGCCCAGGCCCGCGCCCGCCGCGGCCCTGAGAGGCCCCGGCAGGTCCCGGCCCGGCGGCGGCAGCCATGGCCGGGGGGCCGGGCCCGGGGGAGCCCGCAGCCCCCGGCGCCCAGCACTTCTTGTACGAGGTGCCGCCCTGGGTCATGTGCCGCTTCTACAAAGTGATGGACGCCCTGGAGCCCGCCGACTGGTGCCAGTTCGGTGGGTGGCGGCGGGCTGCCGGGGGGCGGGAGGCGCGCGGGCTCCTGGCGCCGACGCCTGACGCCCCCCGCCCCGCAGCCGCCCTGATCGTGCGCGACCAGACCGAGCTGCGGCTGTGCGAGCGCTCCGGGCAGCGCACGGCCAGCGTCCTGTGGCCCTGGATCAACCGCAACGCCCGTGTGGCCGACCTCGTGCACATCCTCACGCACCTGCAGCTGCTCCGTGCGCGGGACATCATCACAGCCTGTGAGCGCGGGACTCCGGGCACCCCACGGCTGGGAGGCCGGCGGGCCCCACGGGGCTCCCCCACCCGGGCCTCAACCTTCCTTTCCTTCCTTGGCGTCCCAGGGCACCCTCCCGCCCCGCTTCCGTCCCCAGGCACCACTGCCCCGAGGCCCAGCAGCATCCCTGCACCCGCCGAGGCCGAGGCCTGGAGCCCCCGGAAGTTGCCATCCTCAGCCTCCACCTTCCTCTCCCCAGGTAAGAGGGCCCGGTTGTTAGGCTCGGTGGACCCAAAGAAGAGCCCACCTTGACCACGGCCACGGCTGTAGACCCTGCTGCTGGTCTCTGCCTGCCTCTCACTGGTGTCTTTATGAAGCTTTTCCAGGCTCCCAGACCCATTCAGGGCCTGAGCTCGGCCTGGTCCCAAGCCCTGCTTCCCTGTGGCCTCCACCGCCATCTCCAGCCCCTTCTTCTACCAAGGTAGGTGTCCCCTGCCCCCCAGGGAAGATTCGAGACAAGGAGGAAGGAATTCAGCCTTTGATGTAGCGCAGAGCCCCAGTCAGCCAAGCTGGGTCAGCTGGGAGGCAGCTGTGGTGGGGAGAGCCTGGAGCCTTGGGCAGAAGGGAAGAGACAGGGACCCCACCTGATCCAGGCTCTCTTCCCACAGCCAGGCCCAGAGAGCTCAGTGTCCCTCCTGCAGGGAGCCCGCCCCTTTCCGTTTTGCTGGCCCCTCTGTGAGATTTCCCGGGGCACCCACAACTTCTCGGAGGAGCTCAAGATCGGGGAGGGTGGCTTTGGGTGCGTGTACCGGGCGGTGATGAGGAACACGGTGTATGCTGTGAAGAGGCTGAAGGAGGTGAGTGTCGCACCCTGGCAGGGACCCTGGAAGGCCATCAGATAACCCTCACCACTTCTCCAGCCTTTCCCCCTCGCTTCCCCACACAACTCCTTCAGCCCTCATTCTGGCGTAGGGTCCCTGGCCCCTTGGTGGTTCTGGGCCTCGGGTAGGTGGCACTGGTGGCCCGAAGGCCTTCGCTTCGAGAGCCTCACGCTGCCCGTCTTCCCTGCCCCTTCCCCCACCGCACCCTGGGGGCTGCAGAACGCTGACCTGGAGTGGACTGCAGTGAAGCAGAGCTTCCTGACCGAGGTGGAGCAGCTGTCCAGGTGAGGCCAGAGGGGGAGCCACACCAGGTCCCGTGGGGCTTCAGACCGCACACCACAGGACCTGGCTCCCTTGGGCACCTGAGGCCTGGCAGGCCCGGGCGAGCTGAGGCCCCAGCCAGGGCTGCCCACCCAGTCTGGCCTGATGGAAAGTGCTCCCCTTTTTCAAACAGGTTTCGTCACCCAAACATTGTGGACTTTGCTGGCTACTGTGCTCAGAACGGCTTCTACTGCCTGGTGTACGGCTTCCTGCCCAACGGCTCCCTGGAGGACCGTCTCCACTGCCAGGTAGGCTCACCTGGCCCGGCACGCTTCCCAGGACCCAAAGCACTCCTGACACCTGGCTGGAGCCGGGCGCGGGGCCTAGGGCTTTCAGCCTGTGTGAGTGGGTCCTGCCAGCAGGCCAGGCCTGCACTTCCAGCTCCCCAGCAGCACCCGGCTCAGGATTTGGCCCACGGTGGGGTCAATTTTTTTTTTTTTTTTTTTTTTTTTTTTTTTGAGGTGGAGTCTTGCTCTGTCATCCAGGCTGGAGTGCAGTGGTGTGATCTCAGCTCACCACAACCTCCACCTCCCGGGTTCAGGCGATCCTCCTGCCGCAGCCTCCCGAGTAGCTGGGACTACAGGCATGCACCACCACACCTGCCTAATTTTTGTATTTTTAGTAGAGATGAGGTTTTGCCACATTGGCCAGGCTAGTCTCGAACTCCTGACCCCAGGTGGTCTGCGCGCCTCAGCCTCCCAAAGTGCTGGGATTACAGGCGTGAGCCACCACGCCTGGCCCGACCCAATGTTTTCTATAGAGCTCTTTCCCAGGCCTCTCCCCTTTGCAAGCAGCGTAGCTGGAGGGTCTCATCAGCAAGCCCCGGAGGCGAGGGGGTCTGGGGCTACCAGCTGGACCACCTACAGCTGAGGGAGGGCCCCCTTGCCTCCTCCTGCATGCTGCGTTTGGGGAGAGCGGGAAGAATGCCTTCAAGGACTTCCCGACCACCAGGGACAAAGGGATGAGCCCTGGGAGCCGAAGCCCAGCAGATTCTATTGAACGTGTCCCCAGCCATTGCTTAAGAAGTGCAGGTCACGGAGACTTTGCTCCTCGTTTTCCAGAAGGGGGAAACTGAGGCCTAGAGAGTGAAGTGGCTGTTCCAGGCTGCACGGTGACAGGTAGAAGGATGGTTGGGATCAAGGAACGGCCATCCAGCAACCTCCCCTGTCCCCCTTTGCCACCCCAGACCCAGGCCTGCCCACCTCTCTCCTGGCCTCAGCGACTGGACATCCTTCTGGGTACAGCCCGGGCAATTCAGTTTCTACATCAGGACAGCCCCAGCCTCATCCATGGAGACATCAAGAGGTGAGGAGGGGCCCTTGAGAACTGCCGGGGCAGGGCCTGCAGCAAGGGGGGCCCCGCGTCCTATCAATGTGGGGATCAGGCATGGCCTGGGACCTCAACACCCCGGCATCGCACAGGTGTGGGAACGGGCCAAGGATGGGCCCTACTGATGAGCAGAGGCCCCCAGGCAGCTGGAGCGCTCAGGGCAGTGCCAGCGCTTTCTGTGGGCAAGGCACCGGGCTGGCAGCCTCGAGTCCAGCCTTATCTAAGCCGGGCAGGTGTAGGAGCTAGGACCGGGCTGACGCCACTGTCTTCTCTCCCCAAGTTCCAACGTCCTTCTGGATGAGAGGCTGACACCCAAGCTGGGAGACTTTGGCCTGGCCCGGTTCAGCCGCTTTGCCGGGTCCAGCCCCAGCCAGAGCAGCATGGTGGCCCGGACACAGACAGTGCGGGGCACCCTGGCCTACCTGCCCGAGGAGTACATCAAGACGGGAAGGCTGGCTGTGGACACGGACACCTTCAGCTTTGGGGTGGTGAGCCACTGACCCCTCTGCTGGCTCAGAGGAGGAGAAGCCACAGGCAGGCAGAGGTGGGGGCTGCAGAGTGCACTGCGGGCCAGGGGCCATCTGCCAAGACCCCAGGAGGCTGCAGCTCCAGGGTCCCCCTCCCTCCGAGGCCCTCCTCCTCACCCTGCACCTAACTGTGTGTTTGTAATTTGTCTTCAAGTGGGCTCTCCGAGTTGCCCGAGCTTCAGTCCCATAACATCTGGCTCTGCCTTTGTCCACACCCTTGTCAGGCCCAATCCATGTCCACACCAGAGGCCTCTTCCCTGCCAAGGCCACTGCCATGCTCTCCCTCTTCCCTCTCTCCAGGTAGTGCTAGAGACCTTGGCTGGTCAGAGGGCTGTGAAGACGCACGGTGCCAGGACCAAGTATCTGGTGAGCCCCTTGAGGCAGGGCCAGGAGGGACACACAGCTGCTGGCAGCCAGCAGGCACAGCCCCAGTGGCGGGGATAACTGGGGCGCAGTGCCCATGGATGCCTCTGCTGCCACAGTGGCCTCATTTTTGAAAGTAGGCAGGGCTCCAAACAACTTCGTTTACCTTGCCGAGGACAAACCTGTCTGTCCTGCAGACACTATGGGCCTTGTACAGACCCCACCTGGGCTGGGGGCAGGGGGAAGGGCGGTCCCAGGGCACTGAGACCCAAGCTGCAGTGGAACTCAGAGGACTCTGGCCGGAGAAAGGCGGTGGTAGAGAAGAAGCAGGCCCCGAGGAACCTCCTGGGCCCCAGCAGGCTGCAGCTGAGCTCTCCGCACCGTGCAGGGCAGCCTGAGCTGCCTCACGGTCTTACTCCACTCAGTCTGCCTCACCGTGGACTGTGGTGGGGCCAGGAGACTAGAGACCTGGGTTTTAGCCCCAGCCTGACAGTGGCCTTCCAGCAAATTCCTGCTCCCCTGTGGGCCTGTTTTCCCATATGCAAAACAGACTTCACAGAATGTGCTCAGCCAGTAATTGCTTCACTGCTTCTCCTCTTGTTTGGGGCGGTTCCTGTGTGCTGTGGGGTCTCCGTCAGGATTCAGCCCCGCTGAGAACCCAGGAGCCGGGCTTGAGCCCTCCTTCCTTTCCCTTCCCCGTCCGTCCATCCATGCATCCTGCTGAAGAAGCGCACCAGGCTCCTTGGGGGTCCTTGGACTTCCCCACTTGCTCCCCACCCTGCAGCCAAAGTGCTCTTTTCAAAGGCCCCTTTGCCTTTTCTCTGCTCTTGGGGTGAAGGCCCAGTCCCTTATGTGGTTGACCCCCCAACGCCCCAGGTCCCTGGGACTCGGGGCGCTCCCTGCTGCCTGCTTCACAGCCTTAGTATGTGCCGTTCGCTCTGCGAGAAAAGCCACCGCCCACCCAGGTGGTTCCTCCTGGTCTGTCTGATTTCAGAACTGGAGATGGCCTCCGGTCCTGTTTCCACCCTGGGGGCGCCTCTCTGCGGGGCGCCTCTCTCTCTGGGGTACCTCTTTGTCTGTGGGGCACCTCTCTGTGGGGCGCTTTCCTTCTCGGCTCTGCCCTCTCAGGCTACTTCCTGCCTTCAGACCCCAGCTCCATGGGGCTCTCCCCCACCAGGAAGTCAGCTCTGTCAAACCGGGTCCCAGGGTTCTGTTTGTTCCTGTATCCCTAGGGCCCAGAGCACCACTGGCCCACAGTAGGTGTTTAATAAATCTCTAGAAGCTACTCGGGAATCTGAGGCAGGAGGATCGCTTGAGCCTGGGAGTTGGAGACCAGCCTGGGCAACATAGCAAGATAGGCATGGTGGTACACACCTGTAATCCCAGCTGCTCGGGAGGCCGAGGTGGGAGGATCACGAGCCTGGGAGGTTGAGGCTGCACTGAGCCATGATTGCACCACTGCACTCCAGCCTGGGTGACAGAATGAGTCCCTGTCTCAGAAAAAAAGTAAGTTGTAGAAAGACCAAGAGCTGTGGCACAGTGTCTCACACCTGTAACACCAGCACTTTGGGAGGCTGAGGCGGGAGGATCACTTGAGCCTACTTGGAGACCAGCCAGGCCAACAAAGCGAGACCCCATCTCTTTTTTTTTTTTTTTTTTTTTTATCAAAACCCATACGATTGAGTGACAAGGACCTGAGGACTGCAGCTGCAGGTGTGGCCACCTGGTAGCCATACTGACAGTATTTATCCCACAGAAAGACCTGGTGGAAGAGGAGGCTGAGGAGGCTGGAGTGGCTTTGAGAAGCACCCAGAGCACACTGCAAGCAGGTCTGGCTGCAGATGCCTGGGCTGCTCCCATCGCCATGCAGATCTACAAGAAGCACCTGGACCCCAGGCCCGGGCCCTGCCCACCTGAGCTGGGCCTGGGCCTGGGCCAGCTGGCCTGCTGCTGCCTGCACCGCCGGGCCAAAAGGAGGCCTCCTATGACCCAGGTAGCCAGCTGCGCACTGGGACGGGGTGGCCAGATAGAAAGCCCGCATTCCAGGCCTTGCTCTGTAGTGACCCCATCTCAGCACCTGCTAGGTCTCTCTGGAGTCTCCACACATTTCTTGCTTGCCCTTTGGTTCTGTTTGGGGCAGCGCCCCTCTGAACTGAGGGGCCCCGGGCAGTCCTGCTTTGCGGAGCCCAGCTCCGACCCCCTTCACATAGAGAGAAGGAAAGAGCTGCTGCCGCGCCCCCTGCTGGGCGCACTGCACTACTGCATCTGCCTTTTTCTGTCCCCTCCCTAGTACCCCACCTCTTCTCCTCTGGTGACAGTTGAAAATGGAGAGGCCCCGTTTGAGGGCAGCGGGGCAGTGAGATTCATTTTGTAGAAAAGAACGAGGCCATTCTCAGTCCTTGCTTTTGGCAGCCGCGCTTCTCAGCACTCCCTGTGATGGGAACAGAGGGGCGAGGGGCAGAGCGTTCCCAGCTGCAGGGTATGTCATTTTAGAGCCCTGGGGCAGGTCACGGACGGCCTGGAGCAGCCCTGTGGTTTGCCCACGGGGTGACCGGCCAGGGCTGCCATCTCACCCTGAGAGTCCCTCTTTTCCACTTGCAGGTGTACGAGAGGCTAGAGAAGCTGCAGGCAGTGGTGGCGGGGGTGCCCGGGCATTCGGAGGCCGCCAGCTGCATCCCCCCTTCCCCGCAGGAGAACTCCTACGTGTCCAGCACTGGCAGAGCCCACAGTGGGGCTGCTCCATGGCAGCCCCTGGCAGCGCCATCAGGAGCCAGTGCCCAGGCAGCAGAGCAGCTGCAGAGAGGCCCCAACCAGCCCGTGGAGAGTGACGAGAGCCTAGGCGGCCTCTCTGCTGCCCTGCGCTCCTGGCACTTGACTCCAAGCTGCCCTCTGGACCCAGCACCCCTCAGGGAGGCCGGCTGTCCTCAGGGGGACACGGCAGGAGAATCGAGCTGGGGGAGTGGCCCAGGATCCCGGCCCACAGCCGTGGAAGGTAGCTGGGGAGACGGGTTCCCAGGAGAGGGACCAAGGCCTCTTTGGGCCAAAGCCCCTGTAAGTCCCCACCCCAGCCTTCTAGAAGAGAACCAGGGCCAAATGTTCAGCTCACTGTGACCTTAGCAACCCTGGTTTCCCCTCCCCAGGCCACATCCTTCCCAGGTGGAGCTTGCTCTCCAGCCCTCCCCCCACCCCATTCCTGAAGGCTGGGAACAAGGAGGGCTCTGTCTGGTAGCCTGAGAGCTGGGCCCTGCCCTTGGACTTCTCTGAGGAATTCAGGCCTGAGGCCAGGGAGGCAGGGTGCTAGGCTGCGGGCTGGGGAGCCACAGCATGAGGCTAAGGGAGTGCCATCTCCACCCCAGGACTGGCCCTTGGCAGCTCTGCATCATCGTCGTCAGAGCCACCGCAGATTATCATCAACCCTGCCCGACAGAAGATGGTCCAGAAGCTGGCCCTGTACGAGGATGGGGCCCTGGACAGCCTGCAGCTGCTGTCGTCCAGCTCCCTCCCAGGTGCTGCCGCCCAGGCTGGCCTCTGGGGTGCTCAGGCGCATCCGTGTCAGCCCCAAAGAGCAGAGTGTCTGTCCCGACTGCGCTGAGGGCGTGGGGCAGCCGGGCAGGCCACTGGCTCTGGCGACCTCTAGAAGCCCAGCCGGCCCCACATGCCTCCCTTAGCAAGACCCTGGCCCACTCCTTCCCTCGCCTCCTGACAGTAGCACCTCCTTTAGCCCGAGGGTGCCTGCCCCACTCTGTGCTTTCAGGAAATAGGAAGCCCCAGCAGGAATTTTCCATCCCAGGTACTATTTGAAGAACCACTGCTTAGGAACCCTCAGCTGGGCGAGGTGGCTCATGCCTATAATACCAGCACTTTTGGAGGCCAAGATGGGAGGATCACTTGAGCCCAGGAGGTGGAGGCTACAGTGAGCTGTGATCAAGCCACTGCACTCCAGCCTGGGAGACAGTTAGACCCTGTCTCAAAAACAAATGAACAAACAAACAAAAACCCTCAATTCCCACGAACGCCCCAGGAGATAAGGGAGCATGGCCCAGGCCTTGAGCCAGGGCTTCTGGCAGTAGGGGAGCCTCCCCCATTTGCTAAGCGGACTTTCCTCTTCCTTCTGTAGGCTTGGGCCTGGAACAGGACAGGCAGGGGCCCGAAGAAAGTGATGAATTTCAGAGCTGATGTGTTCACCTGGGCAGATCCCCCAAATCCGGAAGTCAAAGTTCTCATGGTCAGAAGTTCTCATGGTGCACGAGTCCTCAGCACTCTGCCGGCAGTGGGGGTGGGGGCCCATGCCCGCGGGGGAGAGAAGGAGGTGGCCCTGCTGTTCTAGGCTCTGTGGGCATAGGCAGGCAGAGTGGAACCCTGCCTCCATGCCAGCATCTGGGGGCAAGGAAGGCTGGCATCATCCAGTGAGGAGGCTGGCGCATGTTGGGAGGCTGCTGGCTGCACAGACCCGTGAGGGGAGGAGAGGGGCTGCTGTGCAGGGGTGTGGAGTAGGGAGCTGGCTCCCCTGAGAGCCATGCAGGGCGTCTGCAGCCCAGGCCTCTGGCAGCAGCTCTTTGCCCATCTCTTTGGACAGTGGCCACCCTGCACAATGGGGCCGACGAGGCCTAGGGCCCTCCTACCTGCTTACAATTTGGAAAAGTGTGGCCGGGTGCGGTGGCTCACGCCTGTAATCCCAGCACTTTGGGAGGCCAAGGCAGGAGGATCGCTGGAGCCCAGTAGGTCAAGACCAGCCAGGGCAACATGATGAGACCCTGTCTCTGCCAAAAAATTTTTTAAACTATTAGCCTGGCGTGGTAGCGCACGCCTGTGGTCCCAGCTGCTGGGGAGGCTGAAGTAGGAGGATCATTTATGCTTGGGAGGTCGAGGCTGCAGTGAGTCATGATTGTATGACTGCACTCCAGCCTGGGTGACAGAGCAAGACCCTGTTTCAAAAAGAAAAACCCTGGGAAAAGTGAAGTATGGCTGTAAGTCTCATGGTTCAGTCCTAGCAAGAAGCGAGAATTCTGAGATCCTCCAGAAAGTCGAGCAGCACCCACCTCCAACCTCGGGCCAGTGTCTTCAGGCTTTACTGGGGACCTGCGAGCTGGCCTAATGTGGTGGCCTGCAAGCCAGGCCATCCCTGGGCGCCACAGACGAGCTCCGAGCCAGGTCAGGCTTCGGAGGCCACAAGCTCAGCCTCAGGCCCAGGCACTGATTGTGGCAGAGGGGCCACTACCCAAGGTCTAGCTAGGCCCAAGACCTAGTTACCCAGACAGTGAGAAGCCCCTGGAAGGCAGAAAAGTTGGGAGCATGGCAGACAGGGAAGGGAAACATTTTCAGGGAAAAGACATGTATCACATGTCTTCAGAAGCAAGTCAGGTTTCATGTAACCGAGTGTCCTCTTGCGTGTCCAAAAGTAGCCCAGGGCTGTAGCACAGGCTTCACAGTGATTTTGTGTTCAGCCGTGAGTCACACTACATGCCCCCGTGAAGCTGGGCATTGGTGACGTCCAGGTTGTCCTTGAGTAATAAAAACGTATGTTGCAATCTCGGGCTCTACTTGTGGACTTTGTTGCACCGAAAGCCTTGAGCTTTCCTGATGCCTTACACTTCAGGGTTCTTGAGCGTCCAGGGTCTTGTTACTACTCTGGGCTGGCCACACCCAGCACTTCCCGTGTCAGGTTTTTCCTGATGTAGTCCATGTTTTTTATGCTATTCTAAATGGTATCTTTGATTTTCTAGTTCATCATGATATTATACAGAAATGCAATTGATGCTGGGCACGGTGGCTCACGCCTGTGATTCCAGCGCTTTGGGAAGCTAAGGCGGGCAGATCACTTGAGGCCAGGAGTTTGAGACCAGCCTGGGCAACATGGCGAAACCCCGTCTCTACAAAAAGTACAAAAATTAGCCAGGCATGGTGGTGCATGCCTGTAGTTTGAGCTACTCAGGAGGCTGACCCAGGAGGATAGTTTGAGCCCAGGACGTTGAGGCTGCAGTGAGCCATGATTCCACCACTGCACTCCAGCCCGGGCAACAGAGGGAGACCTTGCCTCAAAAAAAAAAAAAAAAAAAAAAAAAGCGGTTGAGTTTTGCATATGAACCGTATATTCTGTGACCTTGTTTAAATTCTTTTTTTTTTTTCTTTTTTTGAGATGGAGTTTTGCTCTTGTTGCCCAGGCTGCAGTGCAATGGCGCTATCTCAGCTCACTGCAACCTCTGCCTCCTAGGTTCAAGTGATTCTCCTGCCTCAGCCTCCCGAGTAGCTGGGATTACAGGTGCCCACCACCACACCCGGCTAATTTTTTTGTATTTTTAATAGAGACAGGGTTTCCACATGTTGACCAGGCTGGTCTCGAACTCCTGACCTCCAGTGATCCGCCCGCCTCGGCCTCCCAAAGTGCTAGATTACAGGTGTGAGCCACTGCACCTGTCCCTGGCTGTCTGTATATTTACTTTTTTTTTTGAGATGGAGTTTCGCTCTTGTCACCCAGGCTGCAGTGCAATGGTGCGATCTCGGCTCATTGTAACCTCTGCCTCCCAGGTTCAGGTGATTCTCCTGCCTCAGTCTCCCGAGTAGCTGGGATTACAGGCGTCCGCTACCACGCCCGACTGATTTTTCTATTTTTAGTAGAGACGGGGTTTCAACATGTTGGCCAGTCTGATCTCGAACTCCTGACCTCAGGTGATTCACCCACCTCAGCCTCCCAAAGTGCTGGGATTACAGGTATGAGGCACTGTGCCCGGCTTTTTTTTTTTTTTTTTTTTTCTTCAGACAAGAGTCTTACTCTGTCACCCAGGCTGAAGTGCAGTGGTGCAATCTTGGCTCACTGCAACCTCCGCCTCCCAGGTTCAAGCGATTCTTCTGCCTCAGCCTCCATAGTAGCTGGGACTACAGGTGTGTGCCACCACGCCCAGCTAATTTTTATATTTTTATTTAGTAGAGACAAGGTTTCACCATGTTGGCCAAGCTGGTCTCGAACTCCTGACCTCAAGTGATCTGCCCGCCTCAGCCTCCCAAAGTGCTGGGATTACAGGTGTGAGCCGTGGCACCCAGCCCAGCCTTATTCTTTTAAACAATCTGACAATCTCTGCCTTTAGTTGGTCTGTTTAATCCATTTCCATTTAATGGTTGGAGTTAAGTCTATCATCTTGTTATTTGTTTTCTATTACCCCATCTGTTTTGACTTTTGGATTAATTACATATTTCTGGGATTCTGTTTTTTCTCTGCTATTGGCTTGGTCGCTCTAGTAATTCAGTGAGACTGCTGGTTCCGCTCAGGCCCCTTTGCTGAACCATGGTGTGAAAGTGCCTCCAGGCAGAAACTCAGGGTACTTGTAAGGCTCACCTTCTTTGTTTTCTCTCTGGTCACAGCCCTGCACAGCCTATTGTCCGATATCTAAAAATAGTTGCCCAGTGTTTTAGGTGTTTACAACTGGCATCAGTTATTCCACTGTGGCCAGAATTGCAAGTTTCTCCTCTTTTCTGAGGACTTCTTCACTCATAATGTCACCCGACATGATCAATTTCTTCCTTGCTTCTGGATCTATTTCTTTTCTTTTTTTTTTTTTTTTTGAGACAGAGTCACTCTGTCACCCAGGCTGGAGTGCAGCAGCATGATCTCAGCTCCCTGCAACCTCTGCCTCCCGGGTTCAAGCAATTCTCCTGCCTCAGCCTCCTGAGTAGCTGGAACTACAGGCATGTGTCACCAAGCCCAGCTAATGTTTGTATTTTTAGTAGAGACGGGGTTTCCCCATGTTGGCCAGGCTGGTCTCGAACTCCTGACCTCAGGTGATCCGCTCACCTCGGCCTCCCAAAATGCTGGGATTACAGGCGTGAGCCACTGCGCCCGGCCTCTGGATCTATTTTCATCAAACATGTCCTGGTAGCTTCCGTTCTTGAAGAATAAAAATAAAAACTCATTTGACCCAACACCCCCTCCAACCACAACCCTAATTCTCTGTTCCTCTTTGTAGCTAAACTTTTCAGAATCCTTGTCTGTTTTCTCACTTGCCCATTCCCTGTGCAGTCCCTCTTCCTCTGCTTCTACCCCTGCCACTCCATCCAATCAGCGTTCATCCAGAACACCAGGGATCTCCGTGTTGTCAAATCCATCCAGTCCTCTTGGACTTTCTCTCGCCGGTGCCTACTCCCCCACCAACCGCTTGTCTCTTGTGACCTCTGTGACGCTGAAGTCTGTGTTCTTTCTCAGCGTGCGTGGGCTCTCTCTACCCAGCCTCTACAAGGTGTGAGTCCCTCCAGACACGCCTCTGCGCCTTCTTAGCTGCCTGCACTCATTCCCGACGGTGATCTTCCTCATTCTCACGGCTCTATCATGTCCATTCCCAAACGGCAGCGCCTCCGTCATGCTCTCTCTCCTGAGGTTTTGGCCTTCTGATTTTTCTCACAGGCACCGTAAACTTAGATGGCCAAGCAGACTTGGGATTCCCTTTCACCATGAGCTTCCCACCTCAGCGTGTGGGACTAGTTCCAGCGCCCACCCAGCTGCCCACACCAGAGCCTCAGGAGTTAGGCTTTTCTGAAAGACTTTGTTAGGGAGGTATAAGTTAAAGGTAGAAAAGTACACAAACCGTACTCGTACAGCCCAATGACTGTTTTATATGTACACGGCCATGTGGCAGCCACCACATAGACCCACATATGAATCTGCTCCAGTTATCTCTTGCTAGGTACCAAGCCACCCCAAGATGTACGGGCTGAAAATAATGGCAATGTTTGTTTTGCTCGCGAGCCTGTGCTCTGTGAGGTCTCAGTTGGCAGAGCTCACCCGCTGCAGTCGGTTAGCCGGGGCAGCCCGATGGCCACGAGCTGGAACCACCCAGCGGCTCCTTCGTGTCCAGCGGAGGACGCTGCCGGGGTGAGGACACCTCCATGTGCCTGTGAGGCTGGGTTCTCCGGGGAGCATCTCAAGCTAGAAAGCCCAGCGGAGGCCACGTCATCTGATGGCCTGGCCTGGGGATCAGGTGCTGCCACTTCCCCGGCAGCCTGCTCACTAGACGCAAGCCTCTGAGGCCAGTGTATGCAAGGGGAGAGGCGCTGTGGGCCGCCTTTTTTGATGAGAGTAGCACCAGAGAACATCCAAACCTGGCTTTAAACACATAGATAGTTTTGCATGTTCTGGAATTTCATGTCAATGAGATTGTGTCGTGATTTAGTTTGGATGTGTGTCCCTGCCCCAATCTCCAGTGCTGGAGGCGGGGCCTGGTGGGAAGTGACTGGGTCATGGGGGCAGATTTCTCATGAATGCTTCCGCGCCATCCCTGGGTGCTGTTCTCATGATAGTTGTTTAACAGTGTGTGCTACCTCCACTGTCCGGCTCTTGCTCCCGCTGTGGCCATCTGATGTGCCTGCTCCCCCTTTGCCTCCCGCCATGATTGGAAGCTTCCTGAGGCTTCCCCAAAAGCAGATGCAGCCATGCTTCCTGTACAGCCTGCAGAACCGTGAGCCCATTGAACCTCCTTTCTATATAAATTGCCCGGTCTTGGCTATTTCTGTACAGCAGTGTGAGAATGGATTAACACACGTGGTACGAACTCGCGTCTGCCTGCTATTGCTCTGCACTGTTGTTCTGTTGCAGCCGTGAGTAGCGCTAAGCGATTGCTTTGCCTTCCCAGGTAGCGTTCCATTGTAAGAATGGGCCGCATTTGACTCTTTCTACTCTTGGGCGTTTGGATTGAGTTTGGGGCTGGCATAAAGCTGTTATGAACATTTCCGAATCTGTCTTGCTGCACATACACACTCATTTCTCTTGGGTGTTGTACACATCTGTATACACATGTTGGAACATCTGATCAGGGAGACCTGATGGGAGCTGGCAGTGCTGCGATGGCCCCACACCAGGACTCACAGTGCACAAATGCCTACTGCGTCCCCTCCGCCTTCCAGATCCCAGTTCCGGCCAGTTTTTGTATTTTTTGTAGAGATGGGGTCTTGCCATGTTGCCCAGGCTGGTCTCGAATTCCTGGGCTCACACGATCCACCCACCTCAGCCTCCCAGGTAGCTGGGACTGCAGGCGTGAGCCCCCACGCCTGGCCTGGTGGGTTCATTCTCGATTGTGTTGATGGTTTGGCAGATATAACTTTCAAACTGTTCACTTTAAATGTGCAGTTTATTTTATGTCAATTATACCTCAATAAAGCTGTTTTTGGCCAGGCACAGTGGCTCACGCCTGTAATCTCAGCACTTTGGGAGGCCGAGGCAGGCAGATCATTAGGTCAGGAGATCGAGACCATCCTGGCTAACATGGTGAAACCCTGTCTCTACTAAAAATACAAAAAATTAGCCAGGCGTGGTGGCGGGCACCTGTAGTCCCAGCTACTTGGGAGGCTGAGGCAGGAGAATGGCGTGAACCCAGGAGATGGAGCTTGCAGTGAGTCAAGATGGCACCAGTGCACTCCAGCCTGGGCGACAGAGTGAGACTCTGTCAAAAAAAAAAAAAAAAAAAAAAAAGCTGTTTTTAAGAAATAAAATGGGCCAGGCGCAGTGGCTCACGCCTGTAATCCCAGCACTTCGGAAGGCCGAGGCGGGTGGATCACGAGGTCAGGAGATCAAGACCATCCTGGCTAACATGGTGAAACCCCATCTCTACTAAAAATACAAAAAGTTAGCCGGGCGTGGTGGCGGGCACCTGTAGTCCCAGCTACTCGGGAGGCTGAGGCAGGAGAATGGCGTGAACCCGGGAGGCGGAGCTTGCAGTGAGCGGCGATCACGCCACTGCACTCCAGCCTGGGCAACAGGGCAAGACTCCATCTCAAAAATAAAATAAAATAAAATAAAATGCAGCCGGGCACGGTGGCTCATTCCTGTAATCCCAGGACTTTGGGAGGCTGAGGTGAGAAGATCACTTGAGGTGAGGAGTTTGAGACCAGCCTGGCCAACATGGTAAAACCCTGTCTCTAGTGAAAATACAAAAATTAGTGGGGTATGATGGTGCACGCCTATAATCCCAGCTACTCAGGAGGCTGAGGCAGGGGAATCACTTGAATCCGGGAGATGGAGGTTGCAGTGAGCTGAGATCACGCCATTGCACTCCAGCCTGGGCAGCAGAGTGAGACTCTGTCAAAAAAGAAAGAAAGAGAGAAAGGAAGGAAGGAAGGAAAGAAAGGAAGAAAGAAAGAATGTCTCTTTGAGGCAGCATATTGATTGATTGGTTTTATTTTCCCTCTACGCCAGCCCGGCAATCTTTGTGTGTTTATCCATTTTCATTTTAATGGATTTGCCAATATGGCTGTATGTGAGATCTTTTATTGTGATAAAATATATACAACATAATATTCATCTGTTTAACTATTTATAAGTGTACAACTCGGGGGCATGGGCTTTGTTTCTTCACCCTCAACATCCTCCTCCTCCTCCTCCACACCATTAGACCCTGACCCCCGCCACCCTCCTGCTCTGGCTGTGTGTGAGGACCAGCTTACCATTTGTTCTCTGTTGTCCCATCTGTCGTTGGTTACTTTCTTTCTCTTTTTTTGCCTTTTCTCAGTGTCACTTTTCATTATTACTCCAGCAGTTACCCTAGGGATTGAGTCTGCGGTGCAGTGGCTCAAGCAACGCCAGAGCCTCCCAGCAGCGAGACTGTGTTTCCGCCGGGCCTCGGGTGCTCTTGTTTTCGTATATTTTAAATCCCAAAGGACACTATTAGTGTTGGTCTAAACAGCCCATTTTTTACCTTTCTAGTGCGTTCCATGCCTTCCTGCAGATCTGTTTTTCCACGTTAGATCTCGCTCTCTCTCTCTCTCTCAAATTACTTTATTTCTTGGCAGAAAATAGGGTCAAGAAAATAACAAGTGGATAACATCATCTCAATAGGAGACATTGAAGAATACGAGTGAACACCCATTCTCAGCTCCGTTCTGATCCGGACTTATTCCTACAAACATGCCACAAACCCTCTCTGGGTCCCAGCACATAGAAGGCAGTGTATTTTGAGTGAAGTTTGAAATAACAGTATGTGTCTCTTTCATGTGTTTATTGAGACAGGATCTCATTATGTTGCCCAGGCTGGAGTGCAATGGCGTGATCATAGCTCACTGCAGCCTTGTTCTCCTGCCCACAGCCCCCGCTTTAGCCTCTCGAGTACCTGGGACCTCAGGTGCATGTCACCATGCCCAGCTAATTATTTTTATTTTTAGTACAGACAGGGTCTCGCTAGGTTGCCAAGGCTGGTCTCAAGCCCCTGAGCTGAAGCGATCCTCCTTCCTCAGCCCCCCCAAAGTACTGGGATTACAGCTGAGCCGCTGTGCCCAGCTATCCTGGGCTTTTTAACAGCTGTGTTAAGACATCTACCTCACACGCCACAAGGTTCAGTTGTTTGAAGTGTGCAACTCCGTGTTTTTAATAGATTTACAGACTTGTGCAACCAGCACTCTATTTGAGCATATTTTCATCATTCCAAAAAGAAACACTGGCCAGGCGTGGTGGCTCACACCTGTCATCCCAGCACTTTGGGAGGCCGAGGTGGGTGGATCACCTGAGGTCAGGAGTTTGAGACCAACCTGGCCAACACGATGAAACCCCATCTCTACTAAAAATACAAAAATTGCCCAGTCATCGTGGTGGGCGCCTGTAGTCCCAGCTACTCAGGAGGCAGAGGCAGGAGAATTGCTGGAACCCAGGAGGCAGAGGTTGCAGTGAGCCGAGATCATGCCACTGCACTCCAGCCTGGGTGACAGAGCGAGACTCCATCTCAAAAAAACAAAATAAAACAAAACAAAACAAAACAAAAACAAAGAAAAAAAAACACCATACCTTTTAATAGTCACTACCCATTTCTTCCCCATTTTCCCTTCCAGCTGAGGCAGTCACTCATCTCCTTTCTGTCTCTATAGATTCACCTACTCTGAACACTCCATATAAATGGGATAATACTCATGGGATCTTTCGTGTCTGGCTTCTTTCACTTAGCATTATGATTTTGGGGTTCATCTGTGTTGTAGCATGTCTCAGCACGTGATTCTTTTTTTTTTTCTGAGACAGGGCCTCATTCTGTCACCCAGGCTGGAGTGCAGTGGTGTGATCTCAGCTCACGGCAACCTCCGCCTCCCCGGTTCAAGCAATTCTCCTGCCTCAGCCTCCCGAGTAGCTGGGATTACAGGTGTCCACCACCATGCCCGACCAATTTTTGTATTTTAGTAGAGATGGGGTTTCACCATGTTGGCCAGGCTGGTCTCGAACTCCTGACCTCAAGTGATCCACCCGCCTTGGCCTCCCAAAGTGATGGGATGACAGGCGAGAGCCCCCGCGCCCATGCTGGGTTTTCTGTGTATTTTGCCCACATGCGTCCCTTGGCTTTTCTCTCAGTTGAGTTTATGATCCACACTCGGTTCCACTCGTGATGTTTGGTTGGGTTTTTTACTAAAGATCTCCCCAAGAGCCATGCCTGTGGCAACCCCCAGCAAGTGCTTGTGAGCGGAAGCTGGTTTCACCCTGTCAGCGGGAGGGGAGAGACAGGGGACAGGCTGGCAGAGGGACCGGAACCTGTGGTTTCTGAGGGACAGGGCAGCACAGAGACGCCACTCACCTAGTGAGAGGCTGGAGGAGCGGGCAGACTTCTCGCTACCGCCTTCACGGCGGAGCAGCTGCCACCCGATCGCAAATGTAACAGAAATGGCCTCACCCATGCTTTTCTGGGAGAGAAGGAAAGTCAGTGAATGAACAACTCCCTCTTGGGTTGGGTTTTCTGCTGAGTCACTGCCTTAATGGCTACCAGAGACAACTGACACCCCCTCGCTAGGCCGGTTTCTAAGGCAACCATTGAGCAAGGTGGCCAGTGCCAACCAGCCTGGAATCAGAAGAGACGCCCATACCCGGCCACCATGTTGCCTTTTTTATTTCTCTCCAGAATTTTTAGAGCCTATTTTTTAAAAAGAAAAACAAAACAAGCTTTTCCTTTTAAAAAATACCCTCTCAAAAAAAAAAAAAAAAAAAAAATCCAAACAGTACAGACACGTACGAAGTAAGAAAATCTCCTTCTCAGTCTCCCAGCCTCCAGTCCCCTGGCTAACACTAGCTGTGGCCACCAGTCCCTGGTTTAAGTCCCCTCTACTCACGCTTCTCTCATGATTCCACGCCTCGCCAGTTTCACTTAACAAGACAAATCGAGAGTGTTCCCTGGACACAGATGTCCCTGACTTTTGTCCTTTTTTAGAGCTGTATGAATGTACTCCATGTCATTTATTTCGCCAGCCTCCCCAAAGGGTCAGTTCGGTTGTTCCAGTTTCTGTGTGTGTGTGTTTTTGCACTTAGGCAAGATCTTTAGGCGAGATCTCTATGAGCAGCAGTCAGGATCTGGCTCTGTCACTCAGGCTGGAGTGCAGTGGTGCGATCATGGCTCACTGCAACCTCGACCTCCCAGGTTCAAGTGATCCTCCCATCTCAGCCTCCCGAGGAGCTGGGACTACAGATGTGTGCCACCACGCCCGGCTAATTTTTTATTTTTCTGTAGAGATGGGGTCTCACTATGTTGCCCAGGCTGGTCTCAAACTCCTGACCTCAGGTGATCCACCTGCCTCGACCTCCCAAAGTGCTGGGATTACAGGCGTGAGCCACCACGCCCGGCTGAAATGACCCTTTTAAATAAATGTTGGGTTAAGGAGGAAATTAAAATTTTAAAATAGTAAATATAACTTTATGGCAATACATTTGAAAAGTCTAGATTAACTGAATGACTTTCTGTGAAAAATAGAAATCTTCAGAGTTGTCTCAAGAAGTAGTAAAACTGCGCCAAGCACAGTGGCTCACGCCTGTAATCCCAGCACTTTGGGAGGCCGAGGCAGGCAGATCACTTGAGGTCAAGAGTTTGAGACCACCCTGGCCAACACGGTGAAACCACGTCTCTACTTACAAAATACAAAATATTAGCTGGGCGTGGTGGCGCGCACCTGTAGTCCCAGCTATCCGGGAAGCTGAACCCGGGAGGTGGAGGTTGCAATGAGCCGAGATCGTGCCACTGCACTCCAGCATGGGTGACAGAGCGAGACTCCGTCTCAAAAAATAAATGAATAAAGAAGTAGTAGGCCAGGCGCCATGGATCACGAGGTCAGGAGTTCAAGACCAGCCTGGCCAAGATGGTGAAACCCCGTCACTACTAAAAATCCAAAAATTAGCCGGGCATGGTGGTGGGCACCTGTAATCCCAGCTACGTGGGAGGGTGAAGCAGAGAATTGCTTGAACCCAAGAGGCGGAGGTTGCAGGGAGCTGAGATGGTGCCACTGCACTCCAGCCTGGGCGACAGAGCAAGACTCCATCTCAAAAAAAAAAAAAAAAAAGCCGGGCGTGGTGGCTCACGCCTTTAATCCCAGCACTTTGAGAGGCCGAGGCAGGGGGACTACCTGAGGTTGGGAGTTCAAGACCAGCCTGACCAACGTGGAGAAACCCCGTCTCTACTAAAAATACAACATTAGCCAGGCGTGGTGGCGCGTGCCCGTAATCCCAGCTACTTGGGAGGCTGAGGCAGGAGAATCACTTGAACCTGGGAGGCAGAGGTTGCGGTGAGCAGAGATCGCGCCATTGCACTCCAGCCTGGGTGACAGAGCAAAACTCTGTCAAAAAAAAAAGAAGTACTAAAACTGAATAGACCATGAGTCACATGTGAAAAGGAATTGCTAGGTGCTAAGCTTCTAAAGGGTCCCTCTAGGTCCCCAGGCTGCTCCATGTGACAGGCACAACCCATCCCCAGTGTAGAACAAATTCTTCTTGCCTTTCATAAGGAGAGGTGTTTGCATAAGATGGAGAGCCGAGTAAGCCCAAGTACAGCAAGAATCGAGTTTTCCCAGCCCCGAGAGGCCCTGGTTGGCTGCAGCCTGATGAGGTGCTAGGTGTGGCCGTCTGGCTTCCCACCCTGTTCTGCGTCTCTGGCTAATTAAACTAAGAACCAAATATGGTCTGTATTTCTACCCATCTGCAGCCACCAGGTGCTAAAAGGGATTCCCAGCTGCCCTGTCTATGGAGCAGCCATTCTTTTATTCCTCTATCTTCCTAATAAACTTGCTTTCACTTTACTGTAAAAAATAAAAACAAAAAACAAAAAGGGATTCCCCACCCCCGCCCCGTTTTCCCAATTTCAGCTGTTGGCTGTAGACTCCCCAAAATCACCACCAGAAAAACCTGTTGTTCAGGCAAAGCTGAGTTTATTGGACTCACTGCAAAGAGGAAGAACACTCCCCCGACAGAGCCGGCCTCAGATCACCAGGGAGGAAAGGAGGAGAGAAAATGCCCGAAGTCCGAGCCGGCGTGGGGAGGGCCGGGTGGGAAGCATGGTCAGCCTTGGACGGCTGGGTGCAGTCTCGGGCCGGGCTCTGCGAGTCTCATCTTTCAGGAGCATGGGTGTGTTGGTCCTGCAAGCGAATTGACTTGTGCTAGTTCTCAGGATTGTGTGGCAGAGCAACAGGTCCCAGAACTGTTTATCACGGGGATAGGAAGGCACCTCGCTCCCGGCATTGTTGAACACAGGGCTAGGAAACAATGCTGGGTTCAGGCTTCCCAACCAAGATCCCCAGCGGACAACAAAAGGAGGACAAAAGCCACTGCCCATTCCCACTCCCCTACGAGCCCACCAAGATCACCTGTTGCTAAAGTCATTGCTGCCTGCAGTAAGGGAGACTGCAACCTTGCCCATGCCTGAGAAGTTTCTGGAAGGGTGAGGTTAAGGTTCATGTTGGAAAATAAGTACCCTTGGGTTTAAGAACCAGAATGATGCCAGAGCGTGGTGCACACCTGCAGTCCAGCATTGTGGGAGGCCAAGGTAGATGGATTGCGTGAGCTCAGGAGTTCAAGACCAACCTGGGCAACACAGGGAGACCTAATCTCTACAAATAGTAATTAAAAAATTAGCTTGTGCACTTCAAAAAAAAAAAATTAAGGGTAGGCCGGGAGTCGTGGCTCATGCCTGTAATCCCAGCACTTTGGGAGGCCGAGGCAGGTGGATCAGCTGAGGTCAGGAGTTTGAGACCAACCTGGCCAACATGAAGAAACCCTGTCTCTACTAAAAATACAAAAATTAGCCAGGCGTGGTGGTGCACGCCTGTAGTCCCAGCTTCTCGGGAGGCTGAGGTGGGAGGATCGCTTAAGCCCAGGAAGTTGAGGCTGCAGTGAGTCTAGATCTCATCAGTGCACTCCAGCCTGGGTGACAGAGTGAGACCCTGTCTTAAAAAAAAAAAAAAAAAAAAAAAAAGAAAGAAAAGAAAAGACAACCAGGCCGGGCGTGTTGGCTCATGCCTGTAATCCCAACACTTTGGAAGGCTGAAGCGGGCAGATCACAAGGTCAAGAGATCAAGACCATCCTGGCCAACATGGTGAAACCCCGTCTCTACTAAAAATACAAAAATTAGCTGGGTGTGGTGGTGCAAGCCTGTAGTCCCAGCTATTTGGGAGGCTGAGGCAGGAGAATCACTTGAACCCGGGAGGCAGAGGTTGCAGTGAGCCGAGTTTGTGCCACTGCACTCCAGCCTGGCAACAGAGCGAGACTCTGTCTAAAAAAAAAGAAAAAGAAAAGAAAAGAAAAAAGAACCAGAATAAGACTAATTACAAGCAACCTGACTGAAACATGATGGACTCGGGCCCCACGTCTTAAGGGGGATTTGGCACAACTCAATGGGGTGGGGGCGGGCACAGTCGCTGGGAAAATAAAACCATTTATTGCATGTACTTCCAAGTACATGCAAGAAATGAGACTTACTACAAAGACTGGTTACAGGAGTGATGTCTGACAGTAAAATCAGACAAGAGCAAAGCAAATGACACCCAGTCTCAGATAGGCCCAGTGAAGACAGCCAGAATCTCCTGACTCAAACCTGCCCAGCAGACCAGAGGACGTTTCAGTGGTGCAATCAAGTGATTTACAAAGAATGAGAACTTTGCTTCATCCTTCCAACACGTATTCCTTGTGCGCCACGTCCGGCTAACTTTTTCAATTGCATTGGCCAATTTAACATTGGGAAACGGGAAGAAACAGTGGTGATCCTGGGAATATTGTCTCATTCTTGACTAATGAAAATGCTGTGGTGTTTCACCATTAAGCACAGTACTGTTTGTGGCTTCATACAATCAGCTCATGAAGCTGTCATCTCTGCAGATTTCACTTTTTTTTTTTTTTTTTGAGATGGAGTTTCACTCTTGCGGCCCAGGCTGGAGTGCAGTGGAACCATCTTGGCTTACGGCAACCTCCGCCTCCCAGGTTCAAGCGATTCTCCTGCCTCAGCCTCCCAGACAGCTGGGATTACAGGGGCCCGCCACCACACCTGGCTCATTTTTTGCGTTTTTAGTAGAGATGGGGTTTCACCATGTTGGCCAGGCTGGTCTCAAACTCTTGACCTCAGGTGATCCACGTGCCGTGGGCTCAAGTGATTCCCCTGCCTCAGCCTCAGGTAGCTGGGATTACGGGTGCCCACTACCACGCCCGGATAATTTTTGCAGTTTTACTACAGACAGGGTTTCACCATGTTGGTCAGGCTGGTCTCGAACTCCTGACCTCAGGTGATCCACCTGCCTCGGCCTCCCAAAGTGCTGGGATTACAGGGGTGAGCCACCACAGCTGGCCTTTTTCTACTTAGGAAGCTGACGTGGGAGGGTTGACTGGGCCCAGGAGGATGAGGCTGCATGAGCTGTGGTCATGCCACCGCACTCTAGCCTGGGTGACAGAGTGAGGTCCTGTCTCAAAAAAAGAAAATTTTAGTGGGCAAAAGATCTGAATAGACATGGCCAACAGGTCTATGAAAAAATGCTCCACATCACTCACCATCAGGGAAACACAAGTCAAAAGCACCACGAGATATCATCTCACCCCAGTTAAAATGGCTTTTAACAAAAAGATGTTTAAAAAAATAACAAATGCTGACAAGGATGCAGGGAAATGGGAACCTCGTACGCTGTTGGTGTGAATGTAAAGTAGCACAGACAGTACGGAGAACAGTATAGTCCAAAAACTACAAACACAACTACCGTATTAGCCAGCAATTTCACTACTTGGTATATATTTAAAGGTATATATTTAAATTTGAAATCACCATGTCAAAGAGATACCTGCACTCCCGTGTTCATTGCAGCACTATTCACAACAGGTAAGAGATGGAATCAACCTAAGAGTTTATCAATGGGTGAATGGATAAAGAAAGTGTGATATCTGTACACAACGGAATCCCATTCAGCCATAAAAGAGAAGGAAATCCTGTCATTTGCAACAAAATAGGTGAAACTGGGGAACACTATGTTAAATGAAATAAGCCAGGTACAAAAAGACAAATACCACACAACCTCACTGATATGTAGAAAATAAAAAAGCTGAACTCATAAAGGGGCTGCAGGGTGGTGGGTGGGGAGGGAAGGATGAGGAGATGTTGGCCAAGGGATTCAAAATTCCAATTAGGAGGAATTCCAATTAGTTCAAGAGATTTGTTGTACATCATCGTGACTATGGTTAATAACAATATGTTGTGTACATTTGGTTATAGTTTATTCACTTCTTTGCTTTTTTTAAGAGTCAGGTGTGAACCCTGAATATCTGAGAGAGGTCTCAGTGAATTTAGAAAGTTTGTTTTGCCAAGGTTGAGGATGGTCCTGACGACATGTGCCCGAGGTGGTCAGAGCACAGCTTGGTTTTATACATTTTAGGGAGACATGAGACATCAGTCAACATATGTAAGATGAACATTGGCTTGGTCCAGAAAGGGACAACTTGAAGTGGGGAGGGGGCTTCCAGGTCATGGGTAGATAAGAGACCAATGATTGTGTTGTTTTGAGTTTCTCATGAGCCTCTCCAAAGGAAGCAATCCAATAAGCATTTATCTCAGTGAACAGAGGAGTGGCCTTGAATAGAGTGGGAGGCAGGTTGGCCCTAAGCAGTTCCCAGCTTGAGTTTTCCCTTTAGCTGAGTGATTTGGGGGCCCCAAGATTTATTTTCCTTTCACACAGGTCTCCCTCTGTCACCCAGGCTGGAGTGCAGTGGTGTGATCATGGCTCACCGCAGCCTCAGACTCCTAGGCCCAAGCAATTCTCCCTCAGCCTCCGAGTAGCTAGGACCACAGGCTCGCACCACCATCCCCACCTAACTTTTGTATTTTTTTTTAGAGACAGACTCACCATGTTACCTAGGCTGGCCTCAAACTCCTGGGCTCAAGCAATCCTCCCACCTCAGCCTCCCACAGTGCTGGGATTACAGGCATGAGCCACCGCGCCCAGCCTGGATATTCATGCCTTGATCTGCTTTTGGATGATATTAGCTAATGTTTTTATTTTAGAAATGCCTACCAGTGTTTAACAGCAGTATCGATACTTTTCCGTGTGTGCATGTGTGTGTGTGTCAAGTCTGCAACCAGATTCAGTGAGTCACCCAGGAGT
Organism: Homo sapiens; assembly: GCF_000001405.40. Classification (NCBI taxonomy): domain Eukaryota; kingdom Metazoa; phylum Chordata; class Mammalia; order Primates; family Hominidae; genus Homo; species Homo sapiens. The sequence continues at coordinate 153,995,696 of NC_000023.11, read as the reverse complement.
ACCTACTGTGTGCCAGACACCGCTGTGGACTCAGAGCGGAGAAGCAAGCAGGACCCACAAGAGTCTGTCTTTGTGACACTAACATTCTCCTGGGGGACAAAGGTTATTCTGGCTTCATAAAGCACATCTGGAAACTTTACTTTCTTTGAAACCCTGGAATTACCTCTTTTTTTTTTTTGAGACGGAGTCTCGCTCTGTCGCCCAGGCTGGAGTGCAGTGGCGCCATCTCGGCTCACTGCAAGCTCCGCCTCCCGGGTTCACTCCATTCTCCTGCCTCAGCCTCCCCAGTAGCTGGGACTACAGGCGCCCGCCACCGCGCCCGGCTAATGTTTTGTGTTTTTAGTAGACACGGGGTTTCACCGCGTTAGCCAGGATGGTCTCGATCTCCTGATCTCGTGATCCGTCCACCTCGGCCTCCTGAAGTGCTTGGATGACAGGCGTGAGCCACTGCGCCTCGCTGGAATTACCTGTCTCTTAAAGGCCAGGAATAATTCACTGGAGGATTCACTAGGCCTGGGCTGTCTGATAGCCACCATTTCTTCTCTGCTCAGCTGCTGGTGGGGTGCCCCTACTTCTCAAGCCGCCCCACTGTGGAAATGAAACTGTTCCTTAAAACCCTGAAGGCCAGGCACAGTGGCTTAGGCCTGGAATCCTAGTACTTTGGGAGGTTGAGACGGGTGGATCGCTTGAGCCCAGGAGTTCCTGACCAGCCTGGGCAACATGGGGAGACCCCGTCTCTATGAAAAGTGACATAATTACATAATTAGCTGGGCATGGGGCCGTGCGCCTGTAGTCCCAGTTATTCAGGGGGTTGAAGTGGGAGGATCACCTGAGCCCGGAGGTCCGTGGTGCAGTGAGCCGAGATCGCGCCACTGCATTCCAGCCTGGGAGAAAGGGTGAGACCCTGTCTCAAACACACACACACACACACACACACATGCACACACACACACACACACGCACACATGCACACATGCACACACACACACATGCACACACACACACATGCACACACACACACATGCACACACACACACACGCACACATGCACACACGCACACACGCACACACACACACACACACACACATGCACACACACACACACACACACACACCCCCAAACCTCTGCAGCCCACAGCAGTGTCCACGTCTTCTCACCTGGAGCCAGCAAGTCCAGGAGTGAAGACATGATGAGAGGCCCCTACAGTCACTCAGGATCTGGTGACATGAGGGCCAGACCCCTGCCCAAACCCTGAATGCACCTTGCTTGGGGTTAAAATGGTTCAAGAGCAAAGGGCCCACTTCCCCGTCCCCCTCCTCCAGCACTTGCCACCCCCACCCAATGCTCTCTCCTCCAACCACCCTCCCTGCCTTCTCCTGCCCCTCTTCTGCCCCCGTCTCTGGTTCTCCCCACTGAGGCATAGGAAGAGATGCCCATTTCTCATGGGGAAATGCAAGATAAAATCGCACCCAGAATGACTGTCACTGAAGACTGGTCGCAGGGAGCACTGGTGAGGAGGCGGAGTGCATGAAAGGTTCGCACGCGGCCAGCAGGAGTGTGAAATGGCACAGCCACTTTGAATCACTGTTCAGCAGTTTCTTATCAACTTAAAAACTTCTTTGCAGCAAGATGATCCTCAGTTTGAATCACAAAATAGAAATAAACATTTTAAAAAAGAAAACTGCAAGCCGGGCACGGTGGCTCACGCCTCTAATCCCAGCACTTTGGGAGGCCGAGGCGGGCGGATCACAAGGTCAGGAGATCGAGACCATCCTGGCTAACGCGGTGAAACCCCGTCTCTACTAAAAATACAAAAAATTAGCCGGGCGTGGTGGCGGGCGCCTATAGTCCCAGCTACTTGGGAGGCTGAGGCAGGAGAATCCCTCAAACCCGTGAGGCGGAGCTTGCAGTGAGCCCAGATTGTGCCACTGCACTCCAGTCTGGGCGACAGAGCCAGACTCTGTCTCAAAAAAAAAAAAAAAAAAAAGAAAAAAAAAAGAAACCTCCCTCTACGATGCTTCATGTGCCTATTTCTCCCTAGAGTTCTGTCAACTTTTGCTTAAGATATGTAGAGCCTATTTTAACATCATTCCTAAACTGTTTTTGTTTTGTCCCAAAGCCTATTTTGTCTGATGTTAATATAGCCATGGCAGCTTGCTTTTGGTAGTAACTGCCTAGCATTCATTCTTTCACATGTAATATTTCCATGGACATATGTTTGAGGTGTGTCTCTAGTAAACAGCATATGCTGGAAGTGGGGGTTTCCATCCAATCTGACAATCTCCGGAATCTCTGACAATTCCCAATCTGAAGTCCTCGGCAGGGGGCTACATCTGCTGTTTGTTATGTCTGTCCCAGCAGAAGCCCCCCCAGCGGGGCCGGCTCGGCAACCTGCACATCTCGGCTCCGTGTGGGTGCTGCGGGCTGAGCTTCTCCACCTGTTGGGGTTGCATCCTATACAGAGCCAGCGGGGAAGGCAGCCTGTCTGGACGGCGAGATGGAGAGCTTCAAGCAGCAGGGGTGGAAGTTCAGATGCTGAGGGCCGGGTGCAGTGGCCTCCCTGTGTCCACATTTGACCTGTGGCACACCTGAAGGGTGGTTTCCAGGGGCTGCAGGAGGGGGACTGGGGAGTTAGCATTTAATGGGGATAGAGTTTCAGTTTAGAAGGATGAAAAGAGTTCCGGAGATGGACGATGATGTTGGTTGCACCATATTACGAATGTAGGTAACACCACTGAACTAACTAACCACAAAACTGGTTAACATGGTACATTTTATGTTATTATGTATTTTACCCCAATAAAAAACATCGGGCCAGGCACAGTGGCCTGTAATCTTGGCAACTCGGGAGGCTGAGGTGGGAGGATGGCTTGAGCCCAGGACAACTGGACAACATAGCAAGACCCTGCCTCTACAAAAAAAAAAAAAAAAAAAGAAAGAAAGAAAAAGGAAAGAAAAAAGAAGAAAAATTAGCTGAGCATGATGGTGAGCACCTATACTCCTAGCTACCCAGGAGGCTGGGATGGGAGGATCACTTAAGCCCAGGAGGTTGAGGCTGCAGTGAGCTGTGATCCTACCACTGCACTCCAGCCTGGGTGACAGAGCCAGACTCAGTTTCTAAAAAAATTTTAAAAATGAAAAAAATTGAAAAAAATATATTTTCAATTGAAATTTGGATCCCAAGTCACAGCGGTCATGGTGCAAGAGCTTCCTGGAATGAGTGAGGAGCAGCTCCAGGCAAAGTCCAAAGCCCCAGGGCAAAGCCCACCGCAGCCACTTCCTACTGCTGTGAACTTGGCCATTCAACTTCTCTAAACTGACTTTCGTCCACAGTAAGCCCTCGATCGCTGCTAGCCAGCATGGCCCGAGACAGCGGTGGTGAGGGAGTGGCTCTGCAGAATTACCCATACCAGATTTTATGAGGTCGACCTAAAGGAACACACTGAGGTAAAATTAATACAAGGAGAGTGTATTTGGGCCAAATTTGAGGATTGCAACCTGGGAAACACATCCAAACTAAGTTTTGGTAGGTATTCTGAGTTGAGGTGGTTACAAGCAGATATTAAGGACAAAATGAGGAGGCTGGGCCCCGTGGCTCATGTGTGCCATCCCAGCAATTGGGGAGGCTGAGGCAGGAGGATCACTGGAGCCCAGGGGTTCAAGACCAGCCTGGGCAACATGGTGAGACTCCATCTCTACAAGAAATAAATAAGTAGAGGCCAGGCGCGGTGGCTCACGCCTGTAATCTCAACACTTTGGGAGGCCGAGTGGGGGTGGATCACTTGACGTCAGTAGTTTGAGACCAGCCTGGCCAACGTGGTGAAACCCTGTCTCTGCTAAAAATACAAAATTAGCCGGGCATGGTGGTGCAGGCCTGTAGTCCCAGCTAATCGGGAGGCGGAGGCAGGAGAATCACCTGAACCTGGGAGGTGGAGGTTGCAGTGAGCCAATAGCGTGCATTGCACTCCAGCCTGGGCGACAAGAGCAAAACTCCATCTCAAAAATAAAATAAAATAAAATAAAATAAATAAAATAAAATAAAATAAAATAAAATATAAAAAATTAGCTGGGCACAGTGGTGCATACCTGTAGTCCCAGTTACTCTGGAGGCTGAGGCAGGAGAATCGCTTGAACCGGGGAGGCAGAGGTTGCACTGAGCTGAGATCGCACTAACCATTGCACTCCAGCCTGGGTGACAGAGTGAGTCTCTGAAAAAAAAAAAGAAAGAAAGAAAGAAAAAAAGAAGAAAGAAAGAAAGAAAGAAGAAAAGAAAGGAAAGAAAGAAGAAAGAAAGAAAGAAAAGAAAAGAAGGAAGGAAGCAAAGAAAGAAAGAAGAAAGAAAGAAGAAAAGAAAGGAAAGAAAGAAAAGAAAGAAGGAAAGGAAGGAAGGAAAGAAAAGAAAGAAGGAAAAGAAGGAAGGAAAGAAAGAAGAAAGGAAGGAAAGAAAGAAGAAAGGGAAAGAAAGAAGAGAAAGAAAAAAACAAAGAAAGAAGAAAAGAAGGAAGAAAAGAAAGAAAGAAAAGAAAAGGAAGGAAGCAAAGAAAGAAGAAAGAAAGGAAAGAAAGAAAGAAAGAAAAGAAGGAAGGAAGGAAAGAAAAAGAAGAAAGAAGAAAGAAGAGAAAGAAGAAAGAAAGGAAAGGACAAAAGAAGGAAGGAAAGAAAGAAAGAGAAAAAGAAAGAAAGAAAAAAAAGACTAACTCCAGGTTAGGCGCGGTGGCTCACACCTGTCATCCTGGCACTTTGGGAGGCCGAGGCGGGTGGTTCACGAGGTCAGGAGATCCAGACCATCCTGGCTAACATGGTGAACCCCACCTGTACTAAAAATACAAAAAAAATTAGCTGGGCGTGGTGGTGGGCGCCTGTAGTCCCACTACTCGGGAGGCTGAGGCAGGAGAATGGTGTGAACCCGGGAGGTGGAAGTTGCGGTGAGCCGAGATTGCACCACTGCACTCCAGCCTGGGCGACAGAGCGAGACTCCGTCTAAAAAAAAAAAAAAGACTAACTCCCCACCACTCTCCCCACCCTGGCGACCATCATCCTGTGGTGTGTCTCTGAGTCTGACGACACCAGGTCCCTCCCAAAAGTGGAATCAGGTACTTTCTGTCCTGGCTTCTTTCACTAATTATGATGTCCTCCAGGTTCATCCATGTGGTAGCCTGCGTAAGGATTCCCTTCCTTTTCATGGCTGAATAATATTCCATTGTGTGGATAAAGCAGATTGTGTTTATCTATGTATTCATCCATGGACACTTGGCCAGCTCTCACCTCTTGGGTGCTGTGAATTGCATCCCTTCAAGCTCCTGCTTTCAACTCCTTTGTGCCTATACCCAGCAGTGGAACTGCTGGACCCTATGGGAATTCTATGTTTAATGTTTTGAGGCAACCTCGATTTTAAGCTGAAAAAGGCAAACAAGGACAAAATGAAACTGTCACTCACTCCTGTCAGATCAGCAGATCACCCCGGTGACCACATCAAGTGCTGTTGAGGAGCTCTGCCCCCAATCTGGCAAGGGATTTGGCAAATTCTACTCGAGTTGAAATGCGAAGCTCTCACACATAGGCACCAAGAGGCGTGCACAGGAGCGTGAGACTGGGGACGTGTGCCATCGGTCACGTCCAGCCGGGTGGGGAGGCTCTGCACAATGTGCACGTAGAGAAACACAAGGAGGCTGGGAGCAGGGCCTCAGGCCTGTAATCCCAGCACTGTGGTAGGCCGAGGTGGGTGGGTCAGCTGAGTTCAGGGGTTCGAGACGAGCCTGGCCAACATGCTGAAACCTCATCTCTACTAAGGATACAAAAATTAGCCGGGCATGGTGGTGCACGCCTGTAATCCCAGCTACTCAGGAGGCAGAGGCAGGAGAATCACTTGAACCTGGGAGGAGGAGGTTGCGGTGAGCCGAGATTGTGCCGCTGCACTCCAGCCTGGGTGACAGAGCAAGACTCCATCTCAAAAACAAAACAAAACAAAACAAAACAACAACAACACAACAAAAAACCCACACACAAGGGCGAGGGCAGCCACACACTACTGTGCATGGGCCACATGCAGGAGAGGCATGGGAGGGGCACAGAATCTTCCAAAGAAACAGACCTGAGCTGGCCGAGATGGTGGCGGCACACACAAGCTAGCCCAGGCCCCAGTGGAGGTCAAGTGGGGCCGAGAAGAGGCAAGAGCAAAACCAGAAGTCAGCGGTTCCAAAGAGAAACAGACAGCAAAGATCAAAGTGAAAGGCCGGCAATGGAAGGAAAGGCTAGAAAAACAGAAACAAATCACCTATTGGGTATGAGGCTTACTATTTAATACCTGGGTGATGAAATAATCTGTACACAAAACCCACACAACATGCAATTTGTCTATGGAACCAACCTGCACATGTACCCCCGAAACTAAAATAAAATTTAAAATAATAATAAAATAGGGCAGGCGTGGTGGCTCATGCCTGTCATCCCAGCTACTCAGGAGGCTGAGGCAGGAGAATCGCTTGAACATGGGAGGCGGAGGTTGCAGTGAGCTGAGACTGCGCCATTGCACTCCAGCCTGGGCGACAGAGTGAGACTCAGTCTCAAAAAAAAAAAAAAAGAAAGAAAGAAAGAAAGAAAGAAAGAAAAGAAATAATAATAAAATAAAAACATGAAAGCTTTGAAGGACCTGGCGTGCCACCACAGCAATCAGGCTCCAGTGACCCTAGGAACAAGATGGCCACGCGCCGGGCCAAGGCAGTGCCCTCCAGTCACAGGGTCACTGAACAGAGAAGCAGCCCCCAGGACCAACGCAGAGAGGGTTCCATAAACCCGGGTCCCCAAAGATCCCCTTTGAATGGGAAGAAGCGCTCCCCAATCACATGATGACCCACTGGAGGATACGAACTGGCCAGTGGATATTTACCCGGTATTTCTATTCCCGGAGGCCTTCGGCGTGGGAGGGAAATGCCTCACCCACCTTCGTTCTCCCAGGCTGCAATGAGGCACCTTGCCCAAGCGTGCTGGCATTTCCCTCCCTCACCAAGTGCACTACTTCACTATAGTTACGTAAACCGTCATGTCAGCAATGTGACAGCCGCATTGTTTTCTTTATAAACATAATTTTTAACTATCTAATAATTTTATAATGAAAATGTTATAATAAAAACATCTGAAGCAGCTACAGGCGATGCTGAGATTTAACAAAGTTAGCTGAGGTACAGACAAGTGTTACCTAGACACTCAGAAAACTGCTTTAAGGAAGACCAACCCCGAAAGCTACGAAGAAAAAGACAGACATGCATGACCACATAAATCTTCAGAAGACAAACAATAGGCTGGGTGTAGTGGTTCACACCTGTAATCCCAACACTTTGGGATGCCAAGGTGGGAGGATTGCTTTAGCCCAGGAGTCCGAGGACAAAATGAGGAGGTTGGGTACAGTGGCTTATGCCTGTCATCCCAGCACTTTGAGGGCAAGGCAGGAGTGTGGTCCTGGGCAACACAGAGAGACCCCATCTCTAGAAAAAAAATGTAAGAATTAGGCTGGGCTCTGGCCAGGCGCGGTGGCTCATGCCTATAATCCCAGCACTTTGGGAGGCCGAGGCGGGTGGATCATGAGGTCAGTTCGAGACCAGCCTGGCCAGCATGGTGAAACCCCATCTCTACTAAAAATACAAAAAAATTAGCCGGGCTAATTTTAGCTGTAATCCCAGCTACTTGGGAAGCTGAGGCAGGAGAATTGCTTGAACCTGGGAGGCGGAAGTTGCAGTGAGCCAAGATCGCGCCATTGCACTCCAGCCTGGGCGACAGAGCGAGACTCCGTCTCAAAAAAAAAAAAAAAAAATTTGTAACTTAATAACAAATAATACATTTCATAGTAATTTTAAAAAAAAATTTTCTTTTTTTTTTTTTTTTTTTTAAGAATTAGCCAGGGAGGCTGGGTGCAGTGGCTCACACCTGTAATCCCAGCACTTTAGGAGGCCGAGGTGAGATCACCTGAGGTCGGGAGTTTAAGACCAGCCTGACCAACATGGAGAAACCCCGTATCTGCTACAAATACAGAAATTAGTCAGACATGGTGGCGCATGCCTGTTATCCCAGCTACTCGGGAGGCTGACACAGGAGAATCGCTTGAACCCAGGAGGCAGAGGTTGCAGTGAGCCAAGATTGCGCCATTGCGCTCCAGCCTGGGCAACAAGAGCAAAACTCCATCTCAAAAAAACAAAAACAAAAACAAAACAAAAGAATTAGCCAGGGATGGTGGCCTGCGCCCATAGTCCCAGTTACTTGGGAGGCTGAGGTGGGACGATCTCTTGAGCCTGGGAGTTGAAGGCTGCAGTGAACCATGATTGCGCCACTGCACTCCAGCCTGGGGGACACAGGGAGACCCTGTCTCAAAAATGCACACACACTACTTTTGGCGGGGGGTCGGTGAGAGAGGGGAAGGGGTCTGAGTTAGTCACAATGAAATCTCATGTCACCCTCATCAGATTGGCACACCATGAAAATGCACCCACCCTGACATTTGCTGGTGGGGGGCGGAGAAGCCTCTCACATTGCTGCTAGAGATGTGAATCAAGAACGTCACTGGGAAAAGCACTCCAGGGATTTGAAACTGAAGTTCCCTTCAGCCCTACAATCCCACTCCTGAGACCTAACTGGAGAAGGGCCTGCTCCGGGCCAGTGTGTGCAGTTTCTAGCAGACCTTGGCACGTCACCAAGCCAAAATGGGGCCCAGAAAAGCGAATGCATGATAGTGTGTGCCCTATGCTGTAATTTTTTTGTTTTTTTGAGATGGGGTCTTGCTCTGTCACCCAGGCTGGAGTGCAGTGATGCCATCTTATTACAACTGTGTCACTGCAGCCTGGATCTCCTGGGTTCAAGTGATCCTCCCCACCTCAGCCTCCTGAGTAGCTGAGACTACAAATACACACCATCAAGCCCAGCTAATTTTTTTTATTTTTGGTAGAGATGGGGTCTCCCTACGTTGTCCAGGGTGGTCTTAAACTCCTGAGGTCAAGCAATTCTTCCTTCTCAGCCTCCCAAAGTGCTGGGATTGCAGGCATCAGCCACTGCGCCTGGCCTAAAACTATTTTTGTTGTTGTTTTTGAGATGGAGTCTCACTCTGTTGCCCAGGCTGGGGTGCAATGGCACGATCTCAGCTCACTGCAACCTCCACCTCCCGGATTTAAGCGATTCTCCTGCCTCAGCCTCCCAAGTAGCTGGGATTACAGGCTCCCACCACCATGCCCAGCTAATTTTTGTATTTTTAGTAGAGATGGGGTTTTGTCATGTTCGCCAGGCTGGTCTTGAACTCATGACTTCAGGTGATCCACCCGCCTCAGCCTCCCAAAGTGCTGGGATTACAGGCGTGAGCCACTGCACCGGGCTTAAAACTATTTTTGTGTGTGTGTGTGTTTGTTTGTTTTTGAGACAGAGTTTCGCTCTTGTTGCCCAGGCTGGAGTGCAGTGGCGTGATCTCGGCTCACTGCAACCTCTGCCTCCCAGGTTCAAGCGATTCTCCTGCCTCAGCCTCCCGAGTAGCTGGGATTATAGGCACCCACCACCATGCCTGGTTAATTTTTTGTATTTTTAGTAGAGACAGGGTTTCACTATATTGGCCAGGCTGCTCTCGGACTCCTGACCTCAGATAATCCACCCGCCTTGGCCTCCCAAAGTGCTGGGATTACAGGCGTGAGCCAGAGCGCCAGGCCCTAAAACTATTTTATGTGGGGAGAAAATACCCAGGCCATGGCAGCAGAAAGCAAGGAAGAAGCCACGTGGAAGCCCTCCTGGCGCTTCTTCCAGGGAGGTGAGCAGAGAGCACCTGGGGCCAGGAGGCGGCATGCCTGGGTTTCTGCTCCTCCTCACTGTAACTTTCAGCCAAGTCAAACTGCTAGAGTTTCAGTTTCTTTATCTGTGAAATGCCGGGGCTGGCACAGATGGTTTCTAAGATCCCTCCCAGGCCTGGAACCTCTAAACCGTTAGGTCAAAGGTCGGGGAGAGGCCCCATCTGGCAACCATTGGCTCCCCAGCTGTGCTGGGGACGCAGTGGAGCAGCGAGACTGAGACCAAGACCAGTAACGGCAACGGCGGCCCTGACAGCCAATCCCCCTGGGCGAGGCCGAGCTCCTCCGTGGACTGCAGAGCTGGAGGGAGGCACAGCCGCCAGCCTCCTTCCTCCAGTGGCTCAGGGGTTGGTGGAATCCGCAAACCCCGGGCCAGGGCTGAGGCACTCTGAGGTCCCGGCCCCAGAAGGGGGGTTCGCCTGGGCAGGAAGGGATGCAGGAAGCTGTGTGACTAATGGCAACTGGCCATACTTGGAGAAACACTAATTTCAAAAAGGGCCTGGGGAGTGCAGGTTCCAGGCCGGGGCCTGCCTGGAGCCTTCTTTGCCACCTGCTCTGCCTTGCGCAGGTTCCGGGGCTTCTGGCTCTGCTTGTGTTGGCTCAGGACGTGGTTGTTGGATTTAGCAAATAACAATCAGAACACCCAGTGAAATCTGAATTTCAGGTAAACAATACTTTTTTAGTAGGAGAAATGTCTCATGCAACATTTGAGACACGCTTGTGCAAAACCATTGTTCATCGCCTGGCGTATAATCTGGCAACTCTGGCAGGAGAGGGAGGGAGCGGAGCCAGGCTTCCTGCAGTCCCTGCCCCTCTGGAGGTGTCCCCTCCACATAAGCCTCTCCTTTGGGTGGGGTCCACTCTTCCAGGTGTCCCACAAAACCGCCCTGAATCACCCCAATCTAGGCACACCACCTGTTTCCCGTGGGACCCCGCCTGACCCAGGAGGCTCGCAGGGCTGTTTATTACACAGGTATTGGTAGGAAGAAAAAGTAAAATCGTGATGAGTGCTTGTTGCTGCGAGGTGTGGCATGAAGTCCCAGCAGTCCTCTGTCAATGAGGGAAACAGCTACTCACAGAGAAATCACAAAAGGGGATCCCCCACTGCTGGATGAAGAGCCTGCCCCCACCCTGTCTCTGAGCCCGCATGGAAGCCCGCCTTCTTTTCGCCCTCCCTCCAGCCTCTGTGAAGTAAGGGTGGCCTCTCTGGTGATGTGTGCAGCCTCTTCCCTCTTCTAGGGCACATGGTGCTTTCGAGACGACCTCAAATGGAACCAGGCTGTTTCCCAAGCAGGTGCTGTCCTTGCTCTCCCCTGCCAACCACGTGCCCCACCCCCAGGCCCCAAGCCCTGGGTCGGGTCCTGCCATTTGCCCCAGGTCCTTACCTGGTGGCAATGTGCTCAGCCAGCCAGGACAGAACATCCAGCCCAGGTGCCCAGTTCCAGAAACATCTCAGTCATCACAGTCGTGGGCCGAATGCCAACCTCGAGGGCACTGAGCAGGTGCACATGGGTGGCCCATGCTGAGATGCCATTTGGCAGGGACAGGGCATCCTCTCTCCTCTGCCCTCACCTTTGGAGCTGGTCACTTCTCCATTTAATTTGTGGGCTTAAAGCAGACCCTCCTTAGTACTTAAGGCTCCAGGGACAAGACTATGGAGTCTGGGATGAAGAGCCCCTGAGTTAAATGACATTACCTGTCTTCAGGAGTCCCCTTTACAGGCCGGGCGCGGGAGCTCATGCCTGTAATCCCAGCACTGGGAGGCCGAAGCGGGCGGATCACCTGAGGTCAGGAGTTAGAGACTAGCCTGGCCAACATGATGAAACCCCGTCTCTACTAAAAATACAAAAATTAGCCGGGCGTGGTGGTGGGTGCCTGTAATCCCAGCTACTCAGGCAGCTGAGGCAGGAGAATCGCTTGAACCCGGGAGGCAGAGGTTGCAGTGAGCCAAGATCACACCATTGCACTCCAGCCTGGGCAACAGAGCAAGACTCTGTCTCGAAAAAAGGAAGTCCCCTTTACAGACCAGATGCCTTCAGATGAAAGGAGGTGAGGCAGGCCTCTAAGTAACATAGTGACCGGCAGGAAGGACTGTCCCGGGAGTAGAGAGGGTGGCACGGAGTCCTCAGTGCCTCTCTGGCTGCGGCTAAGAATGACCCAGCATCCTGACCACAAACTAGAGAGTCTGGGCCTTGGGCTCGAGGGCTCAAAAACTGTTGCCTGCATGAGAAGCACGTGCCGCCTCCAGCACAGTGCCTGACGATACTGTCAGCAGACTGGTTCGCAAGGACCTGGGTGACGGGCAGGTGGGGACTGCTCAGACTGTAGCCACTAAGGGCATCTAAGCCACACCCTGGCTCTGAGGGGAGACCCACAAAGCAACTTTCTGTTGAGAGTTCAACTTTTGACATTTGTGTGTTTCCTCATCTGGATGCACACTGCCTGGTTCCACAGACGATCTGAGGTGATGTGGCTCTCACGTGACCTGCCTACAGTTAACAGTCACAGATGTCATGGGGATAATTGAGTGATTTCCCCATCAGTCTGCTGGGCACGTATTTAGTGTGACTCAGTCTCCCTGAATCCAGCCGCCTCTAAGGACACTCACTGGTACCCCACTGACTGGCCTGCCTCACTGCTGCCAGTCCACACCCAGAGCTGACACCCCAAAGATACTCCAGACGATCGCTCTCTGTCCAACCATGAGCATGAGGGGCTTCTTGGTGTCATTTCCACTCCCCTTGCCAATATTTATTTGGAAACATTTCAAACTACAGAAAAGTTATGCAAATTACATCAGGAACACACACATCCCCTGTGCGGAGATCTGTGCTTTATGTCTTTGAAAGTAAGTTGTCGAGATCACAGCACTCCACCCCTCCACACCGAAGCCCGCAGCTTCTCAGGAAAGGGCAGTCTTGTGTGATCAGTGCATATCATCACACACAGGATGTCTGACACTGGCACCACGCTGCCATCTCAGAGTCCATTTCAATGCTGGGGGTCATCGGTTTTCAGCAGGTTCTTCCCTGGGTTCAACGCGTCTTCCCGCCAGAGGGATGGAATCTTGGGTGAGTGTTGAAATGCGTCAGAAACAAAAACGCAAAGTGGAACTGGAGCACGTCACAGACCTTGGACCAGAAGTGGCCTGTGAGGCACTGGAAGAGACGCCACCGTGCGAGCTGATGGTCACACAGCTTGAGGACCACAAAGCCCAGGCAAGAGAGCACCCCCAAAGCTAAGTAGGTAGCCGAGGTGGTGCTGCCATAGTGCCTGTGGGTGCGCAGCGCCTGCCCCACAGCGGCCACCACGTGAGCACCCAGTGCGACCTCGAAGCCCTGGGGATGCAGCAGAGCGAGGCCATAACTGGCCAGGGAGACGCACTCAAGAGAGAGGAACAGCCAGGGCCGCCAGCCGCGGTCTAGGTAGAGGCACCAGGCCACGGGCCATGCAAAGATGGGCAGTGTGAGCCACTGGTCCAGCACCGCGGCACGGCGCCACTGCGTCCACAGGCGCAGCCACTGCACGGGGCCATAGAGCAGGGCCATGGCTGCGAACACGTCCTTCAGGTAGCGGGGACCCAGCCCCATCGCGCCGCCCCTGTGCAGCCACGACAGCCCCAGCAGCGTGTAGGCCATGTTCACGAGTGAGTTGAACGGCATGGCCAGGAAGGCAGGGAGGCCGGCCACGGGCGCCTCGGCGTAGTGCTCATAGCCCACTTGCACGGAAACACTGTCGAAAATGCCCGTGAACACAGCCACGGCACAGAGGCCACCGGCCACGGCCACGTGCACGAAGGCCTGCCCCCACTCTGGATTCATCTGGAACCGGCGGCGTGACCTGGGGCAGGGAGCTTCAGAGAGCAGCCTTCAATACGCAGCCTCTGCAGAACACTCTGGGCCTCCCGGCTGAGCCAGCAGAAAGAAGCCCCGTGATTTCGTGATTTCCGAGGCAGATGCTGCGACCTTGCCCCGAAGGAAGGCAGGAGTCCTGCTGATTGGCTGGCGCCAGCGGAGGAACGTTCTGCCTTTTTCCTTTGTGGTTACAAAAGGAGTGTGGTTAGAAAACAAACCGTCCCCAGCACCGCCTCCATGTTCCTGACCCCCGGCCTCAGGAGCTACCAACCATCTTCACTGGAGAAGCAAATCAGAGTGAAACCGCTGCACACTGACTCTCTCAAGCCTCTAGAATCCTCTATCACCCCTTTCTCCTGGCACCTAGGAAAATCCTGCCCATCGTCCTAGTTTCCTTAAAGCCACTGCATCTACAGACAAGACCTGTCTAGCTCTGTCATTACAACTCAGAATGCGCCTTCCCATGTCAGTGTGTTATAAAAGTGGACGTCTCCAGCCCCAAAGCCCTTTTCACCAAATACCCAGCTGAACTAGAGACCATTAGATGGAGTCCGAGCTCTGGCCTCTGACACAAGGTGGGGGATGGAGGAGGAGGAGGATTCACCGTCTGCCACTCAAGCACCAGGCCGGGAGGCAAGGGGGTGACCCGCAGGCTTCCCAGGCCAGCTTCCCTGGCTCACTCGCCTGCCCTCTCCTGAAGTGCCAAGCCCCAAATCACCTTCTTTCCTCAGGCCACCATAAAGCCTTCTGTCTCCTTCAGTCACAGAACCAGAGAGACAATTTAATTACCACTGACTGTCAACTGCTTTGGGGCCACTGGTGCTGTAAGTGAGCCCTAGTAGCTGAGAAATACATTAATATGGAAGGGAGAAGAGCTTTAATGCTCTGAAAATGACTCCAATCATTAAAGCTCTTCTCCCTTCCATATTAATAAATTTCGCACTCAAGAGGGTGGGCGGGTAGGCGGGCTCAGGGAGAGAGAAGGGTGGGCTCCAGTTCCTGGTCAGCTGATGCCAGACTGTTCAAACCTTGGCTCTCCCACTTACTAACCATGTGATCTTGCACCTTAACTGTCTTGGGCCTCGGTTTGTGCACCTTTTTTTTTTTTTTTGAGACGGAGTCTCACTCTGTTGCCCAGGCTAGAGTGCAGTGGCACAATCTTGGCTCACTGCAACCTCCGCCTCCCAGGTTCAGGTGATTCTCCTGCCTCAGCCTCCCTAGTAGCGGTGATTAGAGGCGTGTACCACCATGCCCGGCTAACTTTTCTATTTTTAGTAGAGTTGGGGTTTCACCACGTTGGCCAGGCTGGTCTTGAACTCCTGACCTCAAGTGATCCACCCGCCTCAGCCTCCCAAAGTGCTGGGATTCACAGGTATGAGCCACTGTGCCCAGCCCGGTTAGCTCACCTTTGACCTAATCGCTTAGAAGTTCCAGGCCTGGGAGGGATCTTAGAAACCATCTGTGCCAGCCCCGGCATTTCACAGATAAAGAAACTGAAACTCTAGCAGTTTGACTTGGCTGAAAGTTACAGTGAGGAGGAGCAGAAACCCAGGCATGCCGCCTCCTGGCCCCAGGTGCTCTCTGCTCACCTCCCTGGAAGAAGCGCCAGGAGGGCTTCCACGTGGCTTCTTCCTTGCTTTCTGCTGCCATGGCCTGGGTATTTTTATTTAGACACGGGGGTCTTGCTCTGTTGCCCAGGCTGGGGTGCAGTGGCACAATCACAGCTCACTGCAGCCTCCACCTCCTGGGCCCAAGCTATCCTCCTGCCTCAGCCTCCCAAGTAGTTGGGACCAGGGATATACCACCACCTTGCCCTGCTAATTTTTTTTTTTTTTTTTGAGACGGAGTCTTGCTCTGTTGCCCAGGCTGGAGTGCAGTGGTGCGATCTTGGCTCACTGCAAGCTCCATCTCCCGGGTTCACGCCATTCTCCTACCTCAGCCTCCCTACCACAGCGCCCGGCCTGCCCTGCTAATTTTTGTTAAAAAAATTTTGGGCCAGGCATGGTGGCTCATGCCTGTAATCCCAGCACTTTGGGAGGCCAAGGCGGGTGGATCACGAGGTCAGGAGATCGAGAGCATCCTGGCTAACACGGTGAAACCCCGTCTCTACTAAAACAATACAAAAAATAGCCAGGCGTGGTGGTGGGCGCCTGTTGTCCCAGCTACTCGGGAGGCTGAGGCAGGAGAATGGCGTGAACCCTGGAGGCGGAGCTTGCAGTGAGCTGAGATCGCGCCACTGCACTCCAACCTGGGCGACAGAGCGCGACTCCATCTAAAAAAAAAAAAAAAAAAAAATTGTAGAGACAGGGTCTCACCATGTTGCCCAGCCTGGTCTCGAACTCTTGGCCTCAAGTGATCCTCCTGCCTTGGCCTCCCAAAGTCCTGAGATTACAGGAGTGAGCCACTGCACCCAGCTAAACCCCTCTTAAGTTGAAAGTCCAGTTCCTATATTTTCGACTTATGATGGGTTTATCTGGACATTACCCTGTTATACATCAAAAAGCATATGTAGCTGGGCATGGTGGCTCACATCTGTAATCCCAGCAATTTGGAAGGCCAAGGTGAGAGGACTGCTTGAGTCCAGGAGTTTGAGACCAGCCTGGGCAACAAAGTGAGACCCTGTCTCTACACAAAATACATAAAATTAAATTTAAAAAATAAAATAAAAATTAGCCAGGCATGGTGGTGCACCTATAGTCCCAGCTCCTCAGGAGGCTGAGGCAGGAAGATCACTTGAGCCCAGGAGATGGAGGCTGCAGTGAGCTATGGGCCACAGAGCAAGACCCTATCTCTAAAAAAAAAAAAGCTAGGCGCAGTGGCTCACACCTATAATCCTAGCACTTTGGGAGGCCGAGGCAGGTGGATCATCTGAGGTCAGGAGTTTGAGACCAGCCTAGCCAATGTGGTGAAACCCCGTCTCTACCAAAAATACAAAAAAATTAGGCCGGGCACGGTGGCTCACGCCTATAATCCCAACACTTTGGGAGGCAGAGGCGGGTGGATCACTTGAGGTCAGGAGTTCCAGACCAGTCTGGCCAACATGGTGAAACCCTGTCTCTACAAAAATACAAAAAAATTAACCAGGCGTGGTGGCGCACGCCTGTAATCCCAGCTACTTGGGAGGCTGAGACGGGAGAATTGCTTGAACCCAGGAGGCAGAGGTTGCAGTGAGCCAAGATCGTGCCATTGCACTCCAGCCTGGGCGGCAGAGTGAGACTTCATCTCAGAAAAACAAAACAAAACAAAACAAAACAAAACAAAACAAAACAAAACAAAAAATTAGCCAGGTGTGGTGGCACATGCCTATAATCCCAGCTACTCGGGAGGCTGAGGCAGGAGAATCGCTTGAGCCCGGGAGGCGGAGGTTGCAGTGAGCCGAGATCACGCCACTGCACTCCAGCCTGGGCAACAAGAGCGAAACTCCCTCTCCCCCCCAAAAAAAAAAAAAAAAAAAAAAAAAGTGGCCAGGCGTGGTGGCTCACGTCTGTAATCCCAGCACTCTGGGTGGCTGAGGTGGGTGGATCAGTTGAGGTCAAGAGTTCAAGACCACCCTGGCCAATATGGTGAAACCCCATCTCTACTAAAATACAAAAATTAGCCAGGCGTGATGGCTCATGCCTGTAGTTCCAGCTACTTGGGAGGCTGAGGCAGGAGAATCGCTCAAACCTGGGAGGCGGAGGTTGCAGTGAGCCAAGATCGTGCCACTGCACTCCAGCCTGGGCGACAGAATGAGACTCCGTCTCAAAAAAAAAAAAAGTATCTGTATATGCAGACCACTTAGCACTATTTTATTATTACTTCATTTTATTTTGTTTTTTTGAGACAGACTCTTGCTCTGTCGCCCAGGCTGGAGTGCAGTGGCGTGGTCTCGGCTCAGTACAACCTCTCCCTCCGGGGTTTGAGTGATTCTCCTGCCTCAGCCTCCTGAGTAGCTGGGATTACAACTAAAATTAGCCCGGCTAATTTTTGTATTTTTAGTAGAGACGGGGTTTCACCATCTTGGTCAGGCTGGTCTTCAACTCCTGACCTCGTGATCTACCTGCTTCGGCCTCCCAAAGTGCTGGGATTACAGGCATGAGCCACCGTGCCTGGCCTATTTTATTTTTTTATTGAGACGGAATCTTGCACTGTCTGCACTGTTGTCCAGGCTGGAGTGGTGTGATCTTGCCTCACTGCAACCTCTGCCTCCCGTTTTCAAGAGATTCTCCTGCCTCAGCCTCCTGAGTAGCTGGGATTACAGGCGCCCGCCACCATGCACAGCTAATTTTTTGTATTTTTTTTAGTAGAGACAGGGTTTCACCATGTTGGCCAGGCTGGTCTCCAACTCCTGACCTCAAGTGATCCGCCCGCCTCGGCCTCCCAAAGTGCTGGGATGACAGGCGTGAGCCACCACACCTGGCCTATTTTATTTATTTTTTGGGACAGAGTCTCGCTCTGTGGGGCAGGCTGGGGTACAGTGGCAGGATCTCGGCTCACTGCAACCTCCGCCTCCCGGGTTCAAGCGATTCTCCTGCCTCAGCCTCCCGAGTAGCTGGAAGTACAGGCGGGCCATCACGCCCGGCTAATTTTTGTATTTTAGTAGAGATGGGATTTTGCCATATCGGCTGGGGTGGTATTGAACTCCTGACCTCAACTGATCTGTCCCCCTCAGCCTCCCAAAGTGCCGGGATTACAGGCGTGAACCACTGTGCCCAGCCTATTTTATTATTTTTAATAGCATATAGAGTGACATTTTGATACATGTATATAATGTATAATGATCAAACAAGGTAATTAGCATATCCATCACCTGGAACATTTATCATTTCTTTGTGTTGGGAACATTCCAAATCCTTTCTTATAGTCTTTTGAAAATACACAAGAAATTGTAGTTAACAGTGCTCACCCTACAGTGCAGAACAGCAGGATCCATTCATGCTATGAAGCTGGCATTTTGTATTTGTTATCCGACTCCTCCGAATCTTTCCCTACTCTCTAATCTTTCCAGCTTCTAATACCCACTATGCTTCTATTTCCATGAGCTTGATTTTTTAAATATTTTACATAAGAATTAACACATACAATATTTATCTTTCTGTTCCTGGCTTATTTCACTTAACATAACGTCCTCTAGGCTCATCCATGTTGCCACAAATAACAAGATTTATCTTATTAGTTTGTTTATTTCTTTGAGACAGGGTCTCGTTCTGTCTCCCAGGCTGAGTGCAGTGGTGTGATTGCAGCTCACTGCAGCCTCCACCTCCCAGGCTCAAGTGGTCCTCTCACTTCAGCCTCCCAGGTAAATGGGACCACAGGCATGTTACCATGCCTGGCAAATTTTTAAATTTTTTTTGAAAGACAGGGTCTTGCTATGTTGCCCAGACTGGTCTCAAACTCCTAGGCTCAAGCGACCCTCTCACCTTGGCCTCCCAAAGTGCTGGGATTACAGGCGTGAGTTACTGCACCCAGCCAATAGTTTTTTATTTTTTTTATTTTTTATAGTTGGTTTTGGTTTTTTTTGAGACAGGGTCTCGCTCTGTCACCCAGGCTGGAGTGCAGTGGCACAATCTCGGCTCACCACAGCCTGCGTCTCCCAGGTTCAAGCAATTCTCCTGCCTCAGCCTCCCAAGTAGCTGGGATTATAGGCGCCTGCCACCACACCTGGCTAATTCTTGTATTTTTGGTAGAGATGGGGTTTCGCCATGTTGGCCAGGCTGGTCTCGAACTCCTGATCTCAGGTGATCTGGCCGTCTTGGCCTCCCAAAGTACTGGGATTACAGGCTTGAAACACCGCGCCCGCCAACAGTTTATTTTTAAATGGCTCAATAATATTCCATCATGTATCTATACCACATTTTCTTTACATATCAATCCACTGGTGGACACTTAGATTGCTTCCATATCTTAGCTATTATAAGTAGTACAAAGGCACGAAGAACCTACATTGGGGAAAGGATGGTCTCTTCAATAAATGGCACTGGGAAAATTGGATAAGTATGTGAAGAAGAATGAAAACTAGGCCCCTATCTCTCACCACACACAGTAATCAACTCAACATGGATTAAAGACTTAAAAGTAAGACCTGAAACTATAAAGCTACTAGAAGAGGCCAGCGCGGTGGCTCACACCTGTAATCCCAGCACACTGGGAGGTTGAGGCGGGCAGATCACTTAAGGTCAGGAGTTCTAGACCAGCCTGGCCAACACAGTGCAACCCCGTCTCTACTAAAAATACAAAAAGTAGCCGGGCGTGGTGGCGCACATCTGTAATCCCAGTTACTCAGGGGGCTGGGGCAGGAGAAATGCTTGAACCCAAGAGGAGGAGGTTGCAGTGAGCCAAGATCACACCACTGCACTCCAGCCTGGGGCGACAGAGCAAGACTCTGTCTTTAAAAAAAAAAAAAAAAAAAAAAAAAAAAAAAGGCTGGGTGTGGTGGCTCACACCTGTAATCCCAGCACACTGGGAGGCTGAGGCGGGCAGATCACCTGAGGTCAGGAGTTCCAGCCCAGCCTGTCCAACATGGTGAAACCCCATCTCTACTAAAAGTATAAAAATTAGCCAGGGTGGTGGCATGCGCCTGTAATCCCAGCTACTTGTGAGGGTGTGGCAGGAGAATCGCTTGATCCCAGGAGGCTAAGGTTGCAGTGAGCCAAGATTGTGCCACTGCACTCCAGCCTGGGTTTCAGAGTGAGACTGTGTCTCAAAAAATAAATAAATAAATAAATACAAATAATAAAATAAATAAAATAAAACTACTAGAAGAAAATGGGGAAATGCTCCAGGAAAGATTTTATGGCTAAGACCCCAAAATCACAGGCAACAAAAACAAAAACAGACAAATGGGAGTATATTAAAGTAAAAAGCTTTTGCACAGCACAGAAGCAATCAACAATGAAGAGACAATATAGGAGAAAATATTTGCAAATGATTCATGTGACAAGCACTGTTTATTTTTGAGGTGCAATGTCCATCTGCCCTACTGCAATTTAGGCCCCAAATGGGTGGGACAGGGTCTGATTCCTTGCTCTTCCTCAGATGCCCAGTGAAGCCCTGCTCAATTTCAATTCAATTATATTAAAGAACAAAGCCAGCACCTCTGCTCCCTTTTACCAGTCCTGTTTGCTATTTCACTTCTCAAGCAGGTCCTGGGGCCCACCGCATCCTCCTGGGCCTCATTCTCAGCCTTCTTGCCTTGGAGTTCCGTTGCTGAGGAGGGCCACCAGGCTTGGCATGTGGGTGCCCCATTGCCCTCTGAAGCATGGTGTTGCCACACAGGAACCACAGTCCTCACTATCACTCCATACGTCCTTGCTTCACACAAGCCTGCCATCTCAGCATGGGGCACCCGAACTCCTCCTGCCCCGTCCTCCCAGTCAAAAAAGCCTCTGGGTCCAGGGGTGTGCACACCGCAGCCCCAGCATCTTTGAGCAGCCCTGGATGGGATCATGTCTGCCCTGGCTTTCCACCCTTCCATGACCAGCTTCCCATTCCATGTCCTGGATCATGTCCCAAAGTCTTGGCCAGACTTAAAGTGCCATCCCCATCCAGCCCTGTGAGCTCCTCAGGCCCAGCTCTGTCCTGGAAGCCCTTTGCCCACTTCGCCTGGCCATTGCCCTTGACTCAGCTGTCATTTCCTCTCAGGCACTTCCCCGTTCAGCTCCTGACTCCAGCTGAGACACCAGCTGAGGCCCCGCATGGCGTCTACAGGTCCTTCCCTGCACCCACCTAGGGCCCCATGGCACCCATGCTAGTCTGACCCTCCTGCCTGCCAGCAAGCAGGGCGGAGAGCTGGAACAAGAGTCAAACACTGTCAACTTGATCGAGGAAGAACTCCAGGAAGGGCATGGAAAGCAACTCCTCTTTCCGGCTGCAGGGGTTCAGTCTATCTGACCGGGGGTACGGGCTGACAGTGACCATGTAATCAAAGCACCTGTCCAAGACCCCCAGGAAAACCGAGCTGGTTACCTTATAGCCTAGCTTCCCTGTACCTTTGAATTGCCATGATCCTTATTATGTGACACTCAAATCTCGTCACAGCTTCCCCCAGCGCCTGGCATGGGAAAGCCAACACCTCAACAGCACTGGCCCCTGGGTCTGGGGTCTTTCAGGGAAGCCCTGGGAAGCCTGACAATCTCCTGGCTAAAGGCCCCAGACTCTCCCGCACGCGTTTAAACAGCAGGCACTGTCACCTCCAGGCCTTTAGCATTTATGGTTAGTTATGTCCCCCGCTCCGCATGACCTTTCTTGCTGTCTTTCTGTGGATAAAGGAATATCAATTAACATTAATTTAGCTTCTGGACTGATTCCAGGCAAGGCCCTTGGAAACCAGCAGCTGCTTTTGTGTGTGTGTGTGTGTGTGTGTGTGTTTTTGAGACAGGGTCTTGCTCTGTCGCCCAGGCTGGAGCAGTGGCGCGATCTCAGCTCACTGCAGCCCTGAACTCCCTGGCTCAAGCCATCCTCCCACCTCAGCGTTCCAAGTACCTGGGACCACAGGCGTGTGCCACCATGCCTCCGGGTCTCGCTATGTTGCCCCGGCTAGGCTCAAGCAATCCTCCCACCTCAGCCTTCCAAAGTGTTGGGATTACAGGCATGAGCCAACGCATCAGGCCTTAGTTTTCTTATTTACCATGGGTGGGGGACTTGGGGACATATGTGAGGTAACTAGCCAAGGTCACAAAGAGCAGGTGGTGGCACAGACAGGCAAGAATTCTTCTCTTTGTCCCTTCTCAAATGGATACTTCCAACTGCATGAACTAAAACACAGACGATTACAAAATACATGTAATATGTTGAGAGGCGACTTTAAAAATATTGTTGAAAATGTGTGAGAGGGTGACGTGTGCTTCTTTACTAACGCATTAAATTACAAGGTCTTCCAGCAGGACGCATAACTTCAGTAACTTCAAAGTAATAATTCTGCCCGCCGGTAGATCTGGTAGATCTTGTAATTTAACTGAACTTCTAGACGTTTACAACAAAAGCCACAGGCTCTGACAGGACCGGTCTGTCCATTTCTACTGGCGACTGCCGCTCCCGGGCAGCAGCTTGGGTCCCCGCGCTGCGGCCTGCGCGTGGCAGGGCGGATGCCGCCGCCGCCGCCGCCGCCGCCGCGCCCGGGCGGCCTCCTAGAGGAGGCGAAACGTGGGGGCGAGGCCGGGACCCACCTCCCAGGGCTGCGGTGAGCACTTACAGTATTGGCGCGAAAAGGCCAGCTATCACCATACGGGTATTTCGCCTCACTCGCCTCGCTGGGGGAAATTCAAATCTCCGAAAAGGGAGGATCCGAGCAGCGCCGGTGCGCCTGCGCGCAGGGCGGGACTCGAAGCCTGGGAAGCGGGCGGGGCGAGGTGACGCGAGATGACGCGGACGCCTCCCGCGGTCGCCCGCCCGGCTCGTGCGCCACCGGCCCGACTGCGGGCCTCTCGGCAGTGGGGGCGGCCGAGCGCGCGGCGGTCTGGGGCGCGCGGCCCGGCTCATTTTGCTGCGGCGCGGGCGGAGGCGGTGGCGCCCGAGGGCGGGCCCCGCAGCCTGGGAGCCTGGGAGCGGGCGGAGGCTCCACCCCCGGGCGCCGGCGCTCGGCTGCGTCGCCTCCCACTGTCGCCCCGCCCCCGGCTCCCCCGCGGCGCGCCTCGGGCCGCCTCCTGCGGCTGCTGGGTGTGCAGGGCGCGAAAATGCTCGCTTCCCGGCCGCAGGCGCGGCTGCAGTGGCTGTTCGCCAACCCCGGCCACCTGCGTGCCGCTGTCCCCAGTGCTGGTTAAAGGCAGTTCTTCGGGCGTGCGTCCCTTATCAACCCGAGAGACCGTTCCCAAGGGGGCGGGGCCGAGCGCGTCGGAGGGGTTAGCAGTCTCATCCGGGCATTTCCGAGATGCCGCCGCCGCCATCTTTGTTTTGTGCTGAAAGTCGCTATTGACGCCCGCGGACGGCCGGGCGAGGGGAAGTGGCAAGATGGCGGCTCCCAGGGCGGAGGCGTGGAGGCTCGCCCGGTGGGGGGGCCGTGGGGCGGGGCGCGCCTGCGCCTGCACCTGATCTGAGCGCGACTCGAGCTTTAGCCCAGCGCGCGGCAGCGCCGACCCCCACCCCCGCCGCGAGGCAGCGCAGGGGTCCTTTAAGAGGCTTGGGCCCAGGGGCGAAGCGGTGCGAGGGCGAGTGGGGGGAAGCGGTGACGTCACCCGGCTCCGCCTCCTCGCCCGACCGCCGGCGCCGCTGCCGCCATGTTTAGTTGTTACTTCTTCACACAAGATGGCGGCTCCCAGGGAGGAGGCATGAGCGCCCTGCCGTTACCGCTTCTTCTGCCGTACAGTTGCCGCTTCGGGGCCTAACTCTAGCTCTTTGAAGCGGCTCCTGTGGGAAGGAGTCATAAGGCGGGAAGTGAGGATCGGACACCGCCTTGAGTTTGGTGTGCAGTGGAAGAACTGACCTAGGAGGAAGAGAATAGGGGGGAACGGGGAGCTAGTCTCAAGATGGCGGCTCCCACGGCGGCAGGCGCAGCCTGAGCAGCAGAGGCGGACTAAGGGGAGAGGCGCGAGACTTCACAAGCCGTACGGCGCGAGCCCCCAAACGGCCCTCGAGAGCTCGAGCTGGTTCCACCGGCCTCCGGCCCGCCTCCATTCGTTAGGTGTGTCGAGGCTGTTTCGGGAGCGGCGGCTGCACTAAGGCGCTGGGCGGGGAAGCGGGACGGTCTCAAGATGGCGGCTCCCACAATTGTGGTCTGAGCGCCGGCGGGGCTGCGACGACCGCGGCGCTTGTGGCTCCTTTCCACCCGCCCCGGAAGCCGGCCAGTGCTGGGGACTTGGGGGTGTGGGAACCGGGCCGGGGCTCCGCCATTTCCGGCGGGGGAGGGCTACGACTGAGGAAGGGAGGAGAGAGAGGCGGCTCAAGATGGCGGCTCCCAGGGCCTCCCGCCCGAGCTTGTAAGCGGGAGCGCCCGGACAAGTAGTCGGGGCGACGGGACTCAGCGGCCTCCAGCTTCTTGAGCCTAGGCGCTCGACAGTTTCGGGCGGCTCTTGCGGAGACGGGGTGAGCGAGAAGAAAGGGAAGAGCCAAAGGGAAGGAGGGCAGTTAAGATGGCGGCCTCCATGGAGTCGTCTACCGCTGTGTGAGAAACCGCTTCTCCGTGAGAGCTGCCTTAGACGAAAGGGGGTGTGTGAAAGGAATTGAGGGGCTCCCTTCCCGCTTGTTGACTTCTCCCCACCGCACCCTTTCCCGGAACTATGGCTTCGGCCGTGTCGCCCGCCAACTTGCCAGCGGTGCTTCTGCAGCCCCGCTGGAAGCGAGTGGTGGGCTGGTCGGGTCCGGTGCCACGGCCCCGCCACGGCCACCGCGCCGTGGCCATCAAGGAGCTCATCGTGGTGTTTGGCGGCGGCAACGAGGGAATAGTGGACGAACTGCACGTGTACAACACGGGTGAGTGCAAAGCCCGCTGGGTCTTCGGCTCTTTCCCTCCCTCCATCTCCTCCCTCTCCCTCCTCTTTCCTCCCTCCCTCCATCTGCTCCCTCCCTCTCCTCCCTCCCTCCATCTCCTCCCTCACCCTCTACCCTTCCCTCTCTCTCTCCCCTCCTCCCTTACCCGTCCTTCTCCCCTCTCCCCGTCCCCCTCCCCCTTCTCCCCTCCTCCCCCTCCCTCCCCACTGATCGGCTTGCCCCTCCCCTTTGCTGTGCCGGGCTTCAGTGCTTTTCTCTGATCTTCTCCCCGTTCCCTTGTCTCTCCCGTGTTTGAGGATTGGTTTTCGTTAGTTAAAAGAAAGCCCCTAGTCCGACTGGTGAGGGAGAGGGGCTGTCGCCAGCGGTGGTGACTTCAGACCCACACCGTTACCCAGCGGGCTGGGGCTGGGGCTGGGGCGGGCGGATGTGTCCCCTTGGCGCAGGCAGAGCTCCCCTCCCTCCCTCCCTCCCTTCTCCTGCGCCTGCTCAGCTCTCCCTCATCTCGAGTGCCCATTCTGGAGAAATGACCATTTCTAGATTACAGATTCGTTCTCTGTCTCTCGAAAAAGGGAGGGAAGGGAAGCGCTCTTAGGACGCAGAGTTTAACATCCGCCGACCCGGGTAATGCCGGAGCCTTGGGGACCCCTAGGACGGGCCGGCGGCAGGGCCGCCTCTCCCTTTCCACGTTTACTTCTGCAGCATTTCTTTCCAAGTCGCCCCTTCTCCTAATCTGGTGCCTTCTGGTTTACAAGCTGAATTCCAGTTACCCCTCAGCGGCCTGCGTAGTCGTGTGTCTCCCCGCTTCTGCGGATCCAGGGGGTTACCCCACCCGCTCTTCTGCCTCCCTGCAAAACCCAAAGCCCGTTAGTTGGGAAGGGGAGGAACCTCTCTCTTCAGGTATGGCTGATGCACCACGGCCTTCGTGGGGGCCGTTTGTTGTTGCCTCTGCCTAGTAGCCTTGCTTAGTCTCTAGGGCAGAAAGCCTGCTGCTGTCCACGACAGCTTTGTGGCATCCTTTTTCTTGGTGGCTACTTGGCCCGTTTTGTGCCCCTAGCACAAGGGTCAGTTCCCAAGTTGCCTACTGACTGCCCGTTGGCCCACAGGACCCTGGCCTTGCCCAGAAGGCAGGGTCAGGGTGAGTTCGGTCCCAGGCAAGAGCTGGAAGAGTCTGGGTGAGGGAAAAGCCCCCTGCAGGCGGCTGGGGGAGGGCCTTGGGATGCCCTAGTCCTGAGTGGCAGGCACGGCTCCCAGCACTAACCCCTTGCTCCGCGGCCGTTCTCTCCTGGGGGCTCTAGCGATCCCCTGGCCTCGGTGGTGGCCCTGCAGACAAACCCTCGCTGAGTGGGCTTTGTGTCCTGAGCGGTGAGAGGCTGCTGTTCTTTGGCTGAGCTCCAGTGCCTCGATGCTCTGGGGGTGGGAAGCTGGAGCTGCCTGGAGGGAGAAAGTTGGTTTAGGGAGTTGGGAAGGCTGGAGCTGGGCTCTTGGGTGCCGCTTCCTTCCCCACCCCCCAAGGCAGAAAGTGCTGGTTTCTCCACATCTCGGAGATTATCGCCACCTACCACGTTGACTTTGAAAGGCTGGTGGGTTGTCTGTGACCGTTTTTCGTTCCAGGTCTCTCAGCACCTGTTGCCTCCAGGGAGCAGGGCCTTTCTCAGCAGCCCCCGGGCGGGGGCGCTTGGTGGTTGGTGGTGCCCCGCGCCAGCCCAGGCAGCTGCAGTAGCAGGAATTAGCTCAGTAAGCTAAGGCTTCTCCAGTGGTGGGGCTGTTTATAGAGGCACCGTCACCATGAGCAGCACCTTCTCCACTCTGTGGACCGACTTTCTTCTCATAAGGCCTGGAGCAGGCTCCCTGGCAGGGAAATGCAATTTTAGAAAGTAGGGCAGGGGCCTAATTACAGTCGGCTCCAGAGTCCACCACCACTGCTGCCTTGGCTTCCTGGGGCCTCTGCATATTCATTAGTTTATTAAAATGAATTGACCACTTTGGCATGAATTCATTACCAGTCTGCAAAGACAGGTTGTGCATTAGAGGGGTAGCCTGCCTTCCAAAGGGCTGCTTAAAATGAAGCTCTGGGATCCTCCAGGGTAGCAGTTTGGAAACTGTCATCGGCAATTCCTCAGACGAGAGAGCAGCTGGCAGACCTGAAGCCCTCTTCCTCACCGGGGTTTCTGCCCCCTCCCGCCAGCCCGGCCTCGTCACCTTTGTCTTGTCTTCTTTTGTTGTGTTTGGGATGAGATCAGGGCATATTCTCACGCCTGTGCCCCTTGCAGTTCTGCGGGATCAGTCCTCAAAAAGCCTTGTACCTTTGGAGAGAGCTGATCTGGAAGGGGTTCCCGTTGCTAGGATAAGAAAGCTTCAGGGGGTGTGTGCTTTGAGAGCTCTTAGGGTAGCTACTGTGCTTGTCCTTAGGGAATTTTAGTTCCATGTGGCAAGCCAAAGGATTCAGAGTGCTGCCAGGTGTGGGGGGTGGGGGAGCGAGAGCTTTGGCTACGGTGGCTCTGTAATGTCCATAGGTTCTTGGAGCTGGAGGGAGCCTTGGAAAATACCTAGTGGAACTACTTCCTTGTTTCTGCAGATGAGGAAATTGGGGTCCAAGAGGGGAAGTGACAGGTCCAGGGTCGCCCTCCCAGCTGGTGGCGGAGTTGGGCGGGAGTGCAAACCTTCATAGAGGCCGTTCTGCCACCTGTCTTTGGGGCCCATCACCTTTGAAATGCCTCCATTCTCTCCTCTGTCCCTGTATCTAATTGTTCATTGCGTTGGGCAGGCATCAAATGTGTCCCCTTCCACACCAAGCCCTCCTCTCCTCTTACTAGACTCTTGCAGTCACTTCCTGATTGGCCCTGCTAGTTTCATTTGTCGGGAAATCCTGTTCACCCTTCAAGGCCCGGCTGAAACGTCACCTCTTCTGAGAAGCCCTTTCCACTCCTGTCCTCCCCTCTCCAGCAGTCGCACTGCTCTGTGCTCCCAAGGGCCCGGCTTGGTCAGAGCTCTTCTAGGGTGTTTGTCTCATCGTGGGAGGGGGGCATGCAGCCTTCCTACCCCATTGGGAGTATGAGCACAAGATCGGTGTCCTCTGTGCCTCCCAGCACGTCGTATGCCACACAGGAAATGCTCTAATGTGACAGGTAGAACAGAGAGGAAGGCAGCTCGTTGAACTTGACCGGCCACCTCACTGCATGGGCACCAGTCTCTAGGTGGTGATGGGACAGTGGCAACCAGGGATGGAGCTTGCAGAGCATGAAGTGGTTGGGGGAGCTGATGAAACACAGAGAGGCCGGGGCACAGCCTTGCTCAGGAGAGGGGAGCTGGAGTGGTCTTCATCTAGTGCAGGGTCCTTTCCCCACCTTCCCCTCCCAGCTGAGAGCCAGCATTTCCAGGATGAGGGGCCCAAGGATTGGGTTACATGACACCCCCCAGATGATTCAGGGGTGACTGAGAGCAGCTGTCACATTGAAAAGCTGGGAGAAGGGAGGAGAGCTTGCTCGTGTGCTTTCAGGGGGCGGAACCAGGACTCGTGGGTGAGATGAGGAGCCGCAGGTTTGTCGTCACACCAGGAGCTGTGCTCCCTGACAGACCTCTCTTGACGGGGGTGGGGAGGGCCCCTGCCCTGCCTGGAGTGTTCTAGAATGAGATCAGCACCTCTTGGGTCCTGTAGAAGGATCTGGTGAGCGGGATCCCCAAAGATATCACAGGGCGCTTCTGGCCTGGCCCACCGGCTCACTGATCAGCGTGTGATAGGAAAGCTGCCCACTGACCCCACGTGCCATTTAGCTTTGTCCCAAACTCTGACCCGCAGCCCCATAGCTGTGGGCTTTGACCACGAGGGTGCTCAGGGGAGTGAGGGTGGCTGCCTGGACATGGGACCCTAGGGAAGGCACAGATCGGTTGCTTCAAGTCAGTGATGGGGCTGTTGTCTCTGTCTCTGTTTTACGCTGTGACCTCAGGTGTCGCTTGCCCTCCTGGGCTCTGCCCCTTTACCTACCGAGAGCAGTTGGCCCAGGCAGCCTTAGGTCTCGTTATGCGTTTACCCTGGTAGCTTGCATGGAGCTCCCTCCAGGGATTGGTCAGGACGGCTCTCCAGTGCGCAAGGCTGTTGGCCTTGGCAGCTCTTGCTTTTCTGGGGTGGTTTTTGCACTGGGAATGAGAAAGAGGCAGAGGGCCAGGATCCGAGCTTGCACATGCGGGCGGCACAGGTGTTGTCCCTCTGCTTTAGGGAAATGGCAGGGGAGCTCTAGTGCTCGGCATGTCCGAGGCCCAGTGACTCAGCTGAATGGCTGCAGAGGCTGTCAGCCTGCTCGAAGCCTACCCGCAGAGTGGGTGCTGGAGAGCGGGGTGGGGGTGCTCTCGCCTCAGGAGGAGCGGTGGTGGTACAGTTGTGCTGTGTGGGGTTTTCTGTTTTTTTTGTTTGTTTGTTTGTTTTGAGGTTAGGTCTTGCTCTGTTGCCCAGGCCGGGATGCAGTGGTGCGGTCTCAGCTCACTGCAGCCTCAAACTCTGAGGGTCAGGCAGTCCTCCCGCCTCAGCCTCCTGAGTAGCTAGGACCACAAGTGTATGCCACCACACTGAGCCAGTGTTTTAAAATTATTTGTAGAGACGGGGTCTCCCTGTGCTACCCAGGCTGGGAGTTGTGCTTTGGATAAGGGCTAGCCTTGCACACGGTTCCGCATTGAGCCCTGGGGGTGACAGTGTGAGACTGGGTGGGACCAGAGTGCAGTGGGGCATGCATTCCCAACCATGGTCAGCCGCCTGGCCCTGGGTGCACACCTGAATATGGAAAAAAAACACTGTTTTTCCTCTTCTATGGTCTCACAACACTTTTGGCCACCAAACTGAATAGTCTGTATTATATCACAATATCACAGCATCCCTGTGTGGAAGCCTTCCCACCCCACAGGAATCCCCCCATGCCCTGTCACGTCCTGGGGGACCCATCTTGCGTCTTGAGTCATGTGGAGGGGCCTCAGTTCCTTCTGCCGTCTGCTTGCTGAGATCTCACCCAGGCCAGCTCAGAGGCACAGAGTCGGGGTTGCACCTGGCCCCCAGTTTGGGGTTTCTGGAAAGAGTGTGGTGAATCCTCTGAGGGACCCCTCATAGGAGGAGGTTTTCGGGGAAGCCCTGGCCTGCCAGGTGTGAGGGGAGTCAAGTTTGAGGACATGAGGGAGGGGCCTGGTCCCAGCTGAAGGCTGCTGTGCCATCCTGTGGAAGCAAAGCAGTGCCTAAGGTCTGATTTCCCTCTTTCTTGGTGGTCGCCTCACCCTCATGAGCTTTTGAGAAGCTTCTGTCACAGCTCTGCTGAGACTGCTGCCTCTGGCTTGCAAGAATGTTCTGGAGTACCATAGGTGTGGCAGCAGGGGCAGGGAGGGATGCTGGTGGACCATCACCTAGGAGACCAGAGGAAGTCCGGGAGGTCAGAGCAGAGGCCGGGTCTCATCCCCATGGCTCTTCGTAGCCTGCAGCGGTCACTGTTTTGGCCACTTGAAAGTGCTGCTCTGGGCTCTGGCTGTCCTGACCCTGTGATGAAGGGACAAAAATGTGGGCTCCAGGGAGGAGGAGCACAGGCCCACCAAGAGGGTATTTTGGGGAGAAATTCATGTCTGATCACTGAGTGCTAGGGAAGGAAGGCAGTGGCTAGATTCCCAGTAGCTGATGAGGGATCTTGCACAGTAACTTCCCGCTCATTAAGATGACCTTGGCGAGAAGCAGGGTGGTCACAGGCTCTTTTGCACTGGCCTGAAGTCGAGGGGTTTGGAAGATGGCCCAGGTAGCGCAGCTGGAGTTGCTAGAGCGCCCGCAGGGATGGTGCTGGCTCAGCCCCTCTCACCAAGCTTGACGGCTGGCACATTTGGGGAATGAGAGGAATGGGGGCTCCCGGGTGTTCTGACTTCTGCCTCCTTCTGTTCCCCAGCAACCAACCAGTGGTTCATCCCAGCCGTGAGGGGGGACATTCCCCCTGGGTGTGCAGCCTATGGCTTCGTGTGTGACGGGACTCGCCTCCTGGTGTTTGGTGGGATGGTGGAGTATGGGAAATACAGCAATGACCTCTACGAACTCCAGGTAAAGCAGCCCCAGGTTCTCACTCTGCCTCCTTGGCCCCATGTGACCTGACGGTAGTGGCTTCAGGGTTGAGGCAAGCGGGAGGTGGAAGGGACGCTTGAGAGTCTGCCAAGGCTGCTCTGAACTTGGCCCACCTCAGAAGAAGGCAGCAAGGACCAACACCCAGGACCTTCTTGCTCCAGCAAGGCACCTCGCTCACCCCCGGCCATTTCCTCCTCCACCACAAGTTGCCCCGGGTCCCTAGTGGTGGCCTTCTCATCCCACGGTTCAGTCTCCAGGTCTTGATTTTGCAGGCGAGCCGGTGGGAGTGGAAGAGACTCAAAGCAAAGACGCCCAAAAACGGGCCCCCTCCGTGTCCTCGACTCGGGCACAGCTTCTCCCTTGTGGGCAACAAATGCTACCTGTTTGGGGGTCTGGCCAATGATAGCGAGGACCCAAAGAACAACATTCCAAGGTGAGGCTTGGTCCTTTTCTCTGGAACCCCCCGGGTGGGTGTGCTCTCACATGCACAGGGCTCCATGGTGTCCTAAAGAATGTGCGCAGCAGAGCCCCGTGGCCGGGTCCCTTTCTCGTGCTGGGTTGTAAATGAGAGAGCGGCACCGGATGCCCTCTCAGGAGCTTTCGGGCTCCAAAATCGCTACTGACCCTGAGCAGGCCTCGTGGGAGGAGGGCCAAGCTGGAGGTGGAAGCCACTTTGCCTTGGGCTGGCCCAGCTCTCGGAGTCGGCTTAGAGCTGCTCGCGTTCCTTCTCAGCCTCCGCTGCCTACAAGTTTCCTGATGGGTATTTTCCAAGGCCCGTGGCCAAGGACTCTCTGTCTGGAGGTAGTCCCAAGCCAGCGCCCCCTCTTGCTCTGCGGAGCCCTCATATAATACCCAGCTTTGTGTGCATGGCGGGGGCCTGCTGCTGGGTCTGGACTCGGGGCTGCTGTGCAGCCTCACCCACCCTGTGTCCCCTGTTCCAGTTGGACTCATCCTAGGGAGCTTCTGGCAGCCCCTTCCTCAAGAGCTAGGGTAGAAGAACTTCAGAGCTCCCACAGCCCTAGCCCCTTTGTGTTCTGGGGAGGCTGCCACTCACTGATAGCCATCCAGCGAAGCCTCTGGCGTGAGGAGTCGAGACTTGCCGTAACTGATCTTTCCTCGTCAGGTACCTGAATGACTTATATATCCTGGAATTACGGCCAGGCTCTGGAGTGGTAGCCTGGGACATTCCCATCACTTACGGGGTCCTACCACCACCCCGGGAGTCACATACTGCCGTGGTCTACACCGAAAAAGACAATAAGAAGTCCAAGCTGGTGATCTACGGCGGGATGAGTGGCTGCAGGCTGGGGGACCTGTGGACCCTAGATATTGGTGAGCAGGGTGGTAGCACCCCAGCAGCCATGGGACAAAGCGGGTCTGCCTCTTGGCTGGCCCCGTGGGTGGCGCTGTTGTATGGTGAGGTGGGGCTCTTAGGGAGCTGGAGCATACCACTTCGTGCTTTCCTCTTGTCATGGTGGGCCAGGGTGGGGAACCCTGGATCGTCCCTAGGTTTGGGGCTGTTATCTCTGCCCTGTGCTGGCTGAGTGGGCTGAATTGGTCTGCGGGCTTATAAGAGAATAAGTCATTAAGGCTTTCTAGAATGGAATTCTCTGGATCCGGGTAGCATTAGTCCCTCTTGACTCGTCAGTGGTCAGACTGTGTGGAGTGCTGCATCCTGGTCTGACTGCTGTGGTACCATTGGATGCCGGTAAACCGTGAGGCCTTCGGGGACTGCTTGGGCCGGTCACCAGGTGGTGGTATCAGGAGTGGCTGGGAAAGATTACTAACTGTGGATCTCCGGAGGCCTCTTCAGCTGGGAGAGAGGAGATGGCGATGTTGTCCTATAGATCAGAGTCGGCACTCCAAAGAAGCAGTTTCCCGTGAGAGAATTTTCCAACAGTTTGCCAAAATGTCTGTAGCCTAAGGTGGTTATGGCGGTGAACGTATTTCATGGAGAGTTCGGGGTGTGCCCACCACTCCTCCCCCAGCACAGAGTGCAGTCCTGGCTCAGGGCAGGTGCTCAGGATGTACCTGAAGGAGCGCTATTGCTAGCCTGGTCGAAACCGCCTGGGTAACACAGGAATCTAGCTACCATGACAACAGTCAGAGGGCCTGCCGTAGGCTATAGGGAAGCCAGGGATGGAATTCTCTCACTGAGACAGATCCTACCTTCCTGAGCTAGCTTGAATCCAGGGAACGACCTGTGTGCAGTCTACCTTGTGTAACCCTTTCCCCTCCGTCTCTCTGCAGACACCCTGACGTGGAATAAGCCCAGTCTCAGCGGGGTGGCGCCTCTTCCTCGCAGTCTCCACTCGGCAACCACCATCGGAAATAAGTAAGTGGCTGCTCACCTGCGTCTCTCTTCTCTAGACTGGCGTGGCCCCTCCCCCGAAGGGCTCTCACTCAGTTTTGTCCTGTCAGACCCTAAGGCCTGAGGATGCCTCTTTCTGGCTGGGCTGGCATTTGGCAGCCCTGTTTTTCCATTACGACCCTGGGGGACCAAGGAAAGACAGATTCAGGGGGGAGAGGGCCACACACAAGCTGAGTCTGAGACCCTCCCCGGGCCTGTGAGGCTCCGCCCTATCAGGTACAGAGTGTTCTAGGTCCTCTGTGCAAGCACCTGGGTGTCTTTGTGGATGTCCAGGTCCTAAAGGGAACCTAGAAACTGTGGACATGAAGGTGAGCTTTAGATGAGCTGAACGGCACTTTTATGTGGTAGAGGTGACACAGTTCTCCTGAGGGCTGAGCCACCAGGCAGGAGAGGGCCACGTCAGGAGGCTTCACGCATCCTTGGGGACTCTCCTGGGGAGAGCCAGAGGACTGAGCTCTAGAACTGGGGTAGCAGAGGTGGCCTCTAGCTTGGCACCAACTCTACAATCCTTTCCCACTCTTCCCTCCTCACTCCCAGAATGTACGTGTTTGGTGGCTGGGTGCCTCTCGTCATGGATGACGTCAAAGTGGCCACACACGAGAAGGAGTGGAAGTGTACCAACACGCTGGCTTGTCTCAACCTGGGTATGGCCTCCTCGGGCTCCGAGTGGCCTGTGGGAGGCTGCAGGAGGCTGGCCCTTCTCAGCCTAAGAGCTGTGTGGGGTGTGCGGGGAGCAAGCTGGGCCCCCGGCTCCCTTTGGAATCCACTGGAAGGATCCAGTGGGCAGAGCTCTCTGAAGCAATGTTCCGCCTCTGAGTTTTTTGAATGAGCTCTCCATCCAAATGGCCCAACATCCAAAAGTGCAAAAGCCTCTACGGTGCAGGGCCTCCTTCCCTCCTCCCGGTTCTCCGGTTCTGCTTCTCAGAGGCAGCCATGTGGGTGGTTTCCTGTCCACCCTGCAGGGGCTCTTCATATCTGAGCATTAGCCATAGGTCCCTTTAAAAACAAACAGTGGCAGCCTGGCGCACGCAGTGCCACACCTGGCCTTTCTCATCCGCCGTATCTTGGAGATCACTCCACGTCCCTGCCCCGCAGCAGCCTCCTTCGAGTTGCGGTTGTGCTGCTGTAACTTGTACAGGCGCCGCTCCGTGAGTATCCTTGCACCATCTCCACCCGTGTGCAAGTGTATCCTAGGGGTGAAAACCTAGAAGTAGGGTTGCTGTCCGATGCGGCTGAACTGCCCTGCACAGAGGCTGTGCCCACGTAGGCGCCTCCAGTGGTGCCCTCACGGAATGGTCAGGCCACTCTTTGCCAAGCCTGATGGGTGGCCGAAGCTCCCCCTCCGGCTCACCTTGAGCCCCAGCTGCTGCGGGCCTGAAAATAAAAATGCCAGGCGCCGATGGTTGAAGTTTAGATTTCTTTTGCGTGAGAGTGTGTGTTTTTTCTTAAGATCTTTCTATCACGTTTTCCCTAAACCACTTTCCCATTGCCGTCTCTTTCTGTGAGTTGTAGTGTTCTTTAACGGGCAAGGAGGTAAACCTCTGACTGTGTTTCTCATGGTTTTCTTAGTTGGCCGTTGGTGGTTTGTAATTTTATTTTTTGTGTTGCTTTTTGCCACAAAGGGTTTCTTTGTTTTGTTGTTTTTAATGTAATAATCCAATAACTTCTTGATTTTAATTCCCATCCTTGACAACAAAAGAACCAAGGGCAACCAGGGGTGGCGGGTTTCCTCCATCCTCCTTGCTGACCTCCCTTGTCTGCCCTCCCCCAGATACCATGGCCTGGGAGACCATCCTGATGGATACACTGGAGGACAACATCCCCCGTGCTCGGGCTGGCCACTGCGCAGTCGCCATCAACACCCGCCTGTACATTTGGAGTGGGCGTGACGGCTACCGCAAGGCCTGGAACAACCAGGTCTGCTGCAAGGACCTCTGGTACCTAGAGACAGGTAGGCCCGGCCCAGCCGACTCCCCTCCTCCCATAGCCTCCCGCCCCTTCTCACCAACTGCGTTCTCCCACAGAAAAGCCACCACCCCCAGCCCGAGTACAACTGGTACGCGCCAACACCAACTCCCTGGAGGTGAGCTGGGGGGCAGTGGCAACAGCCGACAGCTACCTTCTCCAGCTCCAGAAATATGACATTCCTGCCACGGCTGCTACTGCCACCTCCCCTACACCCAATCCGGTCCCATCTGTGCCTGCCAACCCTCCCAAGAGCCCTGCCCCAGCAGCAGCCGCACCTGCTGTGCAGCCGCTGACCCAAGTAGGCATCACGCTCCTGCCCCAGGCTGCCCCCGCACCCCCGACCACCACCACCATCCAGGTCTTGCCAACGGTGCCTGGCAGCTCCATTTCTGTGCCCACCGCAGCCAGGACTCAAGGTGAGCCAGGGGACCAGGGACGTTTGAAAGTAGGGGGCTAGCCTCCGGGGAGAGGCAGCGGCCAAGTAGGGGCTGCGAGACGGCAGCCTAGACAGCAGGCCAGCAGCCGGGAGCTTTGGGCTTGTCTCCAAGGGTTGTAGGGGGATGCTAAAGCCTGGCCCCACCTGTGGAAATGGTCACTCTCAGGGCACAGAGAAGAGCCAGACTCCCACACAAGCAGGCCAACAGAAGTGGCTCAGGGCTGCCTGCAAAGGGGCTGGGGACATCGTGCAGAAGGTGATGGCTGACGGCTGGCCCCTTCTCTCATCAGGTGTCCCTGCTGTTCTCAAAGTGACCGGTCCTCAGGCTACAACAGGAACTCCATTGGTCACCATGCGACCTGCCAGCCAGGCTGGGAAAGCCCCTGTCACCGTGACCTCCCTTCCCGCCGGAGTGCGGATGGTTGTGCCAACACAGAGTGCCCAGGGAACGGTGAGGAGTGGTCACTGGGGCGGGTGGGATTTCCTGTTGATCCAGTGGATTAAGTTGCAAGTGTACTGAGGGGTTCACATCCCTCTCGGGCTCTGGTACCACGCACCCCACACCTTTCCCTCCTGGGACGTGCAGATGGGGAAACGCTCCTGCGAGGTCATGGTGGGAATTAATAGGTTAATGCCTAGAAGGCCTAACCTGCTGCCTGATCCTAAGAGCATTTGCCACGTGGACTTTCTTGTCCTGCAGCCTGAGAGGAGGATCTAGCCAGCTGGGCTTGCCACAGGCCCATGAGAATCAACGGGACCTGACTCTGGTCTTTAGAAAGGATCCAGAGCTCCCAGCTGCCTCTTGCCACGGGGGTTGCCGTGCATGGTGGGTGGTGGGAGCCCTCTGTGTCTGGGGCCAGGAGAGCGGGGTCTGGCAGTAGAGAAAGCTGAGCCATGCTGGCGGGATGAGGCTCCCAAGAGCAGGGCAGCCCCTGGGCAGGTTCCGGTGAGGTCCACCAAGCAGGGAGGTGGGTGGCACCTGTGACCTGGCCTCACATGCCCGTGCCTGCTGCAGGTGATTGGCAGTAGCCCACAGATGAGTGGGATGGCCGCACTGGCCGCTGCGGCCGCTGCCACCCAGAAGATCCCCCCTTCCTCGGCACCCACGGTGCTGAGTGTCCCAGCGGGTACCACCATCGTGAAGACCATGGCTGTGACACCTGGCACTACCACCCTCCCAGCCACTGTGAAGGTGGCCTCCTCGCCAGTCATGGTGAGCGTCTTCCGGGGCTTGTCACTGTGGTCAAACAAGCATAGTCATTCCCTCCGGGCTTTAGAGTTAGCCGTTGGACCGTGGGCTGCAGAATAAGCTGTCTCCATTAGGGGCGTCATGGCCTCAGGTGAGAGCTGCAGGCTCAGCCTCCTCCCTTGCCTGTTAAAGGAAGGGGGAACCAAGCTGTTCTTGGGCTTGGGAGCAGGAGGAGGAGGAAGGTGAGTGTTGAGGCAGGAGCTATGGGCCCACCGTGGACATCTTGGGTGGTTTCCCCATCGCTTTCTTTGCCTGGCCTGTCACTCGTCTCTGCCTCCTCCAGGTGAGCAACCCTGCCACTCGCATGCTGAAGACTGCAGCCGCCCAGGTGGGGACATCGGTTTCCTCCGCCACCAACACGTCTACCCGCCCTATCATCACAGTGCACAAGTCAGGCACTGTGACAGTGGCCCAGCAAGCCCAGGTGGTGACCACAGTTGTGGGCGGGGTCACCAAGACCATCACCCTGGTGAAGAGCCCCATCTCTGTCCCAGGAGGCAGTGCTCTGGTGAGTGATGGGTGCTGCCAGGCTACGGCCACTGCCAGTGGTGAATGGCCGCCCTGGGCCAGCTCCAGGAGAGTCTCAGCCAGGCCATGCCCTTGTTTGGTTTCCAGATCACTCCTTGCTCCATCCCTTCCTTTTTAGATTTCCAATCTGGGCAAAGTGATGTCGGTGGTCCAGACCAAACCAGTTCAGACTTCAGCAGTCACAGGCCAGGCGTCCACGGGTCCTGTGACTCAGATCATCCAGGTGAGCTCTCAGTCTTTGCACATACGCAAGAGTGGGGGCCTGGGTGCCAGGCCACAGGAAGAACTCATGTCCCTGCCCATGGAAGATCCCATGAGCACACATGGCTCAGCAAGTTCTGCTGCTCACTCCCCTCGCCCACAGCCTCCAGAACATTCCCTGAGCCGCCAAGGCTGCCGGCGGAGAGTAGCCAGACCACACTTCCCTTCCTGGCAGTGATGCCGGCTCATGCACCTGCTTCCCCCTTTCAGACCAAAGGGCCCCTGCCAGCGGGAACAATCCTGAAGCTGGTGACCTCAGCAGATGGCAAGCCCACCACCATCATCACTACCACGCAGGCCAGTGGGGCGGGGACCAAGCCCACCATCCTGGGCATCAGCAGCGTCTCCCCCAGTACCACCAAGCCCGGCACGACCACCATCATCAAAACCATCCCCATGTCGGCCATCATCACCCAGGCGGGCGCCACGGGTAGGGGCCTCCCCCGACATATGAGTGTCTGCAAGTCCTCACTGGAGGGGAAATGGAGTCCGGGTTATAAGGCGTGCTGTGTTTCTGTTTAGTTTACCCTTTTCTATCTTCTCCTTGCTGCCTTTTGTGTCTAAGGGTAGTGAGGAGATGGGCAGGGCTATGGCTGTGACTTGTGGATGTTCATTATAGTCTAGGGGCAGCAGGGGCAGCCCTCACAGAGCCTGTCTCCCCTGGGCCCCACTCTCCCATCCAGGTGTGACCAGCAGTCCTGGCATCAAGTCCCCCATCACCATCATCACCACCAAGGTGATGACTTCAGGAACTGGAGCACCTGCGAAAATCATCACTGCTGTCCCCAAAATTGCCACTGGCCACGGGCAGCAGGGAGTGACCCAGGTGAGGCACTCCCAGCCGTCTCTCAGCCCAGTGTCCTAGTGCAGTCCACCCCAGCACGCCACGCAGGTCCTCCCGACAGGCCTGGGAGGGGCAGCATCGGTGGCATCTACCAGCCTGGTGGTGACGTTGGTGGCACTTTCCTCTGGTGTTCCAGGTGGTGCTTAAGGGGGCCCCGGGACAGCCAGGCACCATCCTCCGCACTGTGCCCATGGGGGGTGTTCGCCTGGTCACACCCGTCACCGTCTCCGCCGTCAAGCCAGCCGTCACCACGTTGGTTGTGAAAGGCACCACAGGTGTGTACCCATAGGCCAGGTCCCCTGCCACCCCTAGATTATAACGAAGCAGGGCTGGCCTTCAATCCCCATGGCACAGCTGGGTGGCACAGCAGCTCCTCTCTCCCGAGCCTTCTATGCAAGCAGCTCCAGAGTGCCCCAGCCTGTGCAGGAGGAGCTGCTGGGAAGGAGACAGCAGCAGCCTTGGCCCAACTCTTGCCTCCTTTCCTTCAGGTGTCACGACCCTAGGCACAGTGACAGGCACCGTCTCCACCAGCCTTGCCGGGGCGGGGGGCCACAGCACTAGTGCTTCCCTGGCCACGCCCATCACCACCTTGGGCACCATTGCCACCCTCTCAAGCCAGGTGATCAACCCCACTGCCATCACTGTGTCGGCCGCACAGACCACGCTGACAGCGGCAGGCGGGCTCACAACCCCAACCATCACCATGCAGGTAGGGCAGGGCCTGAGGCCACGTGTGGGCGAGGGACCCCACACAAGTGGAAGCACGTGAGGCTCACGCCGTCCGTCCACAGGCCTTTCCTTCCTGGTGTTGCGCTGCTGCCGGGTGCAGCCATGGCAGGCCTTTCCTCACCTGGGGCATTTTCCCTGGTGTCACATGGTCCCTGTGTCATAGTCCGTGGTTTGGCTGTCATGGTTTGGCCATGCCTGGTGTTTGAACACCGGGTTCTTCCTCTCGCAGTGTTCTACAGGACGCCGCAGCTCGTCTGCATGTGTGTGCAGTGTTCTGTTCATACATATTAAGGAAAACGGTGAAACGTTTGTTGTTGGCCTTTGAGCATTGAGGGGGATTTCCATTCTCTGACAAAGGACTTGACTTCAGCCAGCCTCCTGCCTTCCCCTTGCCCTGTCCTCACAGCCTCTTCCTCATCCCAGTTGCCTTTGAGGCAAAGTGGTGCCTCTTCCCTGGCCTCTGAGCAAGTCAGTGTCTTGGGGGCAGGGGTGAGTGGGTCTTACGTCTGCCAGGGCCGTTGAGAAGTGGTCAGTGGTCCCAGCCTGTGTGGTGACAGTGCAGGACAGTGGGAGGGACAGGCAGACAGCCAGCTGCAGCACTAACTCTCCTCCTCGTGTGTCTCCCCAGCCCGTGTCCCAGCCCACCCAGGTAACTCTGATCACGGCACCTAGTGGGGTGGAGGCCCAGCCTGTGCATGACCTCCCTGTGTCCATTCTGGCCTCCCCGACTACAGAACAGCCCACCGCCACAGTTACCATCGCCGACTCAGGCCAGGGTGATGTGCAGCCTGGCACTGTCACCTTGGTGTGCTCCAACCCACCCTGTGAGACCCACGAGACTGGCACCACCAACACGGCCACCACTACTGTTGTGGCTAACCTTGGGGGACACCCCCAGCCCACCCAAGTGCAGTTCGTCTGTGACAGACAGGAGGCAGCTGCTTCTCTTGTGACCTCGACTGTGGGCCAGCAGAATGGTAGCGTGGTCCGAGTCTGTTCGAACCCGCCCTGCGAGACCCACGAGACGGGCACCACCAACACCGCCACCACCGCCACCTCCAACATGGCCGGGCAGCATGGCTGCTCAAACCCACCCTGCGAGACCCACGAGACGGGCACCACCAACACTGCCACTACAGCCATGTCGAGCGTCGGCGCCAACCACCAGCGAGATGCCCGTCGGGCCTGTGCAGCTGGCACCCCTGCCGTGATCCGGATCAGTGTGGCCACTGGGGCGCTGGAGGCAGCCCAGGGCTCTAAGTCCCAGTGCCAAACCCGCCAGACCAGCGCGACCAGCACCACCATGACTGTGATGGCCACCGGGGCCCCGTGCTCGGCCGGCCCACTCCTTGGGCCGAGCATGGCACGGGAGCCCGGGGGCCGCAGCCCTGCTTTTGTGCAGTTGGCCCCTCTGAGCAGCAAAGTCAGGCTGAGCAGCCCAAGCATTAAGGACCTTCCTGCGGGGCGCCACAGCCATGCGGTCAGCACCGCTGCCATGACCCGTTCCAGCGTGGGTGCTGGGGAGCCCCGCATGGCACCTGTGTGCGAGAGCCTCCAGGGTGGCTCGCCCAGCACCACAGTGACTGTGACAGCCCTGGAGGCACTGCTGTGCCCCTCGGCCACCGTGACCCAAGTCTGCTCCAACCCACCATGTGAGACCCACGAGACAGGCACCACCAACACCGCCACTACCTCGAATGCAGGCAGCGCCCAGAGGGTGTGCTCCAACCCGCCATGCGAGACCCACGAGACGGGCACCACCCACACGGCCACCACCGCTACTTCAAACGGGGGCACGGGCCAGCCCGAGGGTGGGCAGCAGCCCCCTGCTGGTCGCCCCTGTGAGACACACCAGACCACTTCCACTGGCACCACCATGTCGGTCAGCGTGGGTGCCCTGCTTCCCGACGCCACTTCTTCCCACAGGACCGTGGAGTCTGGCCTAGAGGTGGCGGCGGCACCCAGCGTCACCCCCCAGGCTGGCACCGCGCTGCTGGCTCCTTTCCCAACACAGAGGGTGTGCTCCAACCCCCCCTGTGAGACCCACGAGACGGGCACCACTCACACGGCCACCACTGTCACTTCCAACATGAGTTCAAACCAAGGTAAGTGAAGGTGGCCAGCCTGGCT
Source organism: Homo sapiens (assembly GCF_000001405.40). Lineage (NCBI taxonomy): Eukaryota > Metazoa > Chordata > Mammalia > Primates > Hominidae > Homo > Homo sapiens. Next base: position 153,954,040 of record NC_000023.11, on the reverse strand, counting down.
TTCATGGTCTCCCAGCCCCCCAGGCTGAAAGGCCAAGACAACGATGGCGGGGGTCCGTCCAGAGTCCACCAGTCAGGCTCCTTGGCACCCAATTTACCAGTGGGGAGAGCTGGGGCGTCCTGGCTGTACCTGAAGCAGACAGAGGTCTCCAGGAGCCTGTCCTGCCTTATCTGGCCCTCCCCTTGGTGGTAGAGGAAGCCTGTGGTGGTCAAGCCAAGTACAGGCCGGGGGGGCTCCTGCTGAGCAGCCGCCTGCCTGTCGCCCCCACAGACCCCCCACCTGCTGCCAGCGATCAGGGAGAGGTGGAGAGCACCCAGGGCGACAGCGTGAACATCACCAGCTCCAGTGCCATCACGACAACCGTGTCCTCCACACTGACGCGGGCTGTGACCACCGTGACGCAGTCCACACCGGTCCCGGGCCCCTCTGTGCCGGTAAGAGCCCAGGGGGCCGTGTTCTTCCCCGCCTTCCCGGCCTACGCCCGTGCAGTTCCACACTCAGACGCCAGATGTCGCTCTTGTACCAGGCATGGGGCCGCTCCTGGTCCCTTTTCCGGACCATAAAAGGGCAGCCTCGGTGCCTGCTGCGGCAGGAGGCAGGAGCCTCACCGTCCCCCGCATCTCTGGGGCGCTTTTATTTCTGGGACTGGTTCTCATCGCGTGTCACTTCACCGCAGCCTGTATAAGACATGGCGGGGGTCTGAGTGCCCATTTGTCCAGGCCAGGGTGACTGAGGACGGGTTAAACCTGACCGGGGGTCTCAAGGGCCTTTCTCCTCATGCTGGTCAGAGAACCACTGTCCCCTCCCTATTTAACATGGGCTGGAGCTGGCCCATCAAGAATGAAAACTTAGGCCCACAAGGAAAGGTGAGGGCTGGCTTGCTTCTCAGCCCTGCTGCCTGGCTCTGGCCCCTCTCCTCCCCTCTGACAGGGGCTTCTCTCCCTTTCTAGAAGATCTCATCAATGACTGAGACTGCCCCAAGGGCTCTGACTACTGAAGTCCCCATCCCGGCCAAAATAACAGTGACCATAGCCAACACAGAAACTTCTGACATGCCCTTCTCTGCTGTTGACATCCTGCAGCCCCCAGAGGAACTCCAGGTGTCGCCAGGTCCTCGCCAGCAGCTGCCGCCACGGCAGCTTCTGCAGTCGGCTTCCACAGCCCTGATGGGGGAGTCCGCCGAGGTCCTGTCAGCCTCCCAGACCCCTGAGCTCCCGGCCGCCGTGGATCTGAGCAGCACAGGGGAGCCATCTTCGGGCCAGGAGTCTGCCGGCTCTGCGGTGGTGGCCACTGTGGTGGTCCAGCCACCCCCACCCACACAGTCCGAAGTAGACCAGTTATCACTTCCCCAAGAGCTAATGGCCGAGGCCCAAGCTGGCACCACCACCCTCATGGTAACGGGGCTCACCCCCGAGGAGCTGGCAGTGACGGCTGCTGCAGAAGCAGCTGCCCAGGCCGCAGCCACGGAGGAAGCCCAGGCCCTGGCCATCCAGGCGGTGCTCCAGGCCGCGCAGCAGGCCGTCATGGGTGAGTGCCGGTGCAACCCTGGGGAAGCCGGGCCGCTCGGGGGAGCAATAGGCCGCGGAGACAGCCTGGGAAGAGGAGCCCATTTCCCTCGAGGGTGGCATGAGCCAGATGTGATGGGGAGGACGAGCACAGGGGACCCCAGGCAGGCCAAGTAGTAGAGACTGCCGTGTAGAACAGGCTGGCTGGGGTTAGCGCCTGGGAAACAGGCAGGGCCCCTCGGCCAGGGCTTAGCCTACAGTGGAGCACGGTAGGAGGTGGACGGGGTCTCTAGGACAGGCTTTGGGGGCCTCCGCCCGGGCTGCCCGCTTCTGGCCAGCCTTCCTAGTAAGTAGTGTTTCTCTCGACCCTGGAGCAGGCACCGGCGAGCCCATGGACACCTCCGAGGCAGCAGCAACCGTGACTCAGGCGGAGCTGGGGCACCTGTCGGCCGAGGGTCAGGAGGGCCAGGCCACCACCATACCCATTGTGCTGACACAGCAGGAGCTGGCTGCCCTGGTGCAGCAGCAGCAGCTGCAGGAGGCCCAGGCCCAGCAGCAGCATCACCACCTCCCCACTGAGGCCCTGGCCCCTGCCGACAGTCTCAACGACCCAGCCATTGAGAGCAATTGCCTCAATGAGCTGGCCGGCACGGTCCCCAGCACTGTGGCGCTGCTGCCCTCAACGGCCACTGAGAGTAAGCGACTGAGGGCGAATTGGTGCTGGGGTGGTGGGGGCACCCAGGGAGGTGAGGGCAGGACGGGAGGCTCGGTCTCACTTGGGAGCCAGGTTTCCCGAGTCTTTCCCGCTGACACCTTCTTTCTTCCTAGGCCTGGCTCCATCCAACACATTTGTGGCCCCCCAGCCGGTTGTGGTGGCCAGCCCAGCCAAGCTGCAGGCTGCAGCTACCCTGACCGAAGTGGCCAATGGCATCGAGTCCCTGGGTGTGGTGAGTCGGGTGTGTTGGGGCTCCTGAGTCCGTGGCCTGGGGGGCAGCACTGCCTCTAGGTGCTGAGGGCCTGATCTCGTCGCACCGATTCTGTCTTGCAGAAGCCAGACCTGCCGCCCCCACCCAGCAAAGCCCCCATGAAGAAGGAAAACCAGTGGTTTGATGTGGGAGTCATTAAGGGCACCAATGTAATGGTGACACACTATTTCCTGCCACCAGATGATGCTGTCCCATCAGACGTAAGTGTCCCCAGGTGCTGATGTCCTCAGGTGGGTGGGTCTTGGCTCCACCACCCTGAGCGGGGCTTACAGGAAACTCCTCCATCTTTGGGCCAAGCTGAGTAGCCAGGAAGCCTGAGGAAGGTGGGCAGAGACCATCCCCCCTGAAGCAGTAGAAAAGGAGAGCTTTGGTTCCTTCCCGCCAGTACCGGGCCACAGTCAGCCTCGCCACGTCCCTCCTTGCCGTGAGGGGCCAGCCACCGCTGACCTCTTTTCCCTCTGGCCCATAGTTACCATGGACCTGCAGTGTTCCTGGGGTGGCCCAGAGCTGCCTTCTCCACAGTGGCGTTCATGCCACTCCTCTTTTCCTAGGATGATTTGGGCACCGTCCCTGACTATAACCAGCTGAAGAAGCAGGAGCTGCAGCCAGGCACAGCCTATAAGTTTCGTGTTGCCGGAATCAATGCCTGTGGCCGGGGGCCCTTCAGCGAAATCTCAGCCTTTAAGACGTGCCTGCCTGGTTTCCCAGGGGCCCCTTGTGCCATTAAAATCAGCAAAGTGAGTCTTGCTGTGGGGTGGCCGTCTGTCCCTGGTTGGTTTCTGCCTGCCTCAGCACATGAGGTGGCCGGGGGGGGGCATAGGAGAGCTAGGTTTTGAGTCCCAGTTTGTCTTAGTCCTTCCACTTGGGGGAAGATCTCTTTGAAGCTCCTTGAACTACCACATGGAATATCTCTACTGTGTTAGAAAATGGCTTATGGGAACCATGATTAGTCAGTTCTGGAAGCCTCTAGCCTGTTCTGTTGACCTTCTGACCCCCTGGCTTCTAGAGTCCGGATGGTGCTCACCTCACCTGGGAGCCACCCTCTGTGACCTCCGGCAAGATTATCGAGTACTCCGTGTACCTGGCCATCCAGAGCTCACAGGCTGGGGGCGAGCTCAAGAGCTCCACCCCGGCCCAGCTGGCCTTCATGCGGGTGTACTGCGGGCCCAGCCCCTCCTGCCTGGTGCAGTCCTCCAGCCTTTCCAACGCCCACATCGACTACACCACCAAGCCCGCCATCATCTTCCGCATCGCCGCCCGCAATGAGAAGGGCTATGGCCCGGCCACACAAGTGAGGTGGCTGCAGGGTGAGTGTCCTTCGTGGAGCTCTTCAGGCACAGGGAAGGCCCAGGAAGCCGGGTGCAGCAGGAGGAACTGTCACCATCTGAGATTTTTTCCCATGTGCGGCGTCTCCCTGCTTCCTTTGGCGCGCACACAGCCCCCCACGGGGGTGGCCATCAAGTAGAGCAGGGGACCCAGCTCCGGGCCTGGGGGTGCAGGGGACGCCACCCCAGGATGTTTGAGGGGACAAGCAGTGAGAGGGCTGGCGGGAAAGTGTAGGTTTCCAGGCCCGAAAACAGCACGTCCCAGGTCCCTGGAGTGCAGCAGGTGAGGGATGGAGGCCAGCCTGCCTCCTGTCAGGTCATGCTCCTGCTCCAGCTCCCCTGGGGCTCTGGGACCTGGGAGGGCAGTGAGAGGTGGGAGCTGAGCTGAGTGGGTTTCTAACCTACGTCCAGAGGGGAGTGAGTGGTGTCGTGTTCTGGTCCCAAGGAGTGGCGTAAAAGGTGACCACCCATAGGGCAGGCGCCCCACCCTTGCCAGCTGCGGGTCATGCCATGTGGCACCAAGAGACTCTGCAGGCGGGCAGGGCGCATGTGTTCCTTGCTCTCGTTCTGTCACAATGCTGCTCACGCATCTCTCCCGTTCCTTCCAGAAACCAGTAAAGACAGCTCTGGCACCAAGCCAGCCAACAAGCGGCCCATGTCCTCTCCAGAAATGTAAGCAGGAAGCCCCTCTCGGGAACCTTCTGAGACTAGGGGTGGAAATAGCTGGGTTCAGCCTCTTGTCAAATGACTGGGGGCCCCTAACCGGCCCTGCACCAGCAGGGCCTCCAGTGGTGCAGGGCCCACACTAACTTTCTCTTTCCTTTTTCTGCCTTCCAAGGAAATCTGCTCCAAAGAAATCTAAGGCCGATGGTCAGTGAGAGGAAGCTGACTAGCCCCTGGATTCTTCTCCAGACCCCCCTGCTTCAGGAACACCCGCCAGGGCCCACCCCTCCCACCCCGTCCCAGCATTCGCACTTCACCCTCGCGAGCCGCTGTTCACTCCTCTCCCCTTTCTCTTTCTCTCTGTTTTTAAAATAATCTAAAGAAAGCACATTTTACCATTGCTGTTGGGAGGAAGCAGAGGCAGATGGGAAAGCAGAGAGAGGAGCGCGCTTCCTTTCCTCCCCGCTGCCGCCCACCCTGGGGAGAGACTTTTGCGGGGAGGGAAGGCGGAGCTGAGGACAGCCAGCTCCGCCCTCCCAAGGCTGTGCGTTCCTGAGGGCCAGGTCGGGGGCAGGCATGGAGGGGAGGAAAGGCGTCCCTCTTGGCCCTCCCCAGAGTGGCTTTCCTGGCACCCTGGCCTGGGTGTCTGGTTCTGTTTTCTTTTCTTCCCCTTGTGTTTCCAGTCACCTAACTTCCCTTCCTCAGGCTCCCCCGGCCCACCCTGCTCAGTGACCCCACAGGAAGCTTACACATTTTCTCAGAGGCCTTTGTGCTCCCACCTCTTCTACCCTCCCCCTCTTCTTTCCCATTTTAAAAAAGAAAAGAAGGAAAAAGAAAAAAGGGGCAAGGAGCCCCGCGGCGGCCTGGGCAGCGCCTGTGCAGACCTCCCTGCAGGCCGCACTGCCAACTGCTGCATTTGTTGTGTTTTTTAGGTTGCAATTGGTGAAGTTCACACTTTCATTGTAATTTTAGCGTGTGGGGTTTTGTCCCTTTTTTGTTGTTGTTAGCTGTGTACAGAATGTGTAATCTTTTTTCTTTTCTCTTTTTTTTGTTTTGTTTTGTTTTGTTTTTGTTTTTTTACTTTTTTCTTCTTGGCTAATTCTTGGCAGGGATCTTTCTGGAGGAAAAGCTGGGGCCAGCCAGGGCAGGAGAGGTGTGAAATCTGCCACGAGGGGCCTGCTGTTTGCCACCCAGCCCAACTTCCTGTTGCTGGCCCCTGCCCTCTGCCCTTTTGCCTGTCCTCAGGCCGCTGGAACAAAGGAAGGACAGCTCATTCCTCATGGGCGATCACTCCGCATCTATAGGGTCGAGCCTAGGGGAGCTTGAGGGAGGGCTGGGGCCTCCTTGTCCTGGATTTCCAGCTCTCCCCATGCCCCCTCCCTGAGCACCACCGGCACCGCCTCCCAAACAGGGCTGCTGGTTTCCGCAGCCACTGCTCCACCTCCCCCAAATCGTCATGGAAAGGGTGGAGAATGGAGGGGAACCAGGCGTCCTTGGAGGCAGCTTGGGAGGGTGACTGTGTAGTGTCACCCACAAGGGAGGCTAGGGCAATGGAGCAGGCCACCAGCAGCAGCTGTGCAGCATGGAACTCAGGCCAGGCTCCGAGGCTGGGGGATCTGCTTGGAGTTTTCTGCCCCCCACCCCAAACTTCTGTCGAGGAGCAAGGCTTGCCAGCAAGTCAGAAGGATTTGAACCGAGCAGCCAATCTTTCCAGCCCTCCCCTACCGACCTCTGCCTGGAGACGCAGCAGCCTGTGTCCTCCAGGGCCTCTGGTTTGTTGTATTATAGTATATTTCGCTGTGGAAAATGTCACGTTTAGTCACCTTGGAGCCCACTCACCTGGTCCTGTTGTTTTACCCCATCCCTTCTCTCGCGCGCCTATTGATTTGTTTCTGAGGAGAGTACACCGTTCACTATTGTAGAGTAACCCCTGTGACTCAATATTACCATAGTGCGATGTCGTTTTGTGCTATTTTGAACAATTAAAAGACTTTTTTTGAAATAACCACTAGGTGTCTCACTGTGTCCCGGCATCCTCTCAGGAAGCCTGAGCGGGAAGGCTGAGACCTGCCCGAGGCTCACGGGAGCCCCCTGGAGGGAGACCTGAGCTCTGGTGAAAGCGTAGAAGGCCCCAGAGTGAGGCCTCTGCTGTGGCCTCCGGTCTTTGGACCAAGTCGGACCAGGGTCCAGCAGGTTGCTTGGTAGCTGCCTTGCAGGGCAAGGGCCAAAGAGCCCCTTGGGCAGCTGCTGCTGACTTCCTGTGTCTGGGGCCCAGATCTCCCTCCCTCCCCTCCTGCACTAGAGGATAGGATGGGGCAAGGGCCTGGCAGGTCACCAGCGGCAGCCTCCTTGGGTGGGTTGGGGGGAGGTGGGCTGAGTCAAGTACACCACGGGTACTGCAGAGGTGGATCCCTTCCTCTGGCTTCCTCTTAAATGTGAGCCATGCCCCCAAGGGGAAGAAGCAAGAGCTTGTGATCCAGACTGACCACCTAGCAGCTGGGTCGGTAGGACAGCTGGGATCCCGTGGGCTGAATTTGTACCAGGAGGCCCAGAAAGCTCCGGGGCAAGGTGGCCGGAGCAGCACAGGCCTAGGCGGGTCTGAGGGGAGTGACACCCTGCTTCTGGGGCCTGGTGCTCCTGGCGCACCTGCATTCCCCGCCCCCTCCAAGCCCCTGCCGCCTGCCTTTGTTTCCCCTACACACCTCTACTGCCCAGCCTTCCTCTCAGAGCACCCAGGCACTCCGCTACCAGAAGCTCCTGGAGTAACCAAAGCCTCCGTGTCTCCACCTGTGGCATGGGTGTGTGTGCAAGGCCCTGTCGAATGCGACCTCTTCTGGGAAGCCTCTGTCCTGTGGGGTCTGCTGTGTCATGTGGGGGTGGGGGGAAGCAGACTGGCCAGGGCTTGACACCAGGAGCCATGGCTCTGTCTTACCCACCGCACCAACTGTGACCTGCCTTGGAGCCTAGCCTCGCAGAGGCCCAAGGAGAGGGGTGGGAAAGTGTCCTTCAGAGCAGAGCGGTAGGAGTCATGGCTGGGGCTGGTGGAGGCCAGGGGCCACATGGGGCTGGCCCCAGAACCGAGGGGCCTTGCGGATTTGCCATACCTTTGGCAAATGGCGTTGTGGGCGCTTCGCCTGGTGGGGGTGGTACAAGGCTTCTTCCTACCCCACTTCTGTAGCTGGCACCTGTGGGGCTACCCACCCTCCGCATTCCTTCAGCTCACTTGTCTCACCGCGGCTGCATCACACTCCACAAGGCAAGGGCCACATCAGTCATGCCTCTGGTGTTTATCTGAAAATACCGCGTTTCCGTCTGAGGGCACCACTCAGTCTGGGGAGGCAGGAGGGAGGCTGGACATGAATGTGAACATGACAGGCCTGTGAGCAGGGCAGGTAGATACAGCCCGGCTGGGCACAAAGCTCATCCCCTGAGCATGAGCCGAGGCCGAGGGTGGGTGGGAGCACACAGAGGATGCCTCCCCAGCTGCCAGGGCATCAGCCTCATTACCAAGCACCCCAAAGGGGAACTGTTTGGGGTTGGGTGGGTCAGCCTGCAGCAGGGACTGAGACAGCCACTGTGGCATCAAAGACCAGCAGTGCAGTACCCACGCCCAGAGGCTGGAACCCATTTTGTGCACTGTTGGCCTGGAAGGTAGGAACCACCTCAGCCCAGCTGCCTTGTAGCATCATCGGGTCAGTCATAGAGCTACAGACAGATCTGGGCAGCTGGAAAACAGGCCCAGAGAAGGGGGGTGTGGGCTGTTACCTGCAGTTACTGTCTGGCCTTAGAGCTGTGTCACTTGTGTAAAGAAGTCAGTGCCAAGGCCGAGCGCGGTGGCTCACACCTGTAATACCAACACTTTGGGAGGCCGAGGCAGGTGGATCACGAGGTCAAGAATTTGAGACCAGCCTGGCCAACATGGTGAAAAACCGTCTACTAAAAAAAAAAAAAAAAAAAAAAAAAAAATTAGCTAGGCATGGTGGCAGGCACCTGTAATCCCAGCTACTCCAGAGGCCGAGGCAGGAGAATTGCTTAAACCCGGGAAGCGGAGGTTATAGTGAGCCAAGATCATGCCACTGCACTCCAGCCTGGGCGACAGAGCAAGACCCCATCTTGGGAAAAAAAAAAAAAAAATTAGCGCCAATGGCTGCCCATTACTGACTGTTGAGGTAGTTGGTGACAAACTGATTCAAAAGAGAGGACTTGCTAGGCTGGGTGCGGTGGCTCACGCCTGTAATCCCAGCACTTTGGGAGGCTGACGCAGGAGGATCGCTTGAGCTTAGGAGTTCGAGACCAGCCTGGGCAACATTGCAAAACCCTGTCTCCACTAAAAATACAAAAATTAGCCAGGCATGGTGGCCCACACCTGTGGTCCCACCTACTCAGGAGGCTGAGGTGGGAGGATCGCTTGAGCCTGGCAGGTCAAGGCTGCAGTGAGCTGCCTGGGCGACAGGACACTGTCTCAAAAAACAAAGAAACAAACAACAACAACAACAACAAAAACAGAACTTGCCTCCTGTCTACCCTGTGTGGTGACAGGTCAGAGGGACCTCTGCATTCAGGCCCACTAGCTGTTCCCTGTCCTGCTGCACCCCTGCCCCACAGGCTTGGTAGGGCCAAGGCCCTCAGCCGCCCTGCCGGGGCCCCTGGTGTAGGGCGGGGTGGGTGGCAGCCCCGTTCCCCCTCATCCCAGACCCTCCGGCCATCCCAGCTTTTCCCACCAAGCAGGATCTTGAGACCAGAGCTCCCAGCAGGGGCCCTGGAGGGACTGGCCCATTCGAGTGGAGGGTCGCGGCAGGAACAAGTGCGGGGGTCGGGCTCAAAGCCCCGCCCCAGGCCCAGCGGAACCCTGAAGAGGAGGGGGAGGGTGAGCCGGGCGCGGCTGTGTCAGCTGAGTGACAGTCACGGGACCGCGACCAACTCTGTCTGGCTTCCTAGAGGAGCAGGAGGGATGAGCAAGGGTCTCCCAGCGCGACAGGCCAGTGGTGGGGTGCTTGGGGGGAGTGCTGTCTTGGAGGGTCCCGGGGATGGTGACGTCTGAAGCCCCGTGCAGAGGTGGGGAGATCCCTGAGGGCTGGTTCCCGAGGCTGGGGGGGCCTAGGTCCCATGTGGGGGCTGCGCCTTCAAGCCCCATTTCCCCTAGGACATGGAGAAAGAGCGAGAGACTCTGCAGGCCTGGAAGGAGCGCGTGGGGCAGGAGCTGGACCGCGTGGTGGCTTTCTGGATGGAGCACTCCCACGACCAGGAGCACGGGTACTCGGCGTGCTTCTGGAGTCCTCAGCAGGGTTTTTGCCCTTCCTGAGGCCCCTTCTCACTCTCAGGCACCTCACAGATTTGCTGGCCCCAGAGGGGCAGGAGGGGCTGGCAAGGCCCGTTCCAGACTTTGCTAACCCTGCCTTCCCACAGGGGCTTCTTCACGTGCCTTGGCCGCGAGGGGCGGGTGTATGATGACCTCAAGTATGTGTGGCTGCAGGGGAGGCAGGTATGGTGTTCCCAGCCTGGAAGCTCAGGCACACGGCCCATCGCCTCAAAGGTCTCCCCACCTCACCCCAGCCGGCCACTTAAGCCACTTTCCCTCCCGTACCCCGCAGGTATGGATGTATTGTCGCCTGTACCGCACTTTCGAGCGCTTCCGCCATGCTCAGCTTCTGGACGCAGCAAAAGCAGGTAGGTGCCCCCTTCCTGCCCATCTCCCAGTGACTCCGTCCATGTTTACTCAACAGGGCACATGTGCGGAGTTCCTAGAGGGATCTAGAAGCAGCGAAGGACTTGGGGAGGCTCAAGGGTGGTGTGTGCGGGGCGTCCTGGCCTTACCCCTGGCATGCCAACCCCCCAACCTCCAGGTGGTGAGTTCTTGCTGCGGTATGCCCGGGTGGCACCTCCTGGCAAGAAGTGTGCCTTTGTGCTGACTCGGGACGGCCGCCCGGTCAAGGTGCAGCGAACCATCTTCAGTGAGTGTTTCTACACCATGGCCATGAACGAGCTGTGGAGAGCCACAGGGGAAGTGCGGTACCAGGTGTGTGAGAGGAGGGTGCCCCTGAAGACCCCACCCTGCGACCCTGCCATGGCCACCTGATGCATTCCCACTCACTACGCAAGTCCCCTCCCATGGACCCATCTGTGGGCCAAGTCCCCTTCACCTCTGAACGCTCCCCTACCCCCACAGGGGCGCAGACGGAGAGGGCCCTATCCACGCCCTGCCCCCAACTGGGAAAAGGCCCTTCCCTCCTCCCTGGGCTCCCTGTGCTGCCAGACCCTGACCCCACAGCCTGGAAGGGGCTGCACCCCCAGACTGGGAGCAGAGTGGGGCGGATCTGACTGGCCCCTACTGGACGCTGGGTGCCAGGCCCCAAGTAGGCCCTGGATGAAGGTGTCTCTGGGTTCAGGAGAGGAATTGGCTCTCCCACCCCAGGGCCGTGTCCAGGGGGATGGCACAGGATGTAGCCTCAGCCTGGGCCTCCCCTTGCCTCCTGCACCCCCAGACGGAAGCGGTGGAGATGATGGATCAGATCGTCCACTGGGTGCAGGAGGACGCGTCGGGACTGGGCCGGCCCCAGCTCCAGGGGGCCCCGGCTGCGGAGCCCATGGCGGTGCCCATGATGCTACTGAACCTGGTGGAGCAGCTCGGGGAGGCAGATGAGGAGCTGGCGGGCAAATACGCAGAGCTGGGGGACTGGTGCGCCCGGAGGATTCTGCAGCACGTGCAGGTGGGGGATGCCTGGGGAGCTGGGGTGGTGGGAGGCCTTCCACTCCCCCACTCCCCTGGGCACCCTGGGGCTCGACACACCTGGAGAGACAGAGATTCGGGGATGTCCCCACCTGGGGAAGGTGGAGGGCCTGAGGGCTGGAGGGAGGATGCGGAGCCCCAGGCAAGCCCTGACAGAAGGAGACCCCTCCTGCCCCACCCAAGTCCCTTCCAGGCCTCTGGGCCGTGAAACCCGCCCTGTCTGTCCCCATTCAATGTTTCACCCTCCCCTGCTGGAGAGGATCAGGCCAGAAGTGAGGATTACATCTTCCTAGGCCCGGGCTGGACGCGGTGGCTCGTGCCTGTAATCCCAGCAGTTTGGGAGGCTGAGGCGGGCGGATCACCTGAGGTCAGGAGTTGGAGACCAGCCTGGCCAATATAGTGAAACCCCGTCTCTACTAAAAATACAAAAATTAGCTGGGCATGGTGGTGCATGCCTGTAATCCCAGCCTCTAGGGAGGCTGAGGCAGGAGAATCGCATGAACCCAGGAGGTGGAGATTGTAGTGAGTCGAGATTGCGGCCACTGCACTTTAGCCTGGGTGACAGAGCAAGACTCTGTCTAAAAAAAAAAAAAAAAAAAAAAAACAACAACTTGCTAGGCCCAAGGGAGTGAATCAGCCCCTCCTTAAATGCCCCTCTGAGCCTGGCCCACCCAAGCCAGCAGGTCCAGGGGCTTGGGTAAGAGGGAGGGAGGAAGGGCTTTCCGGAGCTGGGTCTTTCTAGTTGGGTGGCTGGGTGGGTGAAAGGGCTGGAGGCAACATTCCCTTCTGCTCCTTCCCGGTAGAGGGATGGACAAGCTGTGCTGGAGAATGTGTCAGAGGGTGGCAAGGAACTTCCTGGCTGCCTGGGGAGACAGCAGAACCCAGGTGAGGGGCGGGGTGGGCTGGGGGCCACCCAGGAGGAGGGGAGCGCTGAGCCTTGTGTTCTGGGCTTCAGATATGGGAGTGCCTGGCGGGGGCGCCTTGAGGAGGCAGAGGAGCGAGGATGGGCTTCCCAAGGCTGGGGGTTTCTGCAGAGGAGCAGGCTTCCAGGGCCAGGGAGCTCAGAGCCTCGCTCATTGTTAGGGAGGGAGCAGAGAGGTGCCAGGGGCTTTTGCTCCCTCTGTTCCCTCCCTCAACCCCACCCCCCGCCCCCCGCCCTTCCGTACTCCACCCCTCACCAGGCCACACGCTGGAAGCCGGCTGGTTTCTGCTCCGTCATTGCATTCGGAAAGGCGACCCCGAACTTCGAGCCCACGTGATTGACAAGTTCCTATTGTTGCCCTTCCACTCCGGATGGGACCCTGACCACGGAGGCCTCTTTTACTTCCAGGATGCTGATAACTTCTGCCCCACCCAGGTGGGAGAGCGCCCAGGGCCATGTGTGACCCACGCTGTTCTAAGGCTTTCTGCCCAGGGAGGTGGTTGCTTCTCTAGAGGGTAACCTGGGGCTGGATTGGAACCTAGAGGCCTGCTCTCAGCTTCTGTGCCAGTGTTACAGGAAAGGGGTCGTGATCCAGACCCCAGAAGAGGGAGGGTTCTTGGATCTTGCCCAAGAAAGAATTCAGGGCGAGTCCGCAATGCAAAGTGAAAGCAAGTTTATTAAGAAAGTAAAGGAATAAAAGAATGGTTACTCCATAGGCAGAGCAGCCCTGAGGGCTGCTGGTTGCCTTTTTTTTTTTTTTTTTTTTTTTTTTTGAGGTGGAGTTTTGCTCTTGCTGCCCAGGCTGGAGTGCAATGGCGCCATCTCGGCTCACCACAACCTCTGCTTCCCGGGTTCAAGCGATTCTCCTGCCCTAGCCTCCCGAGTAGCTAGGATTACAGGCATGGGCCACCATGCCTGGCTAATTTTGTATTTTTAGTAGAGACGGGGTTTCTCCATGTTGGTCAGGCTGGTCTCGAACTCCCGACCTCAGGTGATCCGCCCGCCTCAGCCTCCCAAAGTGCTGGGATTATAGGCGTGAGCCACCGCACCCGGCTGGTTGCCCATTTTTATGCTTATTTCTTGATGATATGCTAAACAAGGGGTGGATTATTCATGCCTCCCCTTTTTAGACCATATAGGGTAACTTCCTGACGTTGCCATGGCATTTGTAAACTGTTGGAAGTGAGGACGAGCAGAGGTCACTGTTGTCGCCACCTTGGTTTTGGTGGGTTTTGGCCGGCTCCTTTACTGCAACCTGTTTTATCAGCAAGGTCTTTATGACCTGTATTTTGTGCCGACCTCATATCTCATCCTGCGACTTAGAATGCCTCAGCCGTCTGGGAATGCAGCCCAGTAGGTCTCAGCCTCATTTGACCCAGCTCCTGTTTAAGATGGAGTTGCTCTGGTTTACACACCTCTGACACCATGTCATATGGAGGCCACCAGGGAGCTGGCGAAACGCTGATGCTCAGACATATATGCCATTCGTCTGGGGCCCTGGTGTCTATTCAAGAATCTACAGGTCAGGAAGCTGATATCACTGGGAGGGGTCCTTCAGAACTTCCAAAGATGTCCCGCAATTCACCTCCAGTAGCTTGGGCCAATGGAGACGCAGCCAGGTCTGGAAAGTTGCGGAGGGGAGTTTCCTGCTGAGATGCCTGCCCCTGCTCTCCCCTCAGCTGGAGTGGGCCATGAAGCTCTGGTGGCCACACAGTGAAGCCATGATTGCCTTCCTCATGGGTTACAGTGACAGTGGGGACCCTGTGCTGCTGCGCCTCTTCTACCAAGTGGCTGAGTACACCTTCCGCCAGGTGAGAGCTGCCTCCTTGTCCCCTCTAGAGGCTGAATGGGGGAATGGGGGGAGTCTGGCCCGGCTGCGCTCTTGCCCCCTCGCTGAGCACAGTCGCTCAGCTGGTCTGAGAGTTTCCGGAGCCCCAGTGCTGTTCGTTCAGTCAACGAAGAAGCCTCTGCCCTCCTAGAGCTCGAATTTTGGTGGTGGGGGCGGGAGGAGCAGAGTGTAAGCAAGCAGACCTAGGTGGTGGTGAGAGTGACAGCTGTGGGAATAATACCACTGGAGAGGGTTGTGGGGGGGCTCTTTCCTATGGGGTGGCAGCAGGGAAGCACTGAGCAGGGGCCGAGTCAATCAGGGGTGTGTCTGAGGGACTGGGAGTCTGGGCAGGGTGGGGCATGTGGCACAGCAGGGGGGCCTGGCAGCCCGGGAGGATAAAGGCAGAGTGGGCAAGGGACGGACTCCAGCTGCCTGGTCTGATTCCATTGTTACCTGGGTCCTGGGGCTTGGAGGGGAGGGTGTTATGGGGGAAGTCTGTAGGGAACAGGGCAGAAGCTGGGACAGCAGAGGAAGCTGTAGCTGTCATCCCAGCCAGTGAGGGCTGGCCCAGGTGGGAGCTGGTGGGGACAGAGGGTTCACAGTCTGGTGGAGCAGCAGTGGGATTCCTGAGTCTCCAGTTCAGACGGAGAGATCTGGACTCACCATGAATGTTTTCAGTATCACAAGAATGTAGATGCTGCCTGGCACAGTGGCTCATGTCTATAATCCTAGCACTTTGGCAGGCTGAGACGGGAGGATCGCTTGAACCGAGGACTTCAAAACCAGTCTGGGCAACATAACGAGACCTGGTCTCTACAAAAAATTTTAAAAAATTAGCTGGGTGTCATGCACACCTGTAGTCCTAGCTACTCAGGAGGCTGAGGCAGGAGGACTGCTTAAGCCCAGTTTGAGGCTGCAATGAGTTATGATCACACCACTGCACTCCAGCCTGGGCTGGGCAACAGAGCGAGACTATGTCTCAAAAAAAAAAGGCCGGGCACGGTGGCTCACGCCTGTAATCCCAGCACTTTGGGAGACTGAGGCAGGTGGATCACCTGAGGTCAGGAGTTCAAGACCAGCCTGGCCAACATGGTGAAACCCCATCTCTACTAAAAATACAAAAATTAGCCAAGCGTGGTGGTGGGTGCCTGTAATCCCAGCTACTTGGGAGGCAGAGGCAGGAGAATCGCTTGAACCCAGGAGGCAGAGGTTGCAGTGAGCCGAGATCGCACCATTGCACTCCAGCCTGGGGGACAAGAGCAAGACTTGGTCTCAAAAAAAAAAAAAACAAAAAAAAAAAAACAGTACAGATGCTGCTGAGATCTATGAGGCAAAAAGGGAAATGGGGGCCCAGCAAAGGAGACAAGAATCAGTGGTGACGCAGGAAGAAAACCAAGCCAGGGGCTCCCTGAAGCCCAAGTGCTAGGAGCAGAGTGATAAGCTGTCTTGACTGCTGCCCAGGAGGCAACTCGAGCTGCTGAACACAGGAAAGGGCATGGCACCCAGTGGAAAGGGCATGGCACCCAGTGGAAAGGGCATGGCACCCAGTGGTGGCAAGGCCTGGGTGGTGAATGAATGAAGATTCATCATGCGTTTCTAAAGCCACGACTCCGACTCCACTGGTGAACCCTGGTACTGCGAGGACTATAGCAGGGGATCTTATTCTGGGGTCTGTGAGCTTCGAAACCGGGGGCGGAGAATCACATCTTTATTTGTACTAACCTCTAACTGAAACTAGCATTTGCTGCCATTATGAGTGGAGGCAATGAACCACATTGGTAATAGAAGTGCCTGGCTTTGTCACCGATAGAAATCCAGATGTGTTTACATTGCATTGCAGTTAGAGAGACATCTGCAAGTATCACATATATTCGTCACTACTTCCAAAGCAGCAGGGTTGTTAGACCTGCAGCTATATCTTAATATTTAATGCATTCATAGAGTGTGTGTTAGGGGCCACCAGTTCTAACTCAAAAATGAAATTGAAGGAATACATTTTAATAAGATATAGATGACATTAAACAATTACAAAAGTTATAATCAACAGGTAAATCGGCTGGGCATGGTGGCTCATGCCTGTAATCTCAGCACTTTGGGAGACTGAGGCGGGTGGATCACCTGAGGTCAGGAGTTCTGGACCAGCCTGGTCAACATGGCGAAACCCCGTCTCTACTAAAAATACAAAAATTGGGCTGGTCGCGGTGGCTCACGCCTGCCATTCCAGCACTTTGAAAGGCCGAGGCAGGTGGATCACTTGAGGTCAGGAGTTCGAGAACAGCCTGGCTGACATGGTGAAACCCCCATCTCTATTAAAAATACAAAAAATTAGCCGGGTGTGGTGGCGGGTGCCTGTAATCCCAACTACTGGGGAGACTGAGGCAGGAGAATCACTTGAACCCGGGAAGCACTCCAGCCTGGGCAACAGGAGCAAAACTCCATTAAAAAAAATAAAAAATAAAAAAAATAAATAAATAAATTAGCCGGGCTTGGTGGCGGGTGCCTGTAATCCCAGCTACTCAGGAGGCTGAAGCAGGAGAATCACTGGAACCTGGGAGGTGAAGGTTGCAGTGAGCTGGGATCACGCCACTGCACTCCATCCAGTCTGGGTGACAAGAGCGAAACTCCGTCTTAAAAAAACAAAAACCAAAAAACTAACCAACAAACAAAAAAACAGGTAAGTCATTATGCATCAACCAACATAACAGAATACAGAAGGCAAAAATCCAGACATTGAAGGAAATTCTTCTTTACCTTCCTGTGTCATGTCAAGCAGTCAAAAAATAAGTAAGGACTTGAACAATGTAACTCAAAAGACAGAATGAATACACACAGAACTAGTTTTTATTTATTTATTTATTTATTTATTTATTTATTTATTTATTTATTTTTGAGACAGGGTCTCTATCGCCCAGGCTGAGTGCAGTGGCACAATCATGGCTCAGTGCAGCCTCAACCTCCTGGGCTCAAGCGATCCTTCCACCTCAGCCACCCAGGTAGCTGGGACTACAGCTGTGTGCCATCACGCCCAGCTAATTCTTTAATTTTTTTTTTGTATAGATGGGGTCTCACTATGTTTCCCAGCCTGGTCTTAAACTCCTGGCCTCAAGTGATCCTCCCGCCTCGGCCTCTCAAAGTGCTGGGATTATAGGCGTGAGCCACTGTGCCCAGCCCAGGACTAGTTTTACTTCCTACAAAGAAGAATACACCAACTCTTATGGGCCACCATTTAAAGAGACATTTTCATAGTGGACTTCAATGTAATTGAGTCCATGATCCTTTTGAGAAGGGGCTGAACTGACAAGCCTCCCTGAGACAGGTGCCCCATGGAATGCTAGTGGAGAGAGAAGGAAAGAGAGTGGAATGGGCACTGGGCAGGGGCAGAGGGAGGAGGAGATGAGTTTGGGACCAATGGTGAGCCAGGACAGGAGTCAGATGAGATTGTGCATCTACTGGAAGACAGGCCTGTGAAGCCGGGAATGGGAGCTCCAAGGGAGTCACTTCTTAAGAGTTTCATGACAGGTCGTCGCCTCCATCAGGGTTCTTTGTTTCTTTTCTTTTCCTTTTTTTTTTTTTTTTTTTGAGACGGAGTCTGGCTCTGTTGCCCAGGCTGGAGTGCAGTGGCGCGATCTTGGCTCACTGCAAGCTCCGCCTCCCGGGTTCACGCCATTCTCCTGCCTCAGCCTCCCGAGTAGCTGGGACTACAGGTGCCCGCCACCACTCCCGGCTAATTTTTTGTATTTTAGTAGAGACGGGATTTCACTGTGTTAGCCAGGATGGTCTCGATCTCCTGACCTTGTGATCCGCCCGCCTCGGCCTCCCAAAGTGCTGGGATTACAGGTGTGAGCCTTTGCACCCGGCCGGGTTCTTTGTTTCTTTGAATCAACGTAACCACGACTACAATCACAATAGAGAACTTTTTTGTTTGTTTGTTTGTTCGTTTGTTTGTTTGTTTGAGATGGAGTCTCGCTCTGTCACCCAGGCTGGAGCGCAATGGCGTGATCTCAGCTCACTGCAACCTCCGCCTCCTGTGTTCAAGCTATTCTCCCGCCTCAGCCTCCCGAGTATACTGCTGGGATTACAAGTGCGTGCCACCACGTCCGGCTAATTTTGTATTTTTAGTAGAGATGAGGTTTCACCATGTTGTCCAGGCTGATCTTGAACTCCTGACCTCAGGTGATCCGCCCGCCTCGGCCTCCGAAAGTGCTGGGATTACAGGCGCAAGCCACAGCTCCCGGCCCGATAGACAACGTTTCTACACCCCAGGGCAGAGTTCTTTCATTCCATCTAGCAGTGTCTCATCCCCTTGCCCAGTCGGTTATATAGTTGTAGCCTGCCTGCTGCGCCCACCCCTGCTTTCATCTTTGTGGAGGACGCAGTGTCGCGGTTAAGATCGCTGGTTCTGGAGCCACGTCACCTGGGGTCAACCCAGGCTCTGACCCCTGGTAGCGATGCAGTGGCATCTGGGCGGGTCCTGCAGGCGCTAGCTGTCACTGTCTCTGTTATTCCAGTTTCGCGATCCCGAGTACGGGGAATGGTTTGGCTACCTGAGCCGAGAGGGCAAGGTGGCCCTCTCCATCAAGGGAGGTCCTTTCAAAGGTGAGTGGGGGAGAGGGCGGGGCCGCAGGGGTTGCGCCTCTCGGCTGCCCCCGGCCCTCACTACCTGCCCGCCTCTACCCGCAGGCTGCTTCCACGTGCCGCGGTGCCTAGCCATGTGCGAGGAGATGCTGGGCGCCCTGCTGAGCCGCCCCGCCCCCGCCCCCTCCCCCGCCCCCACCCCCGCCTGCCGAGGCGCGGAATAAAGGCTGAGTCCGCTCCACCTGCGGCTGTGCGCGCGTCTGTGGGCTCGCGGGAGGGGGGCTGTCGCGCCGAGGGAGGGGCCGGCTCCAGCTCCGGGGCAGCGCCCGCCCCGCCCCCAGGCCCGCCCCGCGCTGACCGGCTCCGCGCATTGGCCCGCCCCGTGCGCTGGCCTGTCCCGCGCATTGGCCAAGCGGCCGGGAGGACGGGCCCGGCGGCCGTGCACTTCCGGCCGGTGGCCGGCCCGGCGCGCACCGCCCCTTCCGCCGTCGCCCAGCGAGCCCAGCTCCGGTCCCAGCCCCGGCCGTCCCGGCGTCGCTTCGGAGCGCGGCGGCAGCTGACTGCGCCTTCACGATCCGCTGGGACCCGCGAGCCCCGCCGCCGTTATGAACATCCGCAATGCGAGGGTGAGCGCCCGGGGCGGGAGGCTGTCCGCGCCGCGTGGGCGCCGGGCCGGGTGGCTGCCGCGCATGCTCCCGAGGGCCCCGGCCGAGCCCGGCCCGGTGGCCCTGAGTGTGCCTGCGGCCGCTGGACCTATGGGGCTGGCCCAGCCCGCCGAAGAGGCCGGGGCGCGGGGCCGGGGCTGCGATTCCCTCCTGTTTGCGTGATGTCGGGCCTCCGTTGGGTGGGCTCCGGGGACCTCCGGGGCGCCCACTCCTGTTCCTGTGCTCCGGGCGTTGTGCAAAGTCAGATCGTCACAGTGCCTGCCCAGCCCCGAGGGAGCGGGGCCGAGCAGACCGACGGGGAGCAGGCTTCTCACCCGTGGTCACCGCCGCCTTAGACTGAGCGCGTTCCACTGCCCTCCTTCCCTGCAGCCAGAGGACCTAATGAACATGCAGCACTGCAACCTCCTCTGCCTGCCCGAGAACTACCAGATGAAATACTACTTCTACCATGGCCTTTCCTGGCCCCAGGTGGGCAGCTTCTGAATTTGGGCATGGGGGAAAGCAGGCCGAGGAAAATCCCATCTGGCCATCTTGGAGGGAGTGGACAAGTCTGTCAGAGCCCAGGGGGCTGTATGGTCGGTGGCGTCCTGGGTGTTTTCAGCTGGCAGACAGGGGCAAAGGAAAAGAAGGCGCCCGAAGGGAGCAGAGAATAGGGGCAGGATCCCCACTTTGCGTCTTCTTTCTGGGTATGGGCAGGGCACAGTGTGGCGAGGGGGAGACCAAGCCACTCAGCCCGGAGGTCATGAGCCATCACACAACTCGCCACTCGTCCAGTTTGTGTCCCTCTAAAGGGCTCTTCTAGCTCCGACAAGAAGTTTTCTCACTCTGTTTTCCTGTCACCAGCTCTCTTACATTGCTGAGGACGAGAATGGGAAGATTGTGGGGTATGTCCTGGCCAAAATGTGAGTCACCAAGGAGGAAGACAGAAGCTACACGTGTCTGGTGGATGCCTCTGTGGGCTTTAAAAAAAATGAATAGGCTTCTTCTTTTCAGTACAGTTGAAAGTTTATAGAAAAATTGAACAGAAAGGACATGGAGTTCTTATAGCACCCCTCAGCATCCCCTCCCTGCCAGCTTCCTCTGTTAGTAGCATGTTGGATTTGTGTGGTCCACTTGTGACAAGTGATAAATGAATGTGATATGTTACTATTATTATTATTACTATTATTATTTGAGACGGAGTCTTGCCCTGTCGCCCAGGCTGGAGTGCAGTCGCGTGATCTTGGCTCACTGCAACCTCCACCCCCTGGGTTCAAGCGATTCTCCTGCCTCAGCCTCCTTAGTAGCTGGGATTACAGGCACATGCCACCACACCTGGCTAATTTTTGTATATTTCAGTAGCAATGGGGTTTCACTACGTTGGCCAGGCTGGTCTCGAATTCCTGACCTCAGGTGTTTCCACCCACCTCTGTCTCCCAAAGTGCTAGGATTACAGGCGTGAGCCACTGCGCCTGGCCGATATATTATTATTAACTAAACCCATAGTTTACATTACTGCACTTCTCTTTGTGTTGTAAGCCCCATGGTTTTGACCAAATGACATGTGTCCACCTTCATATTATCGCAGGATAGTTTCACTGTGTTCCACGCATTCATCCCTCCCTCTCCTTAACCCGTGGCAACCACTGATTTTTTACTGTTTGCATGGTTTTGCCTTTTCCAGGATGTCACAGAGTTGGAATCATACTATATACAGCTTTTTCAGGCTGGCTTTTTTTCACTTAGTAATACACATTTAAGCTTCTGCCTTGTCTTTGCGTGGGTTGACAGCTCATTTCTTTTTTTATTTTTTGAGACAGGGTCTCGCTCTGTTGCCCAGGCTGGAGTGCAGTGGCATGATCATGGCTCACTGCAGCCTCAACCTCCCAGGCTCAAGTGATCCTCTCATGTCTGCCTCCCAAGTAGCTGGGACCACAGGCATGCGCCACCACATCCAGCTAATTTTTTGATTTTTTTTTTGTAGAGACAAAAAAAAGTGTTGTCCAGGCTGGTCTCGAACTCCTGGGCTCAAGCAGTCCTCTTGCCCCGGCCTGCCAAGTAGCTGGAACTATAGGCGTGTGCCCCACACCCGGCAGGCTTGGGGTTTTCAGGCAGCAGAGGGTGGCAGGATCGGCTGCTCTGATCCAAGAGGCTCCCGGCTCTCCCCCAGCTGGGGTCTTAGGGGGCTGTAGTGCATGTCCACTCTACAAATGGCAGGGGGGCTGGAGGTGGCTGTGCCTACACTGAGCTCCTTTGCAGCCTCTCCTTTCTCCCTCTCCAGGGAAGAGGACCCAGATGATGTGCCCCATGGACATATCACCTCATTGGTATGTAAGGTCCACCCAGGCTCTCTGGTGGGGGTGGAAGTGGGGGTTAGTTGGGGCAGCCCTCAAGGTCCCAGTCCCTCACCCCATCTCTGCTCTTCTCCCACCAGGCTGTGAAGCGTTCCCACCGGCGCCTCGGTCTGGCTCAGAAACTGATGGACCAGGCCTCTCGAGCCATGATAGAGAACTTCAATGCCAAATATGTCTCCCTGCATGTCAGGAAGAGGTGGAAGCCGGGCTGAGGGAAGGGGGATTGAGGGGGAGAGATACTGCCTTGACGGGGGTCCTGGGGTACCTCAGCTTTTGGTGAAGATCCAGGAAGTGGGATTGGGGGGAAGGAGGGACCAGGAGGAGGGGCAAGACCTGGACGTGCTACCCCTCCCTGGCCAAATCCGTGCAGCTCAGCAGTGCCTTGTTCCCCTGCAGTAACCGGGCCGCCCTGCACCTCTATTCCAACACCCTCAACTTTCAGTAAGTAGATCTCGATTTTTCTAATGGGCTGGGGTTGATCCCAGGTCTGGCCCATCAGGGCACCTGAGACCGGCTGAGTTGCCTTCCAGGTCGGGGGTGGGCCGGCTGTGGGGAAGAGGCTGTGGACCCCAGCACTGCCAGGATACCTCCACATTCACTCGGCGGCTGATGGTTGAAAAGCCGGCATGGAGACAGCACCTGCCTGCTGAAACGTGCTCCATGTGTTGTGATGGAGGAGCTCTGGCCCATGATGGCTGAGGCTGGCGAAGGGCACACGGGCTGTTTAGTAATGTTTGGGAATAGAGAGGTGTGGGTCCCTGGCGTGAGCAGATGCTGAGGAGCAGGACTCAAGCATGACCAAGCACCTAGAAGAATCCAAGAGAGAGCAGAATCGAGGAGAATGCACATTCAGGAAGGAAGGGCCAGTGGCCAGGCAGCCTAGTGGATGGGGGAGGTCTGCCTGAGGACCAGGAGGCCCCGTGTGCCTAGCACACTAGAGAGAACCTGGCAGTTGGCATGCCCAGTAGACAGTGGAAAAAAGTGCTTGCAAGTGAAGCTGGGGTGGGCTGCCTGTGGAGGGACACTAACTGCACTCAGCCCGTTTGGTAGGGGATGAAGAAGAGGGACTGTTGGGAAGGGCGGTGGCCTCTGGGCTGGATGCTGGCAAGAGGGATCTGTGACCCAGATGACGATGTCTGGTGGGAATTGCTTTATAGCTAAGTCAGCAATCCTCATGTCTTAGGCCTGGCAGGGCCAGCCTAGGCCATTGAGTCCAGCTCCCCTTCCAGGGACATGGCCACGCGAGTCTGCACACACACCTGCCCAGTGTAGTCACGGCCCCAGAGCTGCTCAGGCAGGGCTCACCGTCTTTCCTGGGTTCTGATGGCTGTTGTGAGGCAGCTCAGTAAGGGACAGGGCGCAGGGCAGGGAGGGAAGGGGAAGGCTGAATTCAGGGCTTCAGCTCACAAGAAACCGCAGAAATGGATCCTTAGTATCCAGGCTAAGGACACAGAACGGGGGCAGGACGGGTGGGGCGGGCCGCTGTGTCCTGGAGCCTTTGCTGGAGAGAACAGAGGGCAGGTCACACTGGACTTGTTGTCTCAGGATGGAGCCTTCAGGGAGAAAACATGGCACCTTGCTCCAGTAGCCACGATACCAGGAGTGGAGGAGGGTGTCCCCGGGATACAGGTCTTCCTCCTTGCTCTCTAACCCTCTGCCCCCAGGATCAGTGAAGTGGAGCCCAAATACTATGCAGATGGGGAGGACGCCTATGCCATGAAGCGGGACCTCACTCAGATGGCCGACGAGGTAAGCGCCTGCATGAAGCCAAGCAAGGCGAGCGGGGGCGGCACTCAGGAGCCCCAAGACAGTGGCTGCAGGCGAGACCGACTTTGGATGCCAGCTCTTGTGGCTACGTTGCCAGGAGTCACGACCTCAGTTTCCTAGGCTGGGCTTTAGAGGAGGCCATCTGCCTAGCAGCCTGGAGGGTGATGGGAGAGGCAGAGGGAGGAGGCTTTTAGAAGGGAAGTGGGGAGGTCTAGGGACCAGTGGGTGGCCTGCCTGCTCAAAGGTAGTTCTGAGTCAGGGTTCTGCCCAAGGCTCATCGGGTGGCAGGGCTGGTCAAGGGGCAGCGCTCTGTCGTGGGGGCCTCCATGGTAGTCGGTAAGCCCAGGTAGCGGTGGACTGGGGCTCCAGCCAGGTGTCCCCACTCAGTCCCGCGTGTCCTGCCTAGCCCTGCTGCCTCACTATGCCCCTCTCCTCAGCCAGCGACAGGGCCAGGCTCCCTTTGTCTGGAAACTTAGGCCCTGTCTCTTTGCCCCCGCTTCTCCCTGGGTTCCTGGTGGCAGCTGAGGCGGCACCTGGAGCTGAAAGAGAAGGGCAGGCACGTGGTGCTGGGTGCCATCGAGAACAAGGTGGAGAGCAAAGGCAATTCACCTCCGAGCTCAGGAGAGGCCTGTCGCGAGGAGAAGGGCCTGGCTGCCGAGGATAGTGGTGGGGACAGCAAGGACCTCAGCGAGGTCAGCGAGACCACAGAGAGCACAGATGTCAAGGACAGCTCAGAGGCCTCCGACTCAGCCTCCTAGAGCCTGCCCCATCCCCTCCTCACCCCACGAGCTTTCACAATAAATTCGCTCCGTGGCACTGGGGAACTTTGTGTGTGAGCGCGCGCACATTTAGAGGGTGTGTTTCTCCAGGTCCTCTGGTGGGGATGTGAGCCTTGGCCTTTTGACCCAGAGCATCCTGCCAGGCCCGAGTACAAGGAAAGAGCTTTGGAGGTGGGACTCCCTAGTCTCATGACCTTCAGCAGCTGTGGCCCCGGGGAAGGAGGCCCTGGACTTATGGGAGAGACCCTGCCTTGGAGGTCTGCTTGGCCACGCTGAATGTGTTTTGTGGCACAAGCCGGGGCTGCTCAGGCTCAAAGCTCAACAGCAGGGCTCCCACTCTTGGTGGCCTTCAGTTCTCTTCCCACCTTCACCTTCAGACTTTCTCTCCCTAATCACACCTGCTTCGGGCTACAGCAGCTCCCCAGCATACCCGTGGGCTCCAGATGTGGACATCCAACTGCTCATTGGGCTTATCTACAAATGTCCTGTCTGAGTAATGACCCAGCCAGATGCCCCATCAACAGTCCTTGAGTCCTCCCTCCCCTGCCACCCTAATGGTCAGTGAGTCCATGATACCTCTTGAGTCTACTCCCTAACCTGAGTTTGCATTTGAAAATAATTTATTTTTAGTACAATTCCCCGCGTTTCCCCATTGACATTTTGTATTAGTTGGTGTATTTGTTATTGTTGATGCGCCAATACTGATAAGTTATTGTAAACTACAGCCCATGGTTTACAGTAGGTTTCCTGTCTGTGTTGTACAGTTTCTATGGGGTTACACAAATGCATAAAGCCATGTATTCCCTCATTAACAATTTCATGCAAAATACAAAACTGGGCGGCTGTTGGGTGCGGTGGCTCATGCCTGTAATCACAGCACTTTGGGAGGCCAAGGTGGGCGGGATCACTTGAGCTCAGGAGTTGGAGACCAGCCTGGGCAGCATGGCGAAACCCCATCTTTACTAAAAATAGAAAACTTACCCGGGTGTGGTGGTGCATGCCTGTAATCCCAGCTACTCGGGAGGCTGAAGCAGGAGGATCGCTTGAGCCCGGGAGGTGGAGGTTGCTGTGGGCCCTGATCATGCCACCACACTCCAGGGACAGAGACCCGTCTCAAAAAAAAAAAATATATATATACATATATATATACATATACACATATATATCAAAATCCTGTTTTTCATGGAGTCACCCTAACCGTAACGCTCGTTTCTGTGTCTTTCCTCCTTTCCCTTCCCTCCCCTCCGGCTGCAAAGCCATCATTTACTGTCCCTAGTCCCTGGGCGGGCCCTGTATTCCTGAGCCCTCTCTGTGTCCTGCTACTGCAGGTGGCACACTGCTCCTCCGCCGGGTTGAAAACTCGCCACACAGGCCTGGAGCTCGGTTCTCTTTGGCTGGCGCCTCGCACGTGACCAGCAGGCAGCCGGCAGCTGTGGAAGCGGAGCCCAGAGCGCGGCAGGGCGGGGCCGGGGCCGGAAAGGCGCGTCTGCGCACGCCCACAGCTCTCCGCTTCCCGGCTCGGGCGAGGCTGTGTTGATTGGCTTAAGACGTGGGCTTCCCTTTGTATGGGCCGGAGGCGGAGTCCTGTCCCGCCCCGCGCCTGGCGGCAGTGTCTTCCGGTTCGCAAGCCCGCGGCGAGGTTCGTTCCCAGGCTCTGATTGGTCCGGCGGCACTGGGCTCGCGCGCAGGGTGCGGGGGAAGGGCGGGCTTGCGCACTGCGTCGGCCGCGCCCCGGCACCGGTGGAAGGGAGGTGTCCCAGGCTCCCACGGCGCCCGCGGCGCCCTCCTTCCGCCCCGGCCAGGCCCATGGGACCCGGCCCGCCCTCTGCCGTCCGTCCCCGGCGGGCCCGATGCCTGTCGGCCGCTGAGCCTCCGTCCCCATGCGGGCAGGTCCGCGCCTTCTGCGGGCTGCCTGGCTTTTGGATGCTTTGAAGGGGAACAATGGAGCGAAGGATAGACGGAGCAGCAGGGGGCAGTTGCGTTCAGGGCCTTAAATGCCAAACAAGTGCCCTAAAAGCCAGGGCCCAACACTCAGGCCCTAAAGTACGGGCTGAATGGGGCATCCTAGGAATAGCTCTGGAGTGAAAAAAGGAGTGAAGAGAGCGTTTGAAGGCACCGGCTGAGGCCTTTCCTGCCTGCCTGAGCCCTGTGGCTGGCTCTGCTGGGTGGAGGGACCTTTGGGGACCAGTCAGGGCTCGGATGGAGGGGCAAGATGTGTTGGGGCCAGCTAGTGAGAGGCGGGGCTCCCTGGTTCCCCTTGGCCTGAGGCAGCGGTGGGACGTGTGAGTCTCCCGACCAGGAGCAGGTTGGAGTGTGGGTGCGGCTGTACGCGCTGTGGGCAGGGGCGCAGGCTCTCTAGTCTCGCTGGAGGACTCGAACATCGGTACTTCCGAGACCAGCTGCTGGAAGTCCAGGTCCTGGGTCTGGCTAGCTCCCAGGCCTTGAAGCCCCAGGTCCTGCAGACACACACGACGACGTGTTCGAGAAGGGCCTTGGTACTGGGAGAAGGGGGCGGGGAGCTGAGGGAGTGTTTTTTTCCTTCTGGGCAAGAGAATTAATTGCTCACAGTTGAAAGGCAGGAAGTACCCGCACAGCCTCCCCTCCCCAGATCTGCAGGTCAAGGTCATGTGTGCCCGCATTTGCACAGAGCCTGACTCTGACATCCGTGCACACACACGCCTAGTACCCCTGCACTAGTGCCCCCACGCCCGCCTTCGGAACACACGCCTGGTGCCCAAGTGCCTTGCCTCTCTCCCCACATCTATACCCCAGGGATTTCCCTCCCACCAAATTGAAGCCAGTTGTCTGCTTGGCTTGTCAACCGCCTCCCGCCTCCCGCCTTCCCGATTTCCCGGAGAAAAGCTGCTGCCCTGTGGTAGAGGGTGGAGGAAAGCCCCACCACCCCTGGATGAGGGGGGCCCCAAGACTTGCCCCCAGGGTAGCTAAGACCTCACTCCGAGGGGGCTGCCCCCCTCAGGCCTATGACGGGCAGGTGCAGCTGCAGGGGAAGGGAGGCAGAGCAGTCTCTTCCGGCAGCAGGAAGTGGTAACCGCCTATGGGGAAATTGTGGGGCTGAGCAGAAGGGGAACCGGAGCTGAACTCTCCTCCCCTACCAAGGGGGCCTGGAGGGAACGGCAGCCAGCTGCTGAGGTTCTGCTCTCTGGTGCTGACCTTCCTTCCCCCTCCCCTCTGAACTTCCCACCCCAGCTCTCAAGGCTCCCTGGGGCTCCCTGGGCCTCTCTGGGGGCTGACTTGGGAAGGGAGGACCCCATCGGATGTCTGGGGGAAGGAGGCAACCCAGGGGGAGTCCAGAGCCTGGGGCAGCAATGGTGTTCATGGCCACTGGTACAGTGGGCCAGCGGCCCCGCTGTGAATGGTACAGTCTGGCAGTGGTGACCAGGGACAGCCTTCTGGAGGTGGTGGGATGGCAGCCTGGGATGCCAGCTTACGTTGGGGCTCTCACACCTGCTCCGGCTGCTTGGCAGCGGGGCTTTGGGCACAAGGCAGCCTAGGTGCAGGCCCAATGGGAGGGGACGGCAAGGCCGGGGCACAGTGGGGCTGGAAGGGGCGCCCTGCCCCCCCAGGAGCCCCTCGCGGGCAGTGCCAGCCCTGGGCCGCCCCGCCCCACCGGGAGCCGCGCTGGGGGCGGGGCTGGGCGGAGCCCGCGCAGGGTGCTGGCCGCAGCGCCCCCAAGTCCCGGCGCCGGGCCCGCTCACGGCCGCGTGGGAGCAGTGGGGTTCGACGGCGCGGCCGCGAGGCCGCCATGGCCGCTCACGGGAAGCTGCGGCGGGAGCGGGGGCTGCAGGCTGAGTATGAGACGCAAGTCAAAGGTGAGAGGGCGCCGGGCGCTCCCGGCCCGTTTCCTGCGGAGAACCCAAGGTCGTGAGGGAGCTCCAAGCGTCCCCGCGCTGGCCCAGGGCCCGATGCTCTCCCCAGCGACCTCTGGAGCGGGGGTGGAGGAGGGAGCCTGAGCCCCTTGCCTGCCTCCCGACGCCCATTTGGCCTCAACCGCCTGCCATTTTCCCTTCCTTCTTTCCTGTCTTCCTTCCTTTGGTCTCTGTCCTCCTTGGGTCTACCGCTTCTCACCCAAGGTTCAGTGGAGACACTGGTGGCCGCTGGTAAAAGAGAGCCAGATGCACCAACGTGCCCCTCAGAAGGCAGTATTTTAGCTACAGTGAAGTCAACCAGCTTGATTGGGCTGGGGGGTGAGTAAGGGAGTCCGGGTGAGTGGATTGGTGGAGATCACCTGGCCGTAACCCCACTGCAGTCCCTGGAGCTTCAGCACCTTTTGCCTCCCTTTAGCACTGAGGGGGAGCAGAGGCGAGGGCCACTGTCTCTGGGTCAAGCTGGCGCAGTGAGTCTTGGTTGAGAGATTTAACAGGGCTGGCTTCTCAGCCTTCTGAAATTGAACCTCTGGGTTCTGATAAACACCCATGTGCAAATCACATGCAAATCAGCTTTGCAAATTCTTAGCCAATAGCTTGTGCCCATCTTATTCAGGGCATGGTAACTCTTGCAAAGGAAAGAGGCAGCAGCTCAGTGCCAGCAGCTCGTCCATATCACTCTCAATCACTCCATTTTACCAATTACGGAAACAAGCTCAGAGAGGTGCAGTGACTTGCCCGTGGTCATACAGCACTGCAACTTCTAGGACGTAGAATGCAATGACCCTTGAAGTGCCTTTGAACCCAGAGATGTAGGTTCTAACATCATTATTCAGTGCAAGCAATTTATACCAAAGTATGCTCCAGTCCTCCTTTGGAAAAGGCAGCCTGTGTCCAGAGCCAGCTTGAGGTGACTACACAGGGTGAGCCAGCTTTCCAAGCCTCGCCATCATCTTGCTCAGATGGAGGTAATGATCTCCATCCTGCTTCCCCAAAATGCCATGAAGCTGAAAGACTTGGAAAACTTCAGTCAGCAAATATGGGTCAGTGATTTCACACTGAAAAGTTGGGGTTTCGAGCACGACTGTCTAAGGGTTCCTCACTTGCTCTGGGTCTGCATCCCACACCCTGGAAAAGCTTCCTACCATTCTACAAAGTGGGGTCACTGTCTTGACACCCTAAATTCTCAAAGGTCAGCATAGCGGTGGTTTTGGAGACCATCTTTTCTTCTGTTTTGCTTGTCAGCAGAAGTGAGACCAAATGCCTTGCTCACAGGAAGTGCTGGTGGGGCCCGGGGCCCAGCTCTGTAATTCAGGCAGACATGGATTCCAGCTCTCCTTTTGCCAGATGTTTCCTATACATCTGTGCTGTCCCAGGCCCTGGGAGTATACTGCTGTACCAGAGAGAACCCCGACTCCAGCCCCTCCAGCCCTGGCTTTTTACCCAGAGTAAAAGCAATGATTCAATGAGGACTCCCCTGATTTCAAATGGCGTCAGTGGCCACCCCGCCCTCACATGGCTCACGGGTCTAGTGGGGGAGACATAGACTTTGCATTATGATAATAAGCACTACAAAGGGAAGGAAAGTGCACGGTGCCAAGAAGGGGTCGGAAGAGGGCCAGCCCTAGTTTAGGGGGAGGTCAGGACAGGGTGTGCTGACGAGTTTGTCTGAACTGAGATCCGAAAGCTCTGCCAGGAAAGCCACCAATGCAATCGACTTGCAATTCACAAGTTGCCTGCTCAACACCAGCCGGTGTGCATGCCCGGATCTGGACTAGGACATGGCTTCCAGTCAGCTTTTGCTGCCGGCAGTGATGAAGAAAGGCAGCGGTTCCCTCTGCTGGTTCCTTCTGCACTGTTCAGTTGTCATAAGTCCCCAGGGATTGTATTCCTCTGGGGGAAGCAGGGCAGGGCAGGCTCCAGAGGGCCAGTGAGGCGAGCAGTTGTCTAACACCTTTCTTGGAATGAAATGAAATTTACTTTTATCAAAAAATGTTAAACTGGGCCAGGCGTGGTGGCTCACGTCTGTAATCCCAGCACTTTGGGAGGCCGAGGCGGGCGGATCACCTGAGGTCAGGAGTTCAAGACCCAGTCTGGCCAACATGATGAAACCCTGTCTCTACTAAAAATACAAAAATTAGCTGGGTGTGGTGGTGCGCCCCTGTAGTCCCAGCTACTCGGGAGGCTGAGGCGGGAGAATCGCTTGAACCCGGGAGGCGGAGGTTGCAGTGAGCCGAGATCGCACCACTGTACTCCAGCCTGGGCAACATCCTCCGTCTCAAAACAAAAAATCAAAACAAAACGTTAAACTGATTCAGTGAGGACTCTCCTGATTTCAAATGGCATTAGCGCCCACCCCACCTGGCCTTGGAGCTGACGAGTTAACCACAGGAGGCCAGCCTCGGATAGGATGAAGACACTCTCCATCTGTCTCACTTGGCATCGTGGGCTCTGCCCTGCTCTGTCGGGAGGTCCCGTGCCCCAGGCTTCCACTTACCCAGCTTGATCTGCCGGTGGGAAGAGCTCTCCTGTTCAGTAATTCAATTGGAAGGGTCAGGCTCCTGGGTCCCTCACCTGGCTAGTCTGGTGGGGGCAGGGAGTGGAGGGACAGAGGGATGGGTGACGCATGCAGCCAGGGCTGGGGCACCTGGAGTCAAGGGGGCTGAGACTAGGAAGGGGACATTCTCCAATAGGAGATCAGGGGAGGAGGTAGGGATGCTGGGCAGGCGGAACCCACAGGGTCCCCATGCAACAGCCCCTGGGAAGTCACTGGCGGGACAGAAATCCAATGGGATTGAGCTCTTCTCAGCGGAGTCCTCCCTCGCTGCTGCTGGTCTGAATCCTGCCGTCTTTTGCCTGGACTAGCACAGTAGCTGCCACCTGGGCTCCACCTGGCAGTGTGAGGGGGCCCTGAAAACGAAGCTGGACCACATCACCCCACTACTGTGGCTCCTCTCTCACTCGGAGTCCAGCTGGGAGCTCTGCCCAGACCCCGGGCTCTGTGCCATCTGTCCCTACCGGTCTCTCGGACTCCCCCTACTGCCCACGTACAGCCAGCTCCAGCCTTCTGCTCCAACGATGCGGCTTGTTCTTGACCACCCTCCTTTAAAAAGAGGTCCTCCCTGTCCCCACCCACCCCTGGCTCTGATCTTGCTTTGTGGGTTCATCTTCTCCGCACCCATCACTCCTGGGCATTCTGATATGTGTTCGTGCCCCATTCCAATCCCAGCTCCAAGAGGGCAGACACTTGGTCAAACCTCTTTGCCTTTGTATTTAAAACGTGCCTGCCACAGAATGGGTGCATAATCAACATTCTGCTGAATGAAGACATCAATTCATGTCCCTCCCTGGGGATGTGGATGGAGATGAGTAGGTGGGCAGCCTGCTGGCCAGAAGCTGAGCTAGCATCTTATTTACTCGGGACGGGCACTCAGGAGATGGCAAAAGTGTCTTCCGCAGGTTGCTTAAACTTGCTGGACAGGCACTTCTTTGCTTCAGGCCTGTGTGGGGGAAGCAGCGTTGCCAAATCAAGCCAGTGATAGGGTGTCAAAAGGCCGGCAGTATGGGGCCCTGGGTGTGACTCTCTCTGCAGGGTGGGGGAATGCACAGGTGGGGCGGGGGGTGATTGGGAGTGGGAAGTGGGGTCAGAAGACGGGGGCTAGCTCCCTGCCCCATTCTTTCACTTACAAGGCCGGATCAGCTCTCCCTGGCTCCCAGCCCTCACTGTGGACTGTCCTTTCCCCTGGGGCCTGAGGGCAGGCTTCCCCAGCCACTGAGACTGCGAGATCGCTGCAGGCTTGCCCTGAGCAGCACTGTGATCTGTGTGTTGTGTATCCGTGTGTTTGCAAGGGAGGCTGCCACCTCCCGGAGCCTGGGTACCGGCGGGAAAGGAAGTCGCAGGGGAAACCATTCAGAGGCTTTCCAGGAACGAGGGAGAGACAGGAAGCCAAACTGAAAGGTGCCTGGCTGGCGCTGGGGCGGCTCTCCCCTCTCTCTGGGACACCCTTCCCCTTCCCCCTCAACCGGGTGGCTCTGGCCATCTGTTGGCCTCAGCGCAGAGGTCGGCTGGACAGCTGAGGCCAGATCTGCCTGCAGGGGCCTAGCTTCTTTCCTCCCCTCTTAGCTCTTGCCCTCAGCCTAGGCTGGGTCCGAAGGAGCCCTCAGAGCCGACGGGACTGGGGTCTGTGTGCCTCTGCCTCTCCCATCCCACGCTGGCCTGGCTGACCCAGGCAGGGCGTGCTGACCAGGCCTGAGCCATGGTTCCCCCCACAGAGATGCGCTGGCAGCTGAGCGAGCAGCTGCGCTGCCTGGAGCTGCAGGGCGAGCTGCGGCGGGAGTTGCTGCAGGAGCTGGCAGAGTTCATGCGGCGCCGCGCTGAGGTGGAGCTGGAATACTCCCGGGGCCTGGAAAAGCTGGCCGAGCGCTTCTCCAGCCGTGGAGGCCGCCTGGGGAGCAGCCGGGAGCACCAAAGCTTCCGGTAGGTGATGTGCTGGCAGGGGGGCCACGGCAGGGCCCAAGCTCCGCTCCCAGGTCTCAGTGCCCCTCTACCCCCAGGAAGGAGCCGTCCCTCCTGTCGCCCTTGCACTGCTGGGCGGTGCTGCTGCAGCACACGCGGCAGCAGAGCCGGGAGAGCGCGGCCCTGAGTGAGGTGCTGGCCGGGCCCCTGGCCCAGCGCCTGAGTCACATTGCAGAGGACGTGGGGCGCCTGGTCAAGAAGGTGAGGCTCTCATCCTGGGCCACGGGAAGTGTTCGAGGCTTTGGGATCAGGAGGCACTGTGGCTGGGAGGGCACTGGAGGCCAGGTGGGGAGCAGGCAGAGCGAACCTGTGTGCCCCCCCGATGGGGCTTGATCTGGGCAGAGCTTCCAGTGCCTGGCGGGGCCGCTCTGGGCAGTGCCGTGCTCACCCTTGCCTCTGCCTCTAGAGCAGGGATCTGGAGCAGCAGCTGCAGGATGAGCTCCTGGAGGTGGTCTCAGAGCTCCAGACGGTGAGGAAAGGGCTGGGGAGGGGCCTGCCCCAATGGTCCAGGGAGAAATGCCACTCACAGTGGGGGAGGAACACCGCCAGACCATCACATCACCCCAAGCCAGGCTCAGGGAGAAGCACGCACCTAGGGGCAAAGGCCTCTCTCCCTAGGCACAGGGCGTTAGGCTAAGTGCTCACATGGGATCGCCCAGCTCTGAGGTCCAAGTTCCAGAGGGGCAGGGGTAGAGGGCTGGGGGCTGGCCCAGCCGTGGCCTTCACCAGCACCACCTTGCTTTGGGTCTCCCTGCAGGCCAAGAAGACGTACCAGGCATATCACATGGAGAGCGTGAATGCCGAGGCCAAGCTCCGGGAGGCCGAGCGGCAGGAGGAGAAGCGGGCAGGCCGGAGTGTCCCCACCACCACCGCTGGTGCCACTGAGGCAGGGCCCCTCCGCAAGAGCTCCCTCAAGAAGGGAGGGAGGCTGGTGGAGAAGGTGGGCCTGGAGGGCACCTCAGACGCAGGCCTATGGGCCATGGGCCCTAACTAGGACCTGCTGTGCTGAGGGGGAAGTCAGGGCTGGGTGCAGGGGAGGGCAGGAGTGGCAGGACAGTGCCATCAGGTTCCAGGGATTCCATACGGAAGGCTCCCAGGGCCTGAGAGAGTGGGGAAAACAGTTGCCTGGCCCTGGACAGCCCCATGCAGCCTCTCCATGCTCCCAGCGGGGCCCCTGCAGCTCTGCTGTTCTGCCAGCCATTCCGTAAGGTTTCAGAGGGGGGCAAGAAGACACTTAGGGTGGGTGATGGGGTGACACGCACGGAGAAAGGGCCTTCGAGGTGAGCCCAGTACAGAGAGTGGGGAGGCTGGGAAATGCCTGGATGGAGCCGCCAGGCTGTGCGTGGCTGACAGTCATGGTCTCTGGGACTCTGGGAGCAGAGGAGGGAGTCGAGCATCTCAGGTGTTCTTAGGGGAAATGACAGAGTTTGGCTGTGTTGGGGGAAGGTCTCCCTGGCTGCTGTGGTTAGCGTGCCAGCTTTAGCCAGGTGCGGTGACTCACGCCTGTAATCCTAGCATTTTGGGAGGCTGAGGTGGGTGGATCACGAAGTCAGGAGTTCAAGATCAGTGTGGCCAACATGGTGAAACCCCATCTCTACTAAAAATACAAAAATTAGCCGGGCATGATGGCGGGTGCCTGTCATCCCAGCTACTTGGGAGGCTGAGGCGGGAGAATCACTTGAACACAGCAGGCGGAGGTTGCAGTGATCTAAGATTGCACCACTGTACTCCAGCCTGGGCGACAGAGCGAGACTCTGTCTCAAAAAAAAAAAATAAAAAAAAAATAGAGTGCCAGTTTTAGAACCCAGGTGCCAGCAGGTTCTGTTTCATGGCTCTTGATGATCTATCCCTACCCTTTGGGGTACTCGTTCCCCCTCAGCTCTGGCCCCCGCAGAGGCCTGTGGCCGCTTCCAGCTGTGCACCTGTGTGCTGGCTCCAAGCTGGGTTTCTCGTGCACCCTCCATGGTGGGGTGCCATGTGCGCACCTTCCACTCATCAGGTATCTGTGAATAGTTCTGTGTCATCCCCCACTTCTGTGGGGAATGTTGTGGCTCGAACCAAGGCAAGTGGCGGGTGAACAGCCGGGGAATCAAGTCACCTCCTGGCACTGGGCTGAGCACACTGTGGACTGTGGCGTGGGGAAGGCAGCAGGACTTCTGGGCTTGACCAGTTCAGGTGTAGTTGTCCACAGTGGGAGGGGAGGCGATGGGCATTACATGAAAGGCTAGAGATAGGGGCTGGCCACGTGCGTGACCCTGGCACGCTTGCATTGTCTTGAGTAGCGGCAGGCCAAGTTCATGGAGCACAAACTCAAGTGCACAAAGGCGCGCAACGAGTACCTGCTTAGCCTGGCTAGTGTCAACGCTGCTGTCAGTAACTACTACCTGCATGACGTCTTGGACCTCATGGACGTGAGTCCTTGGTGGGCAGGTGGGAAAAGGTGCCTGGTGCCTCGGGGCTGGGAAGCTGTGGCTCCAGGACCTACCCAAGCATCTCCTTGTTTCCTCCTCAGTGCTGTGACACAGGGTTCCACCTGGCCCTGGGGCAGGTGCTCCGGAGCTACACGGCCGCTGAGAGCCGCACCCAAGCCTCCCAAGTGCAGGGCCTGGGCAGCCTGGAAGAAGCTGTGGAGGCCCTGGATCCTCCAGGGGACAAAGCCAAGGTTCTCGAGGTGCATGCTACCGTCTTCTGTCCCCCGCTGCGCTTTGACTACCACCCCCATGATGGGGATGAGGTGAGGGTCACCCCCTGCTGGGCTTGGCATTCTCTGGCCTTCACTGTAATGGTGGGCAGTGGAGTGGCATGACCCACACTTTGCTCAGGAATCCAAGTTCTCCATGGTCTCAGGCAGTGCGGCAGCTAGAGAAGTGTCCCACTTCCATTTGCAGCCTCACTCCAAGGGTGCACCCCCGCAATGGCCAAGGAGGGCAAGACACTAACTGTTCAAACCGTGCAGCAGGCAGCCGTGTAGCTGCCCATACATTGTTCTAGGCTGGTTTCTCTGTGTTTTTAAATTTCGTGACACAAACTTGGCAGTAAGATGGAATGGGGCTTCTTTATCCTTCTCCGTCGAGCTAGTTTTTCCTGCAGCAGTTTATCCTGATGGGCATTGTCAATGATCTGGGATTACATTGGGCCCCTTTCGGGCCGACTTGGAACTTTACGAAGAGTCCGGCATCACCAGGGCTTCCGATGGCGTCACAGCTGCTCCCTAACCCACCCCTCCCGTTCCCAGCTCCCACCCCCAGAAACAGCCACCCACCTCCCGGTGTCAAGCAGCCATTTTCCATTGGCCAATGATGACCCAGTGCCACCAGCATCTCTCACAGCCACCACACGCTTCCCTGCATCTTGTTCTCCCAGTGGGCTTATCCCAGAATTTTTGGCTAAATTAACATTCAATGTTTAAATCACCATGACAACAGGTACTGTTGGCAGCTGAGCCATGTACTGTATTAGGATCACATGTCCTTCCTTGGACAATTTTTCCTTTTCTTCTGGAATTTATAACTCTCTTGCCTCAGGAATGCTGCTTGCTAGAACATGCCCATTGCTAGGAGTTGATCGCTACCTCGTCCCAGCACTGTCCTCCACACCAGGCACCTGTGAGGTCAACCTTCTCCTCTGCGCCCTCCCCCAGAGCCTTCCAGTCTGGAGTGCTTCACTTCTGCCCAGTGCTCTGTTTCCGGATTCCACGGCAGCAGCTTTCTTAGTTTGATACCCTTATTTTGGTGACACCTTCACCAAGGGTTTCCTGACTTTGCACATCTGAAAATGTCTGTATTCTTTGTTTTGTTTTGTTGTGTTTTGTTTTTGAAACAGGGTCTCACTCTGTCCCCTCGGCTGGAGTGCAGGGGTGTGATGTGATCTCAGCTCACTGCAGATGCAACCTTCTGGTCCTCCCATCTCAGCTTCCCAAGTAGCTGGGACTACAGGCCTGCACTACAACGCCAGGCTAATTTTTCTATATTTTGTAGCAAGGGAGTTTCACCATGTTGCCCAGGCTGGTCTCAAACTCCTGGGCTCAAGCAATTGGCCTGCCTCGGCCTCCCAAAGTGCTGGGATTACAGGTGTGCCACTGTGCCCGGCCAACCCTTTATTCTTATTTCATGAATACAGTACTTCTTGAATCTTTCTGAAGCTTTTATTTTTTTTGAGATGGAGTTTCCCCCTTGTCGCCCAGGCTGGAGTGCAGTGGCACGATCTTGACCCACTGCAAACTTCGCCTCCTGGGTTCAAGTGATTCTCCTGCCTCAGCCTCCCGAGTAGCTGGAATTACAGGCACTTGCCACCACACCTGGCTAATTTTTTAATTTTTTAAATTTAATTTATTTTATTTATTTATTTTTTGAGACAGACTCTTTCTCTGTCGCCCAGGCTAGAGTGCAGTGGCGCAATGTCGGCTCACTGCAACCTCTGCCTCCCAGGTTCAAGCAATTCTCCTGCCTCAGCCTCCTGAGTAGCTGGGACTACAGGTGCCCGCCACCACGCCTGGCTGATTTTTGTATTTTAAGTAGAGACAGGGTTTCACCATATTGTCCAGGCTGGTCTTGAACTCCTGACCTCAGGTGATCCGCCTGCCTCGGCCTCCCAAAGTGCTGGGATTACAGGTGTGGGCCACCGTGCCCGACCCTTTTATTTTTATTTTTTAGTAGAGACAGGGTTTCACCATGTTGGCCAGGCTTGTCTCGAACTCCTGACTTCAGGTGATCTGCTTGCCTCAGCCTCCCAAAGTGCTGGGATTACAGGCGTGAGCCACCATGCCCGGCCTGAAATGTTTTTTGTTTTCTCCTGTTCCTGCATTTGCTCTATTTTCTTGCTTTTGTTCGTGAGTCCAAAATCCCTGCTATATCCTTTCCAGAGAGCAAATAGTTAGTTTTCTGCTGATCGTGTCTGTTTGGTGATTCTTGGCCATCAGTTCATATTTAAGAAGAGGCCTGAACACATACCCCACAAATGTGGGTGTCTGTGGTGTTTCCTCCTGGCCCGGCCAGTTTCCCCAGTAGAAACTCTTCTGACCCTGTCTAGGGAGGAGAGGGGGTGAGAGGGCTGGGGGCTCACTCTGCTGTGTGGATTTCCTTGGAACTACCTGGTTTTAGTTCCACACCCTCCAGCCAAAGCCTAGCAGGAACAGCCCTATAATCTCCATTGCTGGAGGGAGCCCTGCTCCGTGGGGAGCCTGGGGCCTCTCAGTGAGAGGGTAGTGGAAAGGCCTTAGAGGACTTGGGCTTGCCTTAGGGGATCTGGGGGAGGGCCCAGGTAAGTGGGGCTTGGTCCTGGATTGGATGCCTTCTGGAAGCAGGGTAATTGTATGATTGGATGTCTTGATTAATCTTATCTAGAAAGAGACAGTGATGGAGGCTGAAGTGATGCAAGGAAGTGACAGTCACTTACATTAGCCAGGATGGAGGGATGATTTTGTGGCTCGGAAGAAGTTCTTGATTTTGTCCTCACTCATGCGTGATCGCAGAGTGGTCTTGTTTCTGTCTTCGCCCATCAAGGTCACACAGTGGCCTTGCCTGATGTTGATGCTCTGGGTCATTTCCGGTGTTCAGCAGGACAGCACTGAGGCCGGGCTGATAGGACCAGGCCAGCTTCCGATGGTGGGGCTGCTGTGTTCTCTCATCTTCCTCATCTGGGACCAGTGTCCCTGAGTCCAAAATCCCTGCTATATCCTTTCCAGAGAGCAAATTGTTAGTTTTCTGCTGATCGTGTGAGTTTAGAGGAGGGATAAAATTTCAATGTTCCCCAGAGTATGCATACACTTATTTTTTCTCTAGAGAGAGGGTCTGGCTCTGTTGTCCAGGCTGGAGTACAGTGGTGTGATCATAGCTCACTGCAGCCTCCAACTCCTGGGCTCAAGCCATCCTCCTGCCTGAGCCTCCTCCTGAGTAGCTGGGACTATAGGTGCATGCCACCATGCGTGGCTAAGATTTGTACTTTAAAAACAATTATTTTTAACCTACTTATTTATTTATTTATTTTGAGACCAGGTTATGAGACAGGGTAATTTTTGTATTTTTGGTAGAGTCAGGGTTTTACCATATTGCCAAGGCTGGTCTCAAACTCCTGGGCTCAAGTGATCCACCCGCCTCGGCCTCCCAAAGTGCTGGGATTGCAGGTGTGAGCCAGTCCAGCCTAGATGGACTTTTAAAAAAAGGTGTGGCAGAATACACATAGCATAAAACATACCACGTTCACCATTTGTAAGTGTGCGGCCCAGGGGCAGAAGCACATTCACGGTGCTGTGCAGCCATCACCACCATCCAGCCGCAGAACTTGTTCATCTTCCCAAACTGAAGCTCTGGCCCCGTTCAACCCCAACTCCCCACCCCCCAGCCCTGGCACCCACCCTTCCACTGTCCGTCTCTACAGAGTTCACGGCTCTCCTTTGAGGCCCCTCACAGGAGTGGAATCCTACAGTGCGGGCCTTTCTGTGACTGGCTCCTTTCACTGAGTCCCATGTCCTCAAGGGTCAGCCATGTTGGAGCCCATCTCAAAATGGCCTTACTTTCTACTCTGTGACTTGCGCCTTCATGCAGTCCTGTACGGCGGGGCTTGGTGGAGATGGAGAGCAGGGCAAGTGTTTAGCCACAGCTGAATCCTCACTCTCAATTTTAACTGTAATGTCAATTTTCTAGATGTCTACATGCTTAAAAGAGTAATTCCTTCCTTTCTAAAGCGTTGGCTCCCACTCTGCCCATGAGGCAAGCTGCTCTCATCTTGCCACAGGGAAATTTATGTCTGCCCAGTTACAGTGAGCAGTTTTTCCGTCCACTCCTTTCCCTGGAAGAGGTGGGGCTGGGCTCTCCCTGTTCTGTCTCAGACCCCAGTCTTCCTTACCATTCTATTTCATTTTATTTTATTTTGAGATGGCGTCTCGCTCTGTCGCCCAGGCTGGAGTGCAATGGCTCCATCTTGGCTCACTGCAACCTCCGCCTCCCGGGTTCAAGCGATTCCCCTGCCTCAGCCTCCCAAGTAGCTGGGACTACAGGCGCATGCCACCGTGCCCAGTTAATTTTTTGTATTTTTAGCGGAGACAGGGT
The DNA here is from genome assembly GCF_000001405.40 of Homo sapiens. Lineage (NCBI taxonomy): Eukaryota > Metazoa > Chordata > Mammalia > Primates > Hominidae > Homo > Homo sapiens. The sequence continues at coordinate 153,914,519 of NC_000023.11, read as the reverse complement.
TTCACCGTGTTGGCCAGGCTGGTCTCCAACTCCTGAGTTCAGATAATCCATCCGCCTCAGCCTCCCAAAGTGCTTGGATTAGAGGCGTGAGCCACTGCGCCGGGCCACCATTCTGTTTTAAATAGAGTTTTATTAAGGTACGATTCATATACCATAAAATTCAGCACTGTAAAGTGTACAATTTGGTGGTTGTGCAGCCATCACCATGTAATTCCAGAACATTTTTGTCACCCCTAAAGGAGCCACTACTCCCCGTTCTCCTCTCCAGCCCCACTGGCACCCCACTGCTCCAGCTGGCACCCACTCTGCTTCCTGTCTCTATGGATTTGCCTGGCTGGACACTTCACATAAGTGGATTCATTCCTTCTCGTGGCTGAATCCTCTTCCATTCTGTGGGTAGACCGCGCTGAGTTTAGCCATCCGTCAGTTGGATGAGTGGTGCCGCCACGAACCTCTGTGGACAAGTCTTGGTTTGGACACGTGTGTTCACTCCTGCCATTCTTCAGCTGAGCGTCTGGGCTGGTGGTCCTGTGCCCGGCCGCCAGGCCACAAAAGGGTGCTTGCTTCCCTTATGCCCCGGGGATCTTGGCACCTACTGCCCAAGCCCAGCCCTTAGCCCCCTGGCCGCCGCCCTCTGCAGGTGGCTGAGATCTGCGTTGAAATGGAGCTGCGGGACGAGATTCTGCCCAGAGCCCAGAACATCCAGAGCCGCCTGGACCGACAGACCATTGAGACAGAGGAGGTCTGGGCAGCCCACCGGGGGTTAGAGGGAGACGAGGGCCTGGAGCCTGTACAGCCTGCTGTTGGAAGTGGCTGCCCTGCCTGCCCCCCTCCCTTTGGCCCCTTCCTTCTGACTTGGACTTCCTGTCTCCCTCCCTGTCCCCCACCTCTTACCACCCTGGTGTGGTCTCCTCTGCAGGTGAACAAGACTCTGAAGGCGACACTGCAGGCCCTGCTGGAGGTGGTGGCCTCGGATGACGGGGATGTGCTTGATTCCTTCCAGACCAGCCCCTCCACCGAGTCCCTCAAGTCCACCAGCTCAGACCCAGGCAGCCGGCAGGCGGGCCGGAGGCGCGGCCAGCAGCAGGAGACCGAAACCTTCTACCTCACGGTGGGGAGGGCTGGGCTGGTGGGCGGGACCCGTGGGGGCATTGCTGGGGCAGAGGGAGGGGCTCAAGCCAGGGCTAACACTTGGGGCTCTTCTTGGGGCTGCCCAGAAGCTCCAGGAGTATCTGAGTGGACGGAGCATCCTCGCCAAGCTGCAGGCCAAGCACGAGAAGCTGCAGGAGGCCCTTCAGCGAGGTGGGCCCAGTGCTGCCCCCTTCCCCGCCTCTCCCCTGCCCAGGACCCTGTCTAGCCCACGGTCCTCCCCTCCCGCCTGTCCTTGGCTCTTATCCACACCTTTCTCTCTGGGATGCCTTGAAGACCCCTGGCCCGAGAGGCAGACCAATGTTCTCCCACCCCACAGGTGACAAGGAGGAGCAGGAGGTGTCTTGGTGAGTCCTCCCTGAGGGCTGGGGCCCTGCGACGGTCCGCCATCTCTTCTCTTCCTGGGGCCCAGCTCAGCTGCCCAATCCCCTGGGCCTCACTTCCCCAGTTTTCGCACTGGATTGTGGAATAACTTCAGAGAATTAGAGGCCGGCTTGGCTGGCCTGGGGGGTGGGGCACCCTATTCTCCACACCTGGCCCCCTCAGAGCCAGCTCCCATTCACTGCAGGACCCAGTACACACAGAGAAAATTCCAGAAGAGCCGCCAGCCCCGCCCCAGCTCCCAGTATAACCAGAGACTCTTTGGGGGAGACATGGAGAAGTTTATCCAGGTACTAGCTTTGCCCCACATGCCAGCCCACCTGTACATGCTGATCTTTCTTCAGCTCTGGGTCACCTCAGTGGCCGGAGCAGCTGCCTGATCCCAGGGTCCTCCACTCTCAATCAGTCATCAACTGTCCTTTTCTGGGTGGGCCTCTTCCAGGCCACTGTTGGGCTCCCCTATAGCCTCCGCTGATTGAAGGGAGCATCCTTAACTAGTAATGGGAACGTATAGAAAACCTGGGGCAGCGGCATTTTTAGGGGCGAGATATTGAGAGCTTCTCCCCTGCGACTTCTGGCCAGCATGGTACTGGGGGTCCTGGACAGTGAAATAAGGGGAAGCAAGAAAGATCAGAAAACTAATACTGAGATCAGAAAGCATCAGAGGGGGCCAGGCACGGTGGCTCACACCTGTAATCCCAGCTCTTTGGGAGGCTGAGGTGGGCAGATCCCTTCAGCCCAGGTGTTCGAGACCAGCCTGGGCAACATGGTGAAACCCCGTCTCTACTAAAAATACAAAAATTAGCCAGGCATGGTGGCACGTGCCTGTAATCCCAGTGAAAGAAAGAAAGAGAGAGAGAGAGAGGGAAGGAAAGAAGGAAGGAAGGAAAAGAGAGAGAAAGAAAAGAAAAGAAGCAAGCAAGCATCAGAGAGGGCCAGGCATGGAGAATACCAGAAGATCAGAACTGATATCGTCATTTTCAGTGATGTGGTTATGCGTGTAGCATATTCAAAAGAATCAACAGATTCTTTAAACGAGCACTTTGAGTTTCTTTCTTTTTTTTTTTTTTTTTATTTGTTGAGACTGGTTCTTGCACTGTTGCCCAGGCTGGAGTGCAGTGGCACGATCTCAGCTCCCTGCAACCTTCACCTCCCACCTGCTGGGGTTCAAGCGATTCTCATGCCTCAGCCTCCCAAGTAGCTGTGTGCACCATCACACCTGGCTAATTTTTATATTTTTAGTAGAGGTGAGGTTTCACCGTGTTGGTCAGGTTGGTCTCGAACTTCTGACCTCAGGTGATCCTCCTCCCTTGGCCTCCCAAAGTGCTGGGATTACAGGCATGAGCCACCACACCCAGCTTGAGTTTTGAAATGTTACTTGATTCAAGATTGGTGTACAGAATTCAATTGCATTTGTATATTCCAGCAACAATTTGCAAATACAACGTAAGGCACTGCCTAAAACCTCATCAAAAATATCAGACACCTACGAGTGGATCTAACAAACGGTGTGCTAAGCCTCTGTGCCGACAACGATGATGTGTTCTTCAGAGAAAATAAAAGCACTCAGCCTGGTGCGGTGGCTCATGCCTGTAATCCCACCATTGGGGAGCTTGAGGCAGGAGTATCACTTGAGCCCAGGAAGCTGAGGCTACAGTGAGCCGAGATCACGCCAGTGCACTTCAGCCTGGGTGACAGAGTGAGACCTTGTCTCAAAAAAAAAAAAAAAAAAAAAAAGCAATTGAATGACAACACAGGGCATGCTGTGTCCATGGTGAAGTAAACACCCTCTGTCCCCAGAGCTCAGGCCAGCCTGTGCCCCTGGTGGTGGAGAGCTGCATTCGCTTCATCAACCTCAATGGTAAGCAGGACCCAGCCCCTCCCGATGTCCTGGCACCCAGCACCCAGTTCCCAGCACCTGGCATGGGAGGCCATCCTGGAGGGGCTGGGGAAGATGCTCAGTGCCCACCAGCTCCTTGTCCTCCCACAGGCCTGCAGCATGAAGGCATCTTCCGGGTATCGGGTGCCCAGCTCCGGGTCTCAGAGATCCGTGATGCCTTCGAGAGAGGTGGGGACGGGCAGGGCGGGCGGGGGTGGGGGCTCGGGCAGATGTCACCAGCTTCCTCCCCCTACCGCACCACTCGCCCATCTGCAGGGGAGGACCCACTGGTGGAGGGCTGCACTGCCCATGACCTGGACTCGGTGGCCGGGGTGCTGAAGCTCTACTTCCGGAGCCTGGAGCCCCCACTCTTCCCCCCAGACCTGTTCGGCGAGCTGCTGGCTTCTTCGGGTGAGGCTGGGGCCTGAGGCTGGCGGGGTAGGGCACTTGCTGGGGCAGCCCCGCTCACGCGGCTCTCTCTGGGCGGCTTTGGCCACAGAGCTGGAGGCCACAGCGGAGAGGGTGGAGCACGTGAGCCGCCTGCTGTGGCGGCTGCCCGCGCCGGTGCTGGTGGTTCTGCGCTACCTCTTCACCTTCCTCAACCAGTGAGTGCTGCGGGGCGAGTGCTGGGGTGGGGGCCAGGGGTCGAGGGGACAGGGGGACTCGGGGTGCGGGCTCTCTGCTTGTGATGTGCGTGTCCCCCCAGCCTGGCCCAGTACAGCGATGAGAACATGATGGACCCCTACAACCTGGCCGTGTGCTTCGGGCCCACGCTGCTACCGGTGCCCGCTGGGCAGGACCCGGTGGCGCTGCAGGGCCGGGTGAACCAGCTGGTGCAGACGCTCATAGTGCAGCCCGATCGGGTCTTCCCGCCCCTGACCTCGCTGCCTGGCCCCGTCTACGAGAAGTGCATGGCACCGCCTTCCGCCAGCTGCCTGGGGTACACCCTTGGTGCTGCCGAGGGGACTGGGGGGTCCACTGGAGAAGAGCCCCCCTCATCTGCCTCGCTCTGCCCTGAACCTCAGGGACGCCCAGCTGGAGAGCCTGGGGGCGGACAATGAGCCGGAGCTGGAAGCCGAGATGCCCGCACAGGAGGATGGTGAGGGCGATGGGCAGAGAGCCCCACCCTGTCCCCACCCTAGTGTCCACACCCCCTCCCACAGCTTGGACCCCCTCTCCTCCCCAGACCTGGAGGGGGTCGTGGAGGCTGTGGCCTGCTTTGCCTACACGGGCCGCACAGCCCAGGAGCTGAGCTTCCGGCGGGGGGACGTACTGCGGCTGCACGAGAGGGCCTCGAGCGACTGGTGGCGGGGGGAGCACAACGGCATGCGGGGCCTCATCCCCCACAAGTATATCACGCTGCCCGCCGGGTGAGTGAGCCGCGCCCTCAGGCCCCAGGGCTCCCGGAGTCTCCCCTTCATCCACCCCTCCCCCGACCCCAAGTTAGATTCTGAAGGTCTGGGCTGGGCCAGAGAACAGAGCCTCTCTGACCACTCCTGGCTGGCGCGGAGCTGCTGGCCCTGGACCCCGTGCAGGGAAGGAGCACTCGAAACAGGCCGGTCCTTCCCACCGCAGGACGGAGAAGCAGGTGGTGGGCGCAGGGCTGCAGACTGCAGGGGAGTCTGGGAGCAGTCCCGAGGGCCTCCTGGCATCGGAGCTGGTCCACCGGTGAGCAAGAAGACGGGGCTCAGGGGGCCACACGTGTGCTGTTCTAGGCCAGAGGGGACTGGGGTCAGGCTTTGGCCAGTGGGAGTGGGAGGAGTTGGCAGATGAGGACGTGACAGAATGACCCAGCTTGTGACAGGGAGAGGCTCTAGAGGAGCTTGGGGACCACTGGGCCAGCCTCCTTTCCTTGGCCACACCCCAGGATGGGAGGAGCCACTGCCCAGCTAGCTCAGGGACTTCCCAGGGCCCCCACCAGGCTCCCTGTCTGTCCTGCAGGCCAGAGCCATGCACCTCACCTGAGGCCATGGGACCCTCTGGACACAGACGACGCTGCTTGGTCCCAGCCTCCCCAGAGCAACACGTGGAGGTGGATAAGGTGAGAGTGGGTGTGTGGCAGGTGAGGGACATCTGTCCTGGGGGATCTCTGCCTCCCCTTGGAAGCCAAACTCCTCCCTCCTCGAGGTTCCAGTCGTTGCCCTCCCTGGCCTTAGCTCAAGGGAACCTGCCGCCAGACACACAGGCCCAAGGCAGAGCCTGTGGAGGGCAGGAAGGCAAAGATGTGAGGGCGGGTGGGGATGGAGAGGGACGGCTACGGAGGCAGGGATGAGAGGGACAGAAGACACCTGGCTTGCACGTTGGGATTCATGTTCAGCTTCAGAGCAGGGAGTGGCAGGGCTGAGTTAAGGCTGTTTACCTGGTAGAGGCAAGGGACTCCAGGGCAGATTCAAGGCTGGCATTTGTAGCTGGGCTAGGTAACAGGCGGTGCCATGGCAGGCGCTTGGCACGCCAGGGAGGATGAAAGGGACAGATGGCAGGGAGGCAGGAGGGGGTGGCTGGTTGGGGATTGGGGTGGGGCAGCAGCGGCTCTCGAAGGAGCAGAGCGAAGGCTCAAGATGTGGCCCTGGCAAGCGCACAACCTGGGGGACCCTGCTCCGTGCTCTGTACCATGGGCCCTGTGAACACTGTCGGGCTGAACGTGGAAGCCCGCGGGACAGTTGCTAAGCCCAAGGAGGAGAGAGCCCAAGAACATGCGGGTGTCCCAGGTGTGGCCAAGCCCCCAGGCCCAGGGAGCCCAGGGAGGGTCCGGTAGACACGGAGGAGCAGGAGCGGGAGCCAGGGACAGGGCAGCCAGGAGACGCCATGGGAGGACATTGACTGGGGAGTCCCCGCACGCTGGCGGTCCCTGAGGCCATGGGCAGGGGGCTGTGATCTCTGCCAGGGAAAGAGTGGGGGCGAGAAGAGGGGGGTCCCCACTTCCGGGCTAAACCAAGGAATTGCTGTCCTCAGAGGAGACTGTGACAGAGACACCAACAGGGACAGGAGGGATGCCAGGTGCAAAGTGGGGGAGAGTGACCTGGAGGCTGAGGGACTGGGGATGTTGGCTGAGGGCTTGCTTTGGGAGTGGGAGGAACTCAGGTGGGTCTTGGGCAGGGTCAGTCGGGGGAACTCACTGGTCACTCTCCCTTTCTTTCCCCTCCGCTAGGCTGTGGCACAGAACATGGACTCTGTGTTTAAGGAGCTCTTGGGAAAGACCTCTGTCCGCCAGGGCCTTGGGCCAGCATCTACCACCTCTCCCAGTCCTGGGCCCCGAAGCCCAAAGGCCCCGCCCAGCAGCCGCCTGGGCAGGAACAAAGGCTTCTCCCGGGGCCCTGGGGCCCCAGCCTCACCCTCAGCTTCCCACCCCCAGGGCCTAGACACGACCCCCAAGCCACACTGAGGTGCCGCTGCTGGAGATGCGTGCCCCCGGCGGCTACCCGCTGGACCGGCCACTCTCCCCAGCCCCCTTGCTTCTCTCCAGCCCTGTCCAGCAAGTGCAGGGTGCCTGCACTTCACCCTGTGCAGAGAGGTGGGATGGGGCCGTGCACACAGGGATGCCCGCTCCACATCCTGCCTGCCCCTCAGCCCTGGCCCAGGCCCCTTTTGGAGGCAGCTGAGGAAGGATGCTGGGGAAAGCCCTCTTCTGCAGCTTTGTGGAAGGCTGATCAGTGGCTGCTGGGTGGCGGGTACCCTTGCTCAGATGCCTGGCAGGGCTGGGTGGCGATTCATAAAGACCTCGTGTTGATTCCCCGATGGGAGCCAGCTCTCTGTCTCGGGTGGGCAGGTGGGTGCTGGAGGTGAGAACAGCTTCCCCAGGGGTCCTGCAGCTTTGAAGACTTGGCTGCCTGCGCCATGGATTCCAGAGCTGTGCACGTGACTGTGGGTGTGTGTGGGGAGTCTGTGTATGTCTCTGTGCTGCCTCCACACCCACCGTTACCCGGATCCAAGGAGACCCCTTGCCATGTGGAAAATGAGCTCCAATTTTTATTAGGGAGAGAATGAGGAGGGAGGGATTAGAAAGGCGGAGACAGGAAGGTCCCCTGGCCCCAGCCTGGTCCTTCCTTTTCAGGCCCCTGGGACCGCTGTCTCACCTGGGGGCACCTGCTCCCTCTTTCCTGCCACTCCTCAGGCCTCTGCTGCAGCCCCTCCTACACCCAGCTCAGTGAGCTGACCTGAGGGGCCCCCACAGTCCTGGGGCCTGAAGCTCTCCTCATACAGCTGGGGATGTGGAGACCCAGGCAGGGGCTGTGGCTTGTCCAGGGCCACACAGTGTCCCAGCCTCGGGGCCACAGGCTCTGGCCAATTCTCCACGGGTCCCCCTCCCAGTGGCTCCCAGGACCAGCCCCAGGAAGGCAGCTGAGCTTCTCAAAGCCTCTAGAGGCAAGACACCCAACAGCTCCTCACGATGAAGTGTCCTTGGCCAGGGAGGAGCTGGCGGTGGTGCAGGACTCATCTTGGGGACCCAGGCTGGGTGGGGTGCGTCCCCGGGCACAGCAGAGCAAGCTTCGCAGCTCTGAGGACACGCTGCTGCTGAAAGATGCATAGATCCAGGGGTTGGTGCAGCTGTTGAGGCTGGCCAGCAACATGAGTAGCACAAAGGGCGCCCCTGTGGAGGTGGAGGATCTAGGTTGGGTTCAGGATGGCTGGTGGGGCACAGGGGCATGCGGCCAAGCCCAAGTGGCCCCGTCAGCCCTAGCCACGGCTACACCCACCTTCCAGAGGTGCCTCCGGGTCCCACGCGGCCCACAGCTGCACCAGGAAGAAGGGTGCCCAGCACAGCACATAGACGACCACAATCACTAGCGTCATCCTCACAGTCTTGGCCACAGCTGCTGACACGTGGGCTCCCTCACCGGGGCTGCCTGTCCGGCGTCCCCTGCGGCGCCCCCCAGGCCTCTCTGATGGCCCTGGCACCAGACTGGCATGAATCTCCCGGAAGATGAGCACCTGGCAGGCGGCGATACCCAGGGTAGGTGCCACGAACACCATCAGGGCAATCCAGGTGACATAGGTGCGACGGCCCCAGGGCTCCGCAAAGCAGGCCCAGCAGTCAGTGACCCCGCTGCCACCTTCCACGTTGCGCTGGGCGAAGATGAAGAGCTGGGGCAGGCTGAGAAGGAGCGAGAAGGCCCAAGCCACTAGCACCGGCCGGTTCCAGTGAGCCCCACTTCCATGGCGGTACGCCAGCATGGGACGGCAGATGGCACGGTGGCGGTCCAGCGTCATGGCCAGGATCATGTAGGAGGAGGCATACATGCCCACCATCTGCAGATACTTCACGGCCCGACACAGGGCATCTGGCCCACGGAAGCGGTCGGTGGCCTTCCAGGCCAGCTGGGGCAGCACTTGGAACAGAGCCACGGCCAGGTCGGCCAGGCACAAGTGGCCAATGAAGACGTGTATGGGTGCCCAGTGGCCCCGCCGGCCCCGCCGAGCTAGGGCCGCCAGCACCAGGCCATTGCTCAGGGCCACAGCCACAAAGACTATGGAGAGCAGCGCCAGCTCCGCCCGGGCTAGCAGCGGGTCCCGGGTGTCCAGTGGCCTCTCCTGGCTGCTGTTGCTGGGCAGGCTGGGCAGAGAGGGATGCCCAGGCACAGCTGGGAAGGAGTCGGGAAGAGGGCCTGGTTAGAGAGGGTGCTGTGCAGGGGGACTCAGGCCTGCCTCCCGTGCCCCCATCCGGACACCCACTTCCTGGCTCCTAGCAGAGGGGACTCCAGGAAAGCCATGTTATGAGGGATACACACCCCAGGCTCATGCAGTCCAGAAGGAAGGGCAGCCCCAGCCCCAGCCCCAGCCCCAGCCCTGGCGGGGAAGTGGGGCTGTGCTCCCCTCCCCACTCATTGGCAGCCTGGAGAGACACACCCAGAGGTGAGGGTGAAGGAGGTCTTTAGAAAGAGGGGCTTCCCTGAATCGTCAAACCCACTCTGCCCACCGGACTCATGGAGGGGCAAGCCTTACCGGAAGTGGTGGACGCCATGAGCATGGTGGGGCTGGGGCAGGTGTTCTGAGGGCCTGGAGGTGATGTGCGGACTCAGCCTCTGCCTGAGGAGCAAGTTCAATGGCCCAGGGTCTCTGGACTGGAGCCCTTATAGAGATGCCAGCATGGCAGATGCCTGTTGGCGTGTGTGCACGTGTCGGTGGCAGTATGGCCAGTCCTGGGCAGGGAAGATTGAGAGGGATGGTCAGACAGACGGATGCACAGAACCCAGGATCCCCCAGGCAGCCCATGAGTCCCGGGTTTGGGAGTGGGCACCCCAGACAGACACGCAGAACTCCCCTGCCCCAACCGAGGCCGAGAGAGGCCACCATCCGAGGGCTGGGGACTGGGCAGGGGGGCAGGCAGGCGCAGCCCCTTACCTGGCTGGGCTCCTGGGCAGCTGGGCGGTGGCGTGAAGGTGGCTGGGTGCTCAGATCTGCTCTCCATCGGCTGCCCTGCCCTGGCCCAGCCCAGCCTCTGGGAGTGACCTGGCCAGGAGGGGACTTCCTCCCCCTCCCCCTTTCCCCCAGGCCTCCCCTGGCCTCCTGTTTCCCTTCCTTTCCCCAGGGCCTCCCTGGTCCCGGCCCAGGACTCCCTCCTCCCACTGCCATAGCCTCCACGCCCACCCTCACCCTACCACGCCCCCCTGGTTGGATTGTCTGGGTTGGCAGTGCTCTGGGAGGTCACTTAGTTCAGCATTCCCATTTTATAAGTGGGGAAACTGAGGCCAGAGAGCGGTGGGTCTGGCCCAGGACTGCGCTGCTTTTTCATGGGAGCTTCACGCCCCCTTCCCAAGTTGGGGTCCTCCTGCTCCTCGCTGGGCCCAGGCAAGGAAGGGGTGAAAACACTTTCGCTGGGCCCCTCCCAGGCCCACGCAGGCCCCTCCTCCTCCCCAGTTAGGGCCCAGTTGGCCGGAGACGAGGGACAGGAAAGGGAGGAGTGGGGCAGGGGCCAAGCCAGGCTTCACGAACCCCTGTGAGATCCAGGGACACCCCCACCCTCTTCCTCCTGCCCCACCTGCAACTACCTGTCCTAGGAAGAGGGGCTGGGGACCTCCGTGTGCTCACGGGCTCCCTCCCACCACACACAACCTCACATGATACAGCCACACAGCCACAAACACACAACACAGAGACGCTCGCTCATGTTCTTGAACATACCATGAGTATGGACGCACCTTCCCTGTACCTGAGCCCTCCTCCTCCCTCCCCCAACACCTCTCTCCTTCCCCTGTCCCCACACCCCCTCCAGCCCCCATCCCAGTAGTTCTCTTTCCACTCCCCCCGCACCCAGGCCTGGCTTGGCTCAGCCGAGGCCAGCCCAGCCCAGCCCAGCCCAAGGCAGCTGCTTTCTTCCTGTTTGTCTGTCTTCTCTGTTGCCTGTGAAGCCAGAGACCAAAACAGCCTCACGGACCAGGCCCAAGTCCGGCCCGCGGCCAAGGCCTCCTCTTCCTGCCCAGAGAGCCTGGCAGCACCCTGGCCCCTCCCGGCCCTGTTAGGGTGGTGGGAACACAGGGTGGGCATTTTCCAGAGACAGCGCACACACCACACCACATACATACATGCACACAGCCACACGCCACACACACATGCACCCACCACACACCCATACGCCACACCACACACACACCACACCATGCACACATATATTACACACCACACACATGCACACATCACACACTCCCATACGCCACACACCCACACATGTACCCACCACACAGCCATACACACCACATACGCACAGCCAACACCACACACGCACACACCCGCAGCACACACAGGTGCACATCACACCCCGCATCTTTGCCATGTTTTTGCAGAGCCCCTTGGGGGCAGGCTGCAGAGTGCTGGCACCCCAGGCCTGACGCTTCAGCTGCATCTCCTCAGCGCATGCACATCCTCATGCTGTCCCCAATAACCGCATGCTGTCACTAATCTAGGAGCATAGAAAAGGCCTTCCTAATGCCACCCAGATCAGTGGAATAGGAGATGGCTTCCCTCAACTGGCAGAGAATTTGGGGACCCTGGCTGGGGAATAGGAAAGCAAGGCTCCAGCCCCTGCTTGGCCCCTGCCCAGTAGTGTGACCTTGAACAGGCCACGCCAGCTCTTGGCACCTCAGCTTCCCCTTCTGTGCAATGGGACTTGATGATTGAGGGAGACTACGGTGGTAAGATGGGCAGGGGTGGGGACTGGCAGGGCCTTGGGAAAGCCTTTGTTCCCTCCGTCTAAAGCCGGCTAGGGCGAGGAATCCATGCTAACCTTTTGGGGTGAGCAGACAACCATCTCCTTATCAGTTTCTCTGCCTGAACGAGGCTGTGCAGTGCCGGATCTCAGCAGCAGGTTGGGACCTCCCCTAGCAATGTGGCCAGGCCCGTGGCAATCTCTGCCCCCCTGGACTCCTCGCTTCCTGTTGTTAAACTAGGGAAGAATCTGGAGGAAGGGCCCGCATGGCGGTCTCCTCTGGGATGCAAGAAGCCAGATCAGGATCCAGTGCCATTCTGCTCAGCCAGGACCCCGGGGAGGAACTGGGAGCCACATGGGCAGGCACTACATGGAACTGTGCCAGGAGAGAGGCCCTGGGCAGCCACCCCTCGGGGGCCAAGAAAGATGGGGCTGGGCAGCAGCTCCCATGGGAAGAAGGGCAGACTGTGCTGATTCACGCTAGGCCCACATGAGTCACTCAAGCCCCTGCCCTTGGGCGTTAACGGGCAGGGCATCTACCTGGGGGTGTGCCAGGCCCCCACTCCTGCCAGCGCAGCCCCTGTGTGCACACCTCCCACTGGTCCCTCTAAGACTTGCAGAAAGGGCTCTGTGAGTGCCAAGGTGTGGCTCCTGATCTTCCAGCCTAGTGTCTGGGCAGAAGAGGACAGGAGGCAGATTGGGGGGACACTGTTTGTCCCTCTCTATCTACCGGTTCCCCATGATCAGAACCTTCCATTCACCAAACTGCAAGTGCCGCTGGCCTAGCACTGTGGCTGCAGAGATGGAAGGACCTGGGCTCTGCCCCAGGAGCACATGGGCTTCTGCAGAGAAGAGTGGAGGCAGGGAGGCTGGTGGAAGCTGTGCCTGTCACCCAGGAGAGAAATGGTGCGACCCACTTAACACTGGGCAGCGGGGCTAGAGGGAGCAGGCAGGTGGAAAAGGCATTTAAAGGGCCCTGAAGGATTTGTAAGGGGTGGAAGACAAAGAGGAGGCAGCCAAGGACGAGGAGAAAGAGGCCCCCGATTGTGTGGGAGGGGTGCATGTGCAGATGGTGGAGCCTGTGGGCAGTGGGAAGGACGGAGCCAAGTGCCTGTCAACAGGAACGGCCCTCACAGGGACTGTGACCCGAAGGAGAATACCTAGAGCCCAGGAGATAGGGAGGAACAACGGGTTGGAGGATGGGATTGAAGGGGACAAAAACAAATTTAATAAAAACTCAAGTGTACTTGTGTGAATGTGAGGGTGTGTGTGAGGGTGTGCGTGTGTGAGGGTGTGAGAGTGTGTGAGGGTGTGTGTGAGAGTGTGCGTATGTGAGGGTGGGCGTGTGTGTGGGGTGTGTGTGGTGTGTGGTGTGTGAGGGTGTGCATGTGAGGGTGTGTGGTGTGTGTGTGGCGTGGGTGGTTGTGTGTGAGGGTGTGTGGTGTGTGTGTGTGTGGCGTTGGGGGGGTTGTGTGTGAGGGTGTGCGCGTGTGTGAGGGTGTGTGCGTGTGTGAGGGTGTGTGCGTGTGTGAGGGTGTGTGCGTGTGCCAATGATGACAGGAAGACAGCCTGCGGATGATCATCTAATTGTGTCCATTCACCTAAGTGAATAATAACTGGGAAAGCTGGACAGAGCCTGTTTATAGCTGCGGAAAGGCAGCCCATGGAACTGGATAGATTAAGAGCCTCGCGGAGTGGAAGGGAGGGCCAGGGTCTCCAGCAGGTGCTGGGGTGAGGGGCGGGGGGTAGAAGGAGGGTGAGCGTTGAGGGCTTGAGGGCCGTACCCATAGATGGCCTCCAGGTCATCATGTGAGAGTCAGGCAGGAGGCGGCTCCCTGGCAAAACTGCAGAGATTTTTTTTTTTTTTCTTTTTTAAAGGCAGTGGCCCCTCCCGCTTTCCTCCCCAGAGGCGGCCGACTGCAGTTGCTGTTAGTGGGCTGTTTGGGTAACTGCCTCGGGGTTTCCCAGTCTGACTTCCTCTTGCTCTCTCTGCCTGCACGTTCCTCCCCCAGATTATTGCAGCAGCTGCTCCGGGTGTCTTCAGTGCTCATGCACTCACCACCCTGGAATGGCCCTCCGCAGGCAATGATTTCTCTCCTCCAGAATGACTTTTTTTTTTTTCGGCTTTATTGAGGTATGATTAGCATACAGTAAAATTCATTAATTGTAATTGTACTGTTCAGTAAGATTTGACAAATGTATACAGTCGTGTAACCACAACCACAATCATGACATAGAATAAATATTTTCGACATTCCAGAAAGTTCCCTCGTGGCCTTTTGCAGTCAAGCTTCTTCCCCTACCTGAAAGCCTAGCAACCACTGATCTATCACTATAGATTTTCCTTTTCTAGAATTTTATATAAATAGAATCATAGAGTATGTAGTATTTTCAAAAATTAGCCGGGCGTGGTGGCGCAAGCCTGTAATCCCAGCTACTCAGAGGCTGAGGCTGGAGAATCGCTTGAACCCGGGAGGCGGAGGTTTCAGTGAGCCGAGATCTTGCCATTGCACTCCAGCCTGGGTGACACAGCAAGACTCCGTCTCAAAAAAAAATAATAATAAAAATAAATAAATAAATAAAAGAGTACATAGTATTTTGTGTAACTTCTTTTTTTTTTTTATATTTTTTTTGGTGGGGAGGAGGCATAGTCTCTCACTCTGTCACCCGGTATACTGAAAGCTTTTATCACAAGTGAGTATTGAATTTTTTTCTTTTTTTTCTTTTTTTTTTTGAGTCGGAGTTTCACTCTTGTTGCCCAGGCTGCAGTGCAATGGCGAGATCTTGGCTCACTGCAACCTTCGCCTCCCAGGTTCAAGAGATTCTCTTGCCTCAGCCTCCCAAGTAGCTGGGATTACAGGCAAGCGCCACCATGCCCAGCTAATTTTGTACTTTTAGTAGAGACGGGGTTTCTTCATGTTGGTCAGGCTGGTCTCGAATTCCCGACCTCAGGTGATCCACCTGCCTCGGCCTCCCAAAGTGCTGGGATTACAGGCATGAGCCACCACACCCGGCCAATTTTTGTGTTTTTAGTAGAGACAGGGTTTCATCATGTTAACCAGGATGGTCTCGATCTCTTGACCTCTGATCCACCCACCTTGGCCTCCCAAAGTGCTGGGATGACAGGTGTGAGCCACTGTGCCTGGCTGTTGTTTACCATTTTTACATCTGTATTAATGAGAGATGCTGGTCTACGTTTTCCCTTTCTGTAATATCTTTGGTTTGGGGATGAGTATAATGCTGACTTTATAAAACGAGTTGGGAAGTGTTCTCTCTTTTTCTGTTTTCTGGAAGAGTTAGTATAGAATTGGTATTATTTACACAAACCTGGAGTTTTCTTTGTGAGAATTTTTTCAGTTATAAATTCAACTCTTCTGACAGATACAGGGCTAATCAGGTTATCTATTTTTTCCTAAATGAGCGTTGACCATTTGTATCTTTCAAGGAATTTGTCCATTTCATCTAAGTTGTTGGATGTATTGGAATAAGTTTTTCACAACATCCTCTTATCACTTTTTTATGTTTGTAGGATCTGTAATAATGCCCCCTCTCTCTTATTCTCCATATTGGTAATTTGTATCTTCTCTCCATTTTTTTTTTCTGATCAGTCTGGCTAGAGGCTTATCAATTTCATTGATCTTTTTGTTTTGTTTTGTTTTGAAACGAAGTTTTGCTCTTGTTGCCCAGGCTGGAGTGCAGTGGTGTGATCTTGGCTCACTGCAACTTCTGCCTCCCAGATTCAAGCAATTCTTCTGCCTCAGCCTCCTGAGTAGCTGGGATTACAGGTGCACACCACCACGCCCAGCTAATTTTTGTATTTTTTAGTAGAGATGGGGTTTCACCATGTTGGTCAGGATCATCTCGATCTCTTGACCTCATGATCTGCCTGCCTCGGCCTCCCAAAGTGCTGGGATTACAGGTGTGAGCCACCGTGACCGGCTCTAGTTTCTTAAAGTAGAAATTTAAATAATTATTTTGGGACCTTTCTGCTTTTCTAATATAAGTAGTTCCTTTTCCTCTAATCAGTTGTTTTGTTGAATTCCCAAATTTTCATATTTTATTTGCATTTCTATTCAGTGAAAGATATGTTCTACCAATAATTTTACTTGTGGTTTCTTCTTTGGTTCTTGGGTTATTTGGAAGTAGATATTTTTTCATTTCAAAATATTTAGAAAATTCCTAGATGTCTTTTTGTTGTTGATTTCTAATTCAACATCATTTTGGTCAGAAATCGTACTTTGTATGATTTTGACCCTTTGTAATTTATTGAGGCTTGCTCGATTGCCCAGAAGTTGTCTGTGTTGGTTGGGGTTCCATCTGCACTTGAGAAGAATATGTGTTCTGCTGTTGTTGGATGTAGTGTTCCGTACATATCAATTGAGTCAATTAGGTTGATAGTGTTGTTCAAATCTATATTCTTCTGATTTTTTTCCTATTTGTTTTATCATTTACTGAGAAAGGAATGTTAAAGTTGGCCAGTATGTTTGGAGATTTATCTGTATCTAGAACCCTTTAGTCCTATAAATTTTGTTTCATATATTTGGTAGATTAGGTGCTTATATATTTGAAATGGTTGTGTTTTCTTGATTATGTGTTCTTTTTTCATTATGACATGTCTCTCTTGATCTCTAGTAAACTCTTTGTCTTGAATTCTGCTCTACCTGATATTAGTATGATGCCATGGCAGCTTTCTTATGCTCAGTGGTTGCTTGGTATATCTTTTTCCATACTTCTACTCTCAACATGTCTGTGTCTTTATGCTTCAAATGTGCTTCTTGTAAATAACATATAGCTATTTTATCTAGCCCAACAGTCTCTGCCTTTTAACTGGTGTGTGTGGCAGATTGTGTTTTTCAAAGGTAGCCCCAACAATATCTCCCATCCCACATGCTCTCCTGGAACCTTGCCACTTCCCCATCAAGAGGTGGAATTTAACCCTCCCCCCTATAATCTGGGCAGGCTTGTGACTTTCTTGTACTCAAGATAATATGGTAAAAGTGGTGCTGATTGATTTCTGAGGCTAGTGCAGAAAAGGTAATGCAGCTTCTGCCTTGTTAACAGGGACACTCACTCTTCAAGCCTTTAGCCACCATGTAAGCATTCCAACTTCCCTGATGCTATAAGGAAGCCCAATTCAGCCATCATGGAAGGACCACAGAAAATGGCTCTGAGGCCAGGCACAGTAACTCACACGTGTAATCCCAACACTTTGGGAGGCTGAGGTGGGTGGATCAAGAGGTCAGGAGATAGAGACCAGCCTGACCAACATGGTGAAACCCTGTCTCTACTGAAAAACACAAAAATTAGCTGGGTGTGCTGGCGTGCGCCTGTAATCCCAGCTACTCGGGAGGCTGAGGCAGGAGAATGGCTTGAACCCGGGAGGCGGAGGTTGCAGTGAGCTGAGACCCCGCCACTGCACTCCAGCCTGGGCAACAAAGTGAGACACCTTCTCAAAAAAAAAAAAAAAAAAAAGGCTCTGAGGCAATATGAAGAGGGCCACCATCTGACAGCCACCACATGAAAGACCTGGGCCAGGACTGCCCAGGTGAGCCCTTCCCAAATTCCTTTTTTTTTTTTTTTTTAAGGCAGGGTCTCACTCTGTCAGCCAGGCTGGAGTGCAGTGGCATGATCACGGCTCACTGCAGCCTCGACCTCCCGGGCTCAAGGGATCCTCCCATCTCAGCCTCCTGAGTAGCTGGGACTATAGACATGTACCACCATACCCAGCTAATTGTTGTATTTTTATAGAGACAGGGTCTTTCCATGTTGCCCAGGCTGTTCTCAAACTCCTGGGCTCAAGCAATCCTCCCACTTCAGCCTCCCAAAGTACTGGGATTACAGGTGTGAGCCACCACACCTGGCCTATTTCTATTTTAAGAAGTAAATAATCATATATATTTATCCCTCCTGGGGTAAATATATGTAATAGAACAGTGGGGAAGATACACATAAAATTATGCCCCAAAAAGGGCATGACCCTTCTTGTCAGGCCATTAGTGTGTGCATGCGTGTGTGTGTATTAGAGGCTGGTGTGTAGTTAAGTGGAGTCTGGGGTTTCTTGTTGCTTTGCGTAGACTCAGTTTTCTGTATACTTCGAATGATTTCAGAGCAGGATCAGAACATTCTCTTTGGTGGGACTTGTGATCTGAGTGGCTGGGAGTTTCTTTGATTCTCCTGCCTCACCCGTAGACTTCAGCAGATCCCTGAGCGCACATTCCCGGGTGCCTATTGTAGGTCTTTTGCCTCCACTCCAACCACAGTTCGCTTCTGGTTTGTACTCAGTGTAAGGATTAGAATCAACCGGAAGGTTTGTTTCAGTTCTTCTGTCCTGCCTTAAGACTTCCTAGAGCCTGGGGATGAACTCTTCAGTCCTCCTGCCCTGCTTCATTCACCAGTTACAGCTGCTCTGTACTCAGTGGAAGGTCAGGAGCCCCAGGGGGGTTCCTGTCGGTTCCCTTGTCCTGCATCCAGACTTCAGCAGCCTGAGCACATGTCTACCTCGGAGAGTATCTTTCGGCCCACCTGCTTTGCCTTCAAACTTTCTTGGTGAAGGCCCATGCAAAAGAGTTAGTGGGTGAATGTAAGCTCTCTTGAATGGGAGGCATTAGAGAGTCTATAGCCTCATGCCGTCGCACACTCAGCCTTTTAAAATGTGTTCAGAGTTTCTCTGTTTCTTTTGTACACAAGTCTGTGGCAGCCTCCTCTTCCTGCTGCTGCTGTGCCAAAAATCAAAGCAGCTATGGGGCTCTTTTCTCCTAGAAAGGGCTTTTCAAGATTTTGATTTTTTTTCCCCCCAACCTCAGCTTCCCGATAGCCTTAAAAGAAAAAAAATCCTATGATTTGTAGGTTATCCAGCTTCTTGTAGCTAGGATGGGAGTGATGTTGTCTTGCAACTTTCTGTATTTTGTTAGAAGAAAAATATCCATCTATTGAATTTTTCATGTATGCTTCCACAAAAAACTCTTGTTTGTTCGCTGAATGTTCCTTTTTTATAGCATCCTATTCTTGATTCATGGATATTTTTACATTCTATTATCTCCCTGAGTGAGTTAATAGCTTTAAAAATTCTTTTTAAAAAAATTTTTTTATGAGACAGATTCTCGCTCTGTCGCCCAGGCTGGAGTGCCATGGCACAATCTCAGCTCACCGCAAGCCCCGCCTCCTGGGTTCAAGCAATTCTCCTGCCTCGGCTTTCTGAGTAGCTTGGATTACAGGCATGCGCCACCACGCCCAGCTAATTTTTGTATTTTTTGGTAGAGACGGGGTTTCACCATGTTGGTCAGGCTGGTCTCAAACTCCTGGCCTTGTGATCTGCCCCCCTCGGCCTCCCAAAATGCTGGGATTACAGGCGTGAGCCACCGTGCCCAGCCTAGTTTTAAAAATTATTACCTCTCATAGTCGTGTTTCCCAACAATTGTTTTCCTGTTTGTTTTGATTTTGATCTTTCCTGCTTTCATGCTAAAGGTTTTCCTCAGGTGTCTGGTGATCCTTGGTTGTCTTCTCATATTTAAGAATGGGGCAGGCTGGGCATGGCAGCTCATGCCTGTAATCCCAACACTTTGGGAGGCCGAAGTGGGCGGATCACCTGAGGTCAAGAGATCAAGTCCATCCTGGCCAACATGGTGAAACCCTGTTTGTACTAAAAATACAAAAATTAGCTGGGCATGGTGGTACGCACCTGTAGTCCCAGCTACTTGGGAGCCTGAGGCAGGAGAATCGCTTGAATCCGGGAGGTGGAGATTGCAGTGAGCCGAGATTGTGCCACTGCACTCCAGCCTGGGCAACAAGAGCGAAACTCTGTCTCAAAAAAAAAAAAAAAAAAAGAATGGGGCACTAATGAGCTGATTGAAAAGGAAGGACATGTCAACTATGAGCTTCATCATAGGATGATGTAGCGGGGCTGGTTTTATTGGAGAACCCCAATTTTACTACCTTTTCGTTCACCTTGGGATGGCCAAATACCCAGAGATAGATCTTTAGCCTGCTGCCTGAGGCTGGTTGTCAGCACTTGAGAAACAGAGTGGGCCAGGAGGGTCCAAAGTGGTCCAAATTCAGTAGGTAAATATTTATTTAACCCCCTCATTTTTAGTATGGTGCCATCTAAGCTGTTCCTGGTACTCCCCACTTGAAACACTCTTTGTTTCATCATCTCCAAAGAATAAACATTCTGTTCCGTTGGGATGGGGAAAAGCATGTGGAGATCTGACTGCCTCTTCAACAGACTTTTAATGGCACTTCCATACTCACCCCCATTTTCTGGATGCGTGTGGGTTCCGCAGTGAAATTCAGCTCCCATGATTTTGCTGCTGTTTTCTATTTTCCCATTATTTCTGTCCTTGGGAGTTTTTCTTTTTAAAAAGTCATTTACTGTCATTTTGGTGGGATTTCATGAGGAAGAGAAAGTGAATGTATGTGCTTAATCTGTCACTTTCTCCTTTCTTCCTTCCTTCCTTTTCTTTCTTTTCTTTCTTTCTTTCTGATGGAGTCTTGCTCTGTTGCCCAGGATGCAGTGTAGTGGCATGATCTCGGCTCACTGCAACCTCCGCCTCCTGGGTTCAACTGGTTTTCCTGCCTCAGTCTCCCGAGTAGCTGGGATTACAGGTGCCCCATCATGCCCGGCTAATTTTTTTTTTTTTAAACTTTTAGTAGAGACAGGGTTTCACCTTGTTGGACAGGCTGGTCTCGAACTCCTGACCTCAAGTGACCCGCCCGCCTTGGTCTCCCAAGGTGCTGGGATTACAGGCATCAGCCACTGCACCCAGCCGGTGCACTGCGTGGAAGGGAAGCAGGGCTGGCTAAGGGCATGTGACAGGATTGTGATATTCATGGGCAGCTTGTTTGGAGCCCATAAGTCCCTAGGGATACCAGTCTACACAGTAACATGATCACCTCCAGGCTGTGAGGAGGAGTGGTGAAGGCAAACAAGCAATTCTTTTCAAAGCATGGGGTTTCGTGGGCCTAGTATAAAGAAAAACAAGGGAATGCATGACTTCAGTGTGGTTAGATAGGAGAGGTCGAGCAAGATGCCCACCAAGACATACTCCCTGCTGCAGCAGCACCACTAGCCAGTGACTTACCCATTGGTGGTGTCTTAGTCAGCTCCAGCTGCCATCACAAAATACCACAGACTGGGTGGCTTAAACAATGGAAATTTATCTTCTCACAATTCTGGAGGTTGGAAGTCCCAGATCAAGGTCTGGCAGGGTCCACTTCTGGTGAGGGCTGTCTTCCTGGTTTAGAGACAGCCACCTTCTCACTGTGTCCTCACATGGTAGGGGCAGTGGTGGAGGGGAGGGAACAGTGCTTTTCTTGTGTTCTTTTTCTTTCTCTCTTTCTTTTCTTTCTCTTTCTTTCTTTCTTTCTTTCTCTTTCTTTCTTTCCTTCTTTCTCTTTCTTTCTTTCTTTCTTTCTTTCTTTCTTTCTTTCTTTCTTCTTTCCTTCTCTCTCTTTCTTTCTTTTCTTTTGAGGCAGGGTCTTACTCTGTCACCCAGGTTGGAGTGCAGTGGTGCAATCTCGGCTCACTACAGCCTCCCCACCAAGGCTCAAGTGATTCTCCCACCTCAGCCTCCCGAGTAACGGACTACAGGCGTGTGTCACTATGCCTGGCTAATTTTTTGTATTTTTTGTAGAGATGGGGTTTCACCATGTGGCCCAGGCTAGTCTCAAACTCCTGGACTCAGGTGATCTGCCCACCTTGGTCTCCCAAAGTGCTGGGATTATAGGCATGAGCCATCATGTCCAGCCTCTCTGTTCTTCTTTATCTGCTCCATCTGGGGGTTAGGACTTCAACGTGCGAATTTTGGGGGTACACACACATTAAGTCCATAACAGATGGCCATACTGCCTATCACACAGCTTGAACCAACCTTGGCCTCAGCTGCCTGGACCAGGAGCCCGCACCTGGCCAAGACTAGCTAGTCCATAGGCTGGTTAGTTGCCTACGAAGTTACCTGGCATGAAGGCTCCACCAAAATGAGGATAATGAGTATTTGGGCCCATAAGTTTCTCTCTCTTGGAATTGAAACTGCAGTGAGATTAGAAGCCAAAAGACATGTGCAGAAAAAGCCACGGGTATTTGTCACAAAGCAGGAGAATGCCAGGAGAAGCAAAGACATGAAGAAAAGATGGACACAGAGGAGAGGGGACAGCAGCTGGTGGGTAGTGACAGGCACCGTGGGGGCTACAGCACCATAATAGCAGTTCAGGGGTGGGAGTGTGGGGGTGTGGGTAAGTCCCTAGAGCTACTGAAAACCAGGCTTCCCAAAGCTCAGACGGCTGACTCTGCCTGGGTTCCTGTCCACATATCTGAGCTCACTGCCTTCCTCATTCCTACATGATAATAGGGCCCACCTCATGTGGCTAGTATGTTATCCCAGGCCGTGCATTGTGTAGGAGGAGGGAAGATGTATTAGTGATCTGTGGCTGCAAACCAAATCACCCCCAAATGCAGTAGTTCAAAATGACAGTAACCATTTATTATCTCATAATCTCTGTGGGTCAGGATTCAGGAGTGGCTTAGCTGGATTGTTCTAGCTCAAAGGCTCTTGTGAGGCTGCAGTGGGATTCTGGCCATGACTGCAGTCATGCAAAGGCTTGGCTGGGGCTGGAGGATCCTTTTCAAAATGGCACACTCATGGTTGTTGGCGGAAGACCTTTGTTTCTCTCCATGTGAGCTCCTCCATAGGGCTGTTGAGTGTCCTCACGATGTGGCACCTGGCTTCACCCAACAGAGCAATCCGAGAGAGAGAGAGAGAGAGAGAGAGAGAGAAAACAAGGAGGAAGCAGCAGTGCCTGTGTGACCTAGTCCCCACAGCTGCAGCCATTGCTTCCGCTTTATTCTTTTCATCAGAAGTGAGCCAGGTGTGGTGGTGTGTGCCTGTGGTCCCAGCTCCTGAGGAGGCTGAGGCGGGAGGATCACTTGAGCCCAGAAGTTCGAGGCCGCAATGAGCTATGAACATGCCACAGCACTCCAGCCTGAGTGACAGAGCAGGACCTCAACTTCTAAAATAAAATTTAAAAAAGAAATGAGGCCGGGCACAGTGGCTCAAGCCTGAAATTCCAGCACTTTGTGAGGCTGAGGCGGGCGGATCACCTGAGGTCAGGAGTTCGAGACCAGCCTGGCCAACGTGATGAAACCTCGTATCTACTAAAAATACAAAAATTAGCTGGGCGTGCTGGTGGGGGCTTGTAATCTCAGCTACTTGGGGGGCTGAGGCAGGAGAATCGCTTGAACCCAGGAGGTGGAGGTTGCAGTGAGCCGAGATCACGCCACTGCATGCCAGCCTGGGCAACAGAGTGAAACTCCATCTCAAAAAAAAAAAAAAAAAAGTGGTGGCTCACACACCTGTAATCCCAGCACTTTGGGAGGCCGAGGTAGGTGGATCACTTGAGGTCAGGAGTTCGAGACCAGACTGACCAACATGGTGAAACCCCATCTCTACTAAAAATACAAAAATTAGTTGGGCGTGGTGGCCCACGCCTGCAATCCCAGCTACTTGGGAGGCTGAGGCAGGAGAATTGCTTGAACCCAGGAGGTGGAGGTTGCAGCAAGCTGGGATCACACCATTGCACTCCAGCCTGGGCAACAGGAGCGAAACTCCATCTCAAAAAAAAAAAAAAAAAAGTGAGCCACCAAGTCCAGCCTATACTCAAGAGGAGGAGAATTAAGCACTACCTTTTGAAGGCAGGAGTATCAAATAATTTATGGACCTACATTAAAACCACCAGAGCAGAGGTATTAGTTAACTTTAGACTTTATTAAGAATGCATGTTAAAATAGGTAGAGGAACTACTAAAAAATTCATAGAGCACTTCTAAACAAACAGAGGAGAAAATAGAATGAGAGAACAAATCCAGTCCATCTAAAAGATGACCAAGAGCAGAGCATCTGCCTGGGCATATTGACAGCTCTCGGCACTCACTCCCACCTTGTGGGCTCTGCATGGCAGAGGCTGGAAATGTTCCAGACTCCAGAGCAGCTGGACTTTGGGAAGCAAATTTAGTTTTGCCAATTGGCAAATTGGCAAATTTGCCAATTGCCAAATTGGGTGTGCTCACATGAAGTTTGGATGACTGAAGGAAGGGAAGCCACACTTCTGCTGTGTGGGGCTGCGTTTCTGCTGGACATCAAAGAATTTCTGGGGTCTAACCTTCACTTCTTGGTTGTTGAGGGGCACTTGTGGCAGCAATGGCTTCCTGGTCCCAGCTTGCTGATCCTCAGGTCATGACTTTGGTGGTGTCTTTTTGAACTCAAAGGTTACACTGGCCGCCTCCCAATCCCCCATCTTGTGGATGGTGGCAGAGGTAGCAGCTCCCTTGAGGAGCCAGGTCTGCACTGGTGTTATCAACACCTAGCCCAGAGTCCACTCCTTTGGCCCATCCAATGGTCAGGTAAGCATCTAATCCCTTCTACAGAATCCCTTTCTGTTCATGATCACGGGAGGAATTTCTGCTTCCTACCCTGAACCTTTGAGAGGTGAAGCCAGCTAGACTTCCTGGGTGATGTGGGGACTTGGAGAACTTTTCTGTCTAGCTAGAGGATTGTAAACACACCAATCAGCGCTCTGTGTCTAGCTAAAGGATTGTAAATGCACCAATCAGCAGTCTGTAAAAACGCACCAGTTTTCTGTGTCTAGCTAGAGGATTGTAAATGGACCAATCAGCACTCTGTAAAATGGACCAATCAGCACTCTGTAAAATGGACTAATCAGCAGGACATGGGAGGGGACAAATAAGGGAATAAAAGCTGGCCCCCCCCCGCCCCCCACAAGCAACGGCAACCTGCTTGGGTCCTCTTCCATGCTGTGGAAGCTTTGTTCTTTCACTCTTCACAATACATCTTGCTGCTGCTCACACTTTGGGTCTGTGCCACCTTTAAGAGCTGTAACACTCACCGCGAAGGTCCGCGGCTTCATTCTTGAAGTCAGCGAGACCAAGAACCCACTGGAAGGAACCAACTCCAGACACACCTTCACTGATACAATGTGGGGGTGAGGCCAGGTGCAGTGACTCACTCCTGTAATCCTAGCACTTTGTGAGGCCAAGGCAGTGGATCACCACTTGAGCCCAGGAGTTCAAGACCAGTCTGGACAACATAGTGAGACCTCACCTCTACCAAAAAAGAAAAAAAAATTAATCAAGTGTGGTGGTGGCACATCTGTTGTCCCAGTACTTGGGAGGCTGTGGTGGGAGGATCACTTGAGCCCAGGAGGTCGAGGTTGCAGTGAGCCATGATCACACCACTGCACTCCAGCCTAGGGAACAGAGTGAGACCCTGTCTCAAAGTAATAACAACACTAATAAAAAATAATAAAGTGGAGGTGGGGGAGAGAGATGGGGAAAGCAGGACAAATAGAAAGCAAATACTCACCTGGCGTGACTACATCCAGAGATAGCAGCAGTCATCACCGTGTGACCAGCTGACCTGCACAGTTCAAAGACAAAGGCAGGTTCAACATCAATCTACCACTTGACTGAACAATCCACTCCTAAGCGGTTACCTTAGAGAAATGAAGACACACATTTACACAAGCTTGCATATAAATGTTTAGAGCTGCTCCATCATAATCACACAAAGCTGGAAACTACCCAAGTGTCCTTCAGTGAGTGAATGGCTGAACAAACCCTGATCCAACCAAACAATGGAATACTACTCGGCAATCAAAAGGAAATATACTGCTCTCTCTCGCCCGCATGCTCTCTCTCTCTCTCTCTCACACACACACACAAACACACACACCAACATGGATGAAGCTCAAAAAGTATGCTGCGTGAGTGTGAAAGAAGCCAGACAAAAGAATATATACGGTATGATTCCATTTATAATAAAATTTAGAAAAGACAGAAATCAGATCAGTGGTGGCCAAGGGCAGGGGGTGGTGGGAGTGGTTGGCTGCACACAACATTCACCAAAACTCCTTGAACTGTAAACCTCAAAAGGATGAATTTTACTGTATGTAAATTATACTCCAATAAAGTTGATTTTTTTTTTTTTTTTTTTGAGACAGGGTCTCACTCTGTCACCCAGGCTGGAGTGTAGTGGTGTGATCATGGCTCACTGTAGCCTCAACCTCTTGGGCTCCAGCGATCCTCCCACCTCAGCCTCCTGAGTAGTTGGGACTACAGACATGCACCACCATGCCTAATTTTAAAATTTTTTTTGTAGAGACGTGGTCTCGCTGTGTTGCCCAGGCAGGTCTCAAAGCTGATTTTTAAAAAGACAAGAATTGTTAGACAGAATCAAACCAAACCAAAACCCAACTATGTGCTGTTTCCAAGCGCTACACCTGAGATATGAAGACACAGAAAGATTGAAAGGAGAACAGAGAAAGACACGTCTGGCTGAGCCCACCCCGCCTGCCTGCTGGCACTTCCTTACTGCCCCACTGTCGTCTGTGGCTTCTGCGTCTTCTGCATGCTCATCACAGGGTCAGAGTCTGGGGCTTCCCTTGTCCAGTCCACTGTGTCTATGAGGGCTGGGTCACAGGGAGCAGGGCTGTGAGAAGCACTTGACGTTGAAGGGAAAGAGACAGTCATCTGTCTACTTGGTGTCCCCCTAACCTCCAACAGCAAGCACATGGCAGTGGGGGGGTGGCTTGCCTCTTGTTCAGGGCCAGTCCCTCCTGCTTCTCCTGGGACTTGCTCTGCCCTTGGTCTTCTGTCACTCTTGCTCTTGCTCCCATTGGCTCCTCCACTTCATTACATGGAAGTGAGAATGGGCATCGTGGTCAAGCAGAAGGGAATTCAAGTCCGAGTTCTGCCATTTACCTTCTGGGCTATCTTGGGTGGGTCATTTGACCCCTCTGAACCTTGGTTTCCTCATCTGTGAAATGGGGGCACTGATAGTGCCAATTTCTTCCTGGTTGCATGACTGCCCCTCTCTGGACCTTGGGTACCTCACTGGGAGAGTGAGGATAATAACAGCACCATCATCTGGGGTGTGTGTGTGGATGCAATGAGCCAGTGGAGAGAAAGAGACCTTCCTAACTGTGCTTGCTGGACCCAGCCTTGAGCTCTGTGGGCTTTGGTTTTCTCATCTGTAACGTGGGGCGAATGCTTCAACAGACCTCCCCAGGTTGGTGTGCAATTTAAATGTGCAGGAAATGTAACGATGGCAGGTCCATGGCTGTGCTCAGGAAATGTGATGTCGTGTAATCCTAGTAATGAATTTTTTGTTACCATAAATGGACCCATCACTACACATTAGCAGGTGCGTATAAACGGGCTCTATTCCCTGCTTACTTCACCATCCTGATGGGCATCAAACCCTAGATTAGGTAAAGGATTTGCAGAAGTTGGGGCTTGGAGGAAAGGCTGGGAACGTAGGGAGTGAGTGGAGGCAGCAACTGGAAAGGAGAGAGGCCTATCAGAGTTCAGATCAGCAAAGGCAGGAAGCTGACCACAGCTCAGTGCCTCATGGAAAGTACGCCCTCTTGGCCCAGCTCATGAGCCTGCTGGCCTCGTGACCCAGGCGGGCTCAGTTTCCTCTGCTGTCACCTGAAGATGCCCTGCAAGTGCCCCCACTCTGGAAGCAGTCTCCCTAGCCGTCCGTCTTCACTCAGGTGCCTAGTCTTGTCCATTCTCCTCCTAAAGGCTGGGCAAACATGGCATCCAGACCCTCTCTGAGCACAGATGGGTCCACCCCAAGCTTCCCATTCCAGGGGAACTGAAGCTGGCACTATGGGGGTGGGGCATCCAAGCCAGGATGCCAGGGCTGCTCCCATGTGGGCCCTCCAGGGCCCCACACCACTTGGGGAGTCTTGTGAGACTGAGTCGAGGGCCCCTGGAATGCTTCACTGGGCAACAGGCATGCCCATAAAAATACCGTGGCCGCCAGATCTGCAATCTGCCATCGGGGCCCTAGGCCTTCCTAGCCCTGAGGCTGCAGCCAGCTCGCCGGCTCCGGAATTCTTACCCCCTCCATTTTGCTTCCTCGCCTGTGAGGTCATGGCCTTGAGCCTAGGAGGGGGCACTGGGGAGGAGCTCCTTCCTTCTCGATCCTGTGCAGGGCTGCGGGGGAGAGTGGGAGAGAGTGGAGTCGGCGGGAAAGGTCGAATGGGGCCAATCCCGAGGACAAAGAAATAAGACACCAGAGAGCTGGAGGAAAATCTGGGAGTTGGGGGTGGCAGTTCGAGGGATACCCTCTCCCAGACCCTGTCTCCCCTGGGCTCGCCTCCTACCCTGCCGCCCACCTGGGCTCTGGGGTGCGCAGGAGCCGGTGCTCCGCGGCGCCTCCCCAACACGCTGAGGACGAAGCCCCCGCACCCCTCCCAACAGGACCCTGACTGGGCCCTCAGGATCGGGGGGCATTCGGGAGAGGTCCCGGGAGTCCTGCCCTGTGTGTGTGTGTTGGGGGGGCGTTGCGTGCAGGTGCCCATCGCTGGCCGGCGCCGTCGAGGGCCAGGCCGAGGCTAAGGGAGCATCCCCTTCCTTGCCGGACTCCTCTCTCCACCGCCCGGCCCCAGGCCTCTGGGAGCACTCTCGCCCCGCGATTCCCGCTCCGAGCTTTCACAGCGGGCTCCCTTGCGCTGGGGCTGAGGACACTCTCCGGCCGGAGACTCCCGGTCTGCGGGGAAGGGGGTCTGGCGGGACCCGTCGGCTGGGGTCCCGCTGAGCTCCCGGAGTGGGCTGCCCGGGGGCCCCCAGCCCAAGCCGCGCTCGGCTGGCACCAGGGGCTAGGGTGCGGCGGGGCGGGGCGGGGCGGGGCGGGCGGCCGGGGAGGTGATCTCACTCCTCCCTCCCTCTCCTCCCCGGCGCTCCCCTCCCCCGCCCCTGCGCGCACGCCCGCCCCGCCCCGCCACAGCCGCTGCTGCCGCAGCATCGGCATCGCAGACGCGCTCGGGCGGCGGGTCCGAGGCCGGCGTGCGCGGAGGCTGGGCGGGCAGCCCGAGCGGTGGCCGCAGCGCAGGTAAGGCGGGCTGGCCTCCCCGTGCGACCCGGGCCGCGGCCGCGATCCCCCGGCGACACCACACCGCTCTGCCCGGGGTGCACGGACCAGGGAGTCCCGGCCCGGTCCGGCCCGCGGTAACCGGCGTTGCTGCCGGAGCCCCACCCATGCCGGGCGTCGGGCTCCGGGCACCGCGGGCTGTAAGCGGGGCGGGGGAGGGATGCCGGGTGCCCGAGCCCGACAGGTGAGGGGTAACCTGCGGGGCCCCAGATGCTGGCCTGGGCGGGAGAACAGGGCGGGGGGCGTCAGGCAGGGTCTGTGTGGGCAGGCGGGGGCTGAAGTTGGCGGGTCCCCGTGCGTGTGTGCGTGTCTGAGAAAGGAAGCCAGATCGGGTCGAGCGCTCCCCCACAGGCCGCCGTGGGGTGTGGCCCTGGGCGTGGCTGCCCCTCATCCCCAGCCGAGAGCTCAGTTTGGTTGAAAATCCCGGCTGACAGCGTGGTGAGGGGTAGATCGGGATAAGCCGCCCCTGCAATGGGGGGAGGGGAGTGAACGGGACTGGGCGCTGCCTGCCCCTCCGCCCCAAGGTTGGGGGGGCTTTGTTCTCCTCCTTCTTCTTTCCAAATCCCAGCCTGGGCTCCTCCGGGCTCACCCGAAAACCTGCCGCAGAGCCAGGGGCTCCTCCCCGGAGGCGTAGGGCGCCTCTGGAGCCCGTTTCCACAGGCTCTGTGGCCAGTCAGGGCTGGAGTGGGTGAGGTCGGTTCGGGCACCCACTGCTGTGCCTCCCGTGCATGGGTGTCCATCAGGTAGGGTCCATCAGGTAGGGGTGAGGGAAGGTGGGCCTCACTGGCTCAGGCGGTCCCTGCGCACTGCAGGTCTTTTGCCCACTGCCACATCTTCCTATCTCTGTGCGGTTATGGGAGGGGTCAGCGATTCCTATTCCCTCCATTCCAGGTCAGACTTTTGGGGCCTCTTGGTTGGCAGGGATTGCAAAGAACACGCACTACAATCCATTGCCCCCGACAGGGTATCTGGACCCCCCACCTATCACTGTCCCTCTCAGGAAGGCAGGCCTAGAGCCATCTGCCCCCTTCTCCAGAAGGAGTGGGGGCCTGGCACCCCCCAGGTAGATACCCTGCCCCTGTTAACCCCACCCTGAGGGCAGGGGCATCGGGGCAGCCCAGTGCCATCTCTGCTGACTCATGTGGCCCTGACGTAAATCAGTGCAGTCCGCCCTTCTTCCCCTGGGGGCTGCTGCCCAGCATCATCTTTCTGGGGCGGGGGCCTCCCCAGGGCCTCTCCCCTCCCGTCAGCTCCTTGCTGCAGGTGGTGGGACTTGGCCCAGCCTGGCCTCTCCCCTGGCACAGCTCCCATGCAGTGCCCACATGTGCACACCTGAGGGCTCCAGAGCCTTTGAGGACTCGGCTGTCTTGGCCACAT
Source organism: Homo sapiens (assembly GCF_000001405.40). NCBI lineage: Eukaryota > Metazoa > Chordata > Mammalia > Primates > Hominidae > Homo > Homo sapiens. The sequence goes on along the minus strand of NC_000023.11, from coordinate 153,884,648 downwards.
GGGAAGTTTGGGGCAGGGTTGGGCCTGGGACCTTCCCACCTCCTTGGCTCCTGGTCATTTCTCTCTGCTGCATCTGAGTCTCTCTCCATATTTATTGATGTTTGTGTGTGTATGATCCCGAAAGTAATACATCTTATTGTAGGACACTTGAAATATACAGAAAAGAACAAAAGAAATTAAGAATCGCTAGTGATCTGATCACCAAGAGGGAAACACGTTCAGCACGCCCCAGCCTCCCTGGTTTGCTACACCGCGCTCCTAAAAGGCTCCTCCCCAAGTTCCCAGCTGCCAGCTCCCTGCTGAGCATCAGGAGGACAATCAGCGCTTCAAGGTGGCGGGGTCCCCTGCCCTGCAGCCAGTGAAGAGCTTCCCTACCCAGGCGCTCAGGATCCCAGCGATGGGCAGTCGTGTACTGGGCAGCTGCTCATGGCCAGTGCTCCTTTGGGCCGGGCTCTGGGCTGCCCATGGAAGAGCCAGTGACAAACTGGACCAGCATTGTCCCTGTCTTCGTGGGGTGTCACTTGTTTTCTTTTTTCTTGATGATTATCTGAAGGGAAAAGGGAGGCAAAGAGTGAGGAAGGGCCTGGCCTGAGGGCTCCTACAGTGAGCAGGGTGCCCAGATTGTGCCCCCAATCGGCCTCTCCCAGGTCCGAGCCCTTTCCACCACTGGAACTACAGCTGGCGCCTTCCTTGGCATGCACCTGGCCAGGACTGGCAGGTGAGGGTCGAGGAGACAGGCCTGTGTGCCCTACCTTGATCACCAAGTTCCCTTTCAAAGCTCGAAATGGCTGCACTGAGTGCTTTTCTGGGTGTGAGGGTGATGCGGCCTCGCAGAGTGGCCCAGGCTCCAGGAGGGCACGTTCATGGGAGAACCTGGGGTAGTGGTGGGGTCCTGTGAGGAGGTCTGCCAGGATGGGGATCCCAGCCAAGACCCTGGTCTGCCAGGCATGAGTGGGGGCATGAGTGGGGGCCCTGCCTCCCTCCCTCGTGGTTCAGACAGTGGGGGAGGCGGGGGGTCTGGATGCCCTTCTAGGGTCCCCAGCAGGGTGCTCATTGCCCTGTCCTCTGCCCCTGCAATGGGCTGGGGCTGGGTCCCTGGGTGGGGCCATCTGGAATGGGCCTGCAGCATCCCTGCCCCTGCAGTCGCTGTCTTACTTGCTCTGATCTGGCCCATCTCGGACACCTCCTTCTCCTGCTTCCCCCGCCCCCCTGCTCTCTCCTCTGCAGCCTCCCACGTCTCCCTGTGCCCCACCCCCAGGGCCATCACCTTCCTCCTCCTTCTAGGCAGAAGCCTGCTGCTGCCGGGGATGGGGTGCACCACTCCCCGTCTCCTCCCTCTGCCTCTGCCTGCCTGGCCCTCCCTTCCCTCTTCCCCCTTCCCGTCAGGGCTCTGCTCCATCTCTCTGCTTACCCTTTTGTCTGTCTTCCACCGCTCTGCTCCTCTCCTTGTCCCCCCCAGCTGCCCCTGCCTCACCCTTGAGGGCCCTGAGGTTGTGCCCTGTCCAGCAGCCACTCAGCACCCTTCTGCTGGACTCTACGCCTTGGGGTTGGGCCCAGACCCCCCATGGGGGCCTTGTCTGAGTGGAAGGCTGTATGGGGGGTGCCTGGTGAGCAGCAGCCAGACGAGCACTGGGGGAGGTAGCCCGCCCAGCTTGCCTCTTCCCCAGATATCAACAGGGTCTTTGTGGCTTCCTGAAGGCTGTGGCTGGAAAAAGAGGGAGGAGCTGGGGAGGGTCTGGCCGCTGTTCTTTCTAGAAGCTTTTCTTTGTCCAGTGGCCCCCAGCCCAGGTCCCCGTGTTCTTCCCAGGTTGGAAAGCTGCAGAGGGAGTGCCCAGCCACTGTCAGTCAGCAGCTCCTGCTCATCTCTGGCCCTTACACCCAGCAGGGGCAGCTGCGAGGGCCAGGGGTTGGGTGGGGCAGGAGGGTGGCAGCGTCCTGGGCTCCATGCACTTGGCCAAAGAGGACTTCTGAACCCGTCCATCCCAGTGCGGGTCTGAGAGTGGAACTTGAGGGAAAGGGACTGAGTCCCGGGAGCCCCTCTGCCCCCTGCCCTCCAGCCAGGCAGACTTCCTATCTGCATGTATGGGGTTTGTGTCTCTGCTTGTGTGTGTGTATTTGTGTGTGTGTAACCTCCAGTATTCCTGTTTGTCTGGGTGGGGTCATATATTTGGTTGCATGTGTGTGTGTGTTCGTGAACCAGCATGCACACACATATTGTCATGAGGCCACGTGGGTCTCCTCAGATGCCCCAACAGGGCCTGTGCTGGGAAGGGGTGGGGCTGAGGGTGGCTGCTGCAGTGGCTGGATGGGGACAGAGCCTCTGGCCAACCCAGGCTGTGCTTCAGTGGAGGGGGGTTCCCTGTGGCCCTGTCTCCCAGCCATCTGCGTCTGTGTTCATGACTTAGGAATGCCCAAGCCCTGGGGATCACAGAGGCCCCATTGTCCGCCCCCGGGCTTCCTGTGTCCCCCTCTGCCCTTTAACCCCTCGGGAGTGGGGCCCCTGGAGGGGGCCCGTGGGGCCTGGCAGTGTCTGAGCTGTTTCCAGGCACCCCCACCCCGCCCCCCGCAAACCAACACAGGCTAGGTATCCCAGGACTGCTGTGGGCCAGGGCCTCTCCCTGCCCCAGGCTGGGCTCCTTCCCTGCTCTCCTTTTCAGGCCACAGCCCCAGGAACTGGATGCAGTCTGTTCCTTCTGGCCTGGCCGCTGAAGCCCCCTCTAGTGCTAGGGTCATCCTAGCTCCCTGAGGAGGCCTGGGGCCTGAGAGGAGCCCTAGTTTTGCTGCCACCTCATTTCTCTCGCCTTCTAGGGGTCTCGGAGGCTGAAGCCTTGCCGCCTGCTGGGCATCAGTATCTCCTTCGACACAAGAATGGGGCCACTGCTGTCCCTAAATGCTGATTGGAGAGGGGCCTCTTTGGGAGGGGTTCTGGAGCCTCTGGTTGCAAGAAAGGTATCAGAACAAGTCCAGATTCCAGAGAGCAGAAGAGGGGACCAAGAAACCAGCCTGTCCCCAAGCCCAAAAGGGAAAGGAGTTGGCCTTCTCTTGGACTGAGTACCTGGATGGGGGACTTGGGGGTTTGTTTGGTGTCGGGCTTCAGCTCTGTGCTGAGACGTGATGTTGATCACATCCTACTTCCGCATGGCCTCCATCCCAAGATGTCACTCCCTGCCCCCGACATTTGCCTGCCATCTGCCTGGCAAGTAAGCCCTCCCCACGGGGCAGGATGGCTTGGAGGCCATCCTCGCCCAGGCCCCTGGTTCCCTGGGAAGCCCAGCAGGCACACATGTTGGGATGCCAGAGCCTCTGAGAGGCAGCTTAGGGAGCCACCACGCCCTCTAAAACCCCACCCCTGCTGAGACCCAGTGCCAGCTCTGTGATCTTGGACACAGTTTCCAGTTTTCTGAGCCTCCGTGTCCTCATCTGTAAAATGGGGATGATGATAGCACCTCCCTCCCTGAGGCAAATCTGGGGAGGAGATGAGTGGATGTGAGTGGAAGTGCTCATGAGGCTTTCTGGTACGTGGTAAGTCCACGCTGTAAGTTGATTTAATAGAACAGACCACAGAGGCATGTGATTGTGGGGATGGAGTGGGGCTCCTCCCTCCCTTCCCCAGTAGTCAAGACCGTCCTCCCTGAACCCCACAAAGGGTTAACCTCCGTCTCTTTTCCCCATCTTTTAAGGAGAATGGTCCATTACAGGTGAGTTGTAGTTGCCTTGGAGACTGAAGCCTCAGGCGAGATGAGGGGGCTGAGGGCTCACTCTCTCCTAAGGGTACCCTCTTAGGGAGGGGTGAGGTTGGGAGTGCAGGGACTAAGCAGCAGTCATAAAGGACTTCTGGGCCCCCAGGTACCTGTGGGGGCTCCCTGGAGCAGCCCCCTTTATGTGCTGTCTACATAACACATAACAAGGCTTTCCTCTGGCTTCCCCCACCTCTGGGACTTGGGCTGCATCACCATAGAAACCCGCCAGCCACGGCCTGGGGAGCGGGGCGGGGAGGGCCAGCGGGAGCCTTAAAGGGACACAGTGCACAGGGTGTAGGTGACACCCACACCATCGTATACACACCAACAGGCACAGAAGCCCCCCAGGCTCCCAGGCCTGCAAGCACATGGGCCCAGCACCACACTCTGACCCTTTCATGTGCCCTGTGCTGAGCCCCCAGCCCCACCCCCACTCTGGCCCACTGAGTCACCAGGCACCATGTCCCCAGGAGACAAGGGCAGGAGAAGCCGGATAGTCTCTGCTGTGCTGTTGAAGGGCTCTCTTGTTGCTTCTCCTTTGAGAGGAACTCCAGGCAGAACCTGAGAACTGACAGGCAGGTGTGCAGGGCACATGTGCAGGGCACCGCTGGAGGTTCCCTTCTCAAGGTGTGTGGTGGTGGTGGTGATGGGGTGTGTGTGTGTGTTTTCAGGGAGGAGGCAGTCACTCCAGGTCTAGCCAGGCTCCACAACCTCCCAGGTCCCTCCCTGGCAAGCTGCTTCCCATCAGACCAAAGCAGGCACTTTGGAGCAGAGGACAGAGGACTCCCTGAGGGACCTGCGGGTGTAGTGGGAGGCCAGGTGGGGTGGGATGGGGCAAGGCTCTTCTGGGGCTGAACCCCTCCCTGTAGGCTGCTGGGCGTGACCCTTGCCTCCCTGGCCCTTTCCCACCGGGGAGGATGGGTTTGGGACCGGACTTACTCAGGAATGGCCCCATCTTCAACTGCCCCAGCACAGCGGCCACTGTCCACTCAGTGCATGGTCACGCAGGCTCACTCTTGGCCTAACACATGTGCGTCTCCTCCAGCCAGGTGACCACTTACTCCCAGCCAGCAGCAATATTGGAAGGCTTCCCTGGGATTTTCTGGGTGCTTCCCCCTCCCCCCGTTCCTACCCGCAGCAGGAATCCCCCGACCCCCACCTGTTCCCTGGCATGGCATGGGTCAGCCAGCAGTGTGCCATTCATCCTGTCTCACGGCCGTCCCTTGCCCAGTGCCACAAGTGGGCAGGGCCTTGATGCTCTGTTGCGTGGGGCTTTGTAGGCCCCTCCGGCCCCAGCTCACAGCTGCTCCACCCTCTGTCTGTCTCTCTACCCTGCTCCCAGGCCAGCGTGACGTCCACGCCGGGAAGCCCCTCCACTGACCCAGGCCCATCTTCCCTCCTCCCCGCCCCTTGCCTGGCACAGCCCCCAGGGACAAGGACGCTGTGCAGGCGGCCTGCGCGCACGCGCACGTGCACACGCCCACCCCCACCCCTCACTCTTCTCGCTCTTTCTGCCATTTCTCAGCGGCGCACTCTGCAGCTGCCTCTCACCCTTTGTGCTCCGGTTTCCTCTTCTCTCCCTTTCTCTGCTGCCTGGGTCTCCGTTTCGGAATTTCCCCACCCCCTAACCATCTCCATCGTGGTTAGCGCTGTCTTCCTACGTCTGTCTTTGTCTCCTGCTCCCCCCTGCCTCTTCTCACTCTGTCTGTCACCCTTGGCAGACCCGGCCTTGGCTCCATCTGTGGAACACTCCCCCCTCCCCGCTCCTTTGCCCTTAGTGGTGCTGGTGGGGGGTAGAGGGCCTGCTGAGCTGACAACCCTAGCTGCTTGCTCTGTAATTGCCTGAGGAATGGTGAGAGATCAGAGACCCAGCAGCAGTGGGAGGAGAGGAGGGAGCGCCCCCTCCCAGCTGTTATATCTCGCAACCTTCTGGCTGCTTCCTGCCTGTCTCCGACTGCCCAGGGCGGTGGCAAGCTAGGTGGCAAATACTGGGAGACCAAAAAAGAAGTTGGATATGAGCCTGTGGGGAGATGGGATGGGGCTGGGATGGGGCAGGGAGCGGGGACCAGGGGTTTGGGGATATTGTATTTCCCCTGAGCGTACATGCCAAACACCATTCCAGGATTCTAGATTTGGAGGACAAATAGAGGAACTTGCGTGGCAGAAATTATCGACCTCCAGAGCACCCAAAAGCCTCTGACATGCAGGAGGGTCCTTCTTTGAGCTTTTCCTTGCTCCGGTTTCCTCCCCTCCCCCTCCTAAGACCAGTGCTCAGAGCTCCCAAGGCTGCTGTTTGATCATCTGCTCTCTGATCCGAGTCTCCTACTGCTCCTACAGGCCTTGAAGTTGAGGCCAGTGCTGCCTGGGGCCTCCCCTGATCCACTGGCTTTGTAGGGAGAGGCCGGGGTGGAACAGATCCACTGTTGCTCTTCCCTTCTGGGCCCAGGTCCAGCTCTTGCAGGCTGGGAATCACTCTTCTTACCCTCCAAGTCATCTCTTGGCCTCCAGGCCATGCACGCTGACCCACCCTGCTGCTTCTCCACCACCCTCTGCAGCAAGCTCTTGCCCAGAGTCCCCACGGGATCTGCCGCATTCACAGCTCTTCTTGGGTCACTCTGTTACACAAAACTGACAAGGCCCAGAGCCTTAGCACAGCATGGCTGACTTCTCTACCATCCTTTCGGTGTTCCTGCTGAGGCTCGGTGCCCGCTTTGATAAGGTCCTGGCTGGGCAGAGGGAGGATGCACAGTATGGATTTAATGAAGGCGTCTAGTCTGGGACTTCAGCCTCCAAGCTCTGTCACCTAACAACACCCTTTCTTGCCTTGCCTGCACTTTAACCACTTCCTGTTTGGAATTGAAGTGGTCTGGCCACTTGGGAGTCTGTTTCCTCTTGTCATTGTCAGAGGAGCCCCCTCTTTCAGACCCTTAGTCTTTGGCTCCCCTTACTTGTAGGTGAATATGGACATGGCCGGTGTGGCTTGGGTTTGGGGTGGACACATGCAGCAGTTGAGCTCTGAAGACTCAGACAAAGACCTAGAAATTGGGACTTTGAGACACACAAGAAGTGTTAGAAACACTGTCACGGAAAATGTCCCAGAGCTTGTCCTGACCCCTGTCCTGACCCTAACCTGGAGCATCTGGAAGGGAGGAGGCCTCAGTGGCCTCTCTTGACCCCCAGGGGGCTGAGGAGCAGCAGGGGGTTGTTTTCCTCCTTCCTCTCTTCTCCCACACCAGTTCTCAAGGGAAGGCTTCCTTCCCCATTCTTTCTCTCTTTTTTTTGAGATGGAGTTTCGCTCTTGTTGCCCAGGCTGGAGTGCAATGGTGCGATCTTGGCTCACTGCAACTTCCGCCTCCTGGGTTCAAGAGATTCTCCTGCCTCAGCCTCCCAAGTAGCTGGGATTACAGGAATGCACCACCACGCCAGGCTAACTTTTTTTTTTTTTTTGAGACAGAGTCTTGCTCTGTCACCCAGGCTGGAGTACAATGGCGCAATCTCCGCTCACCGCAACCTCTGCCTCCTGGGTTCAAGTGATTCTCCTGCCTCAGCCTCCTGAGTAGCTGGGATTACAGGCATGAGCCACCACGCCTGGCTTTTTTTTTTTTTTTTTTTTTTTTTTTTGTATTTTTAGTAGAGACAGGATTTCACCATGTTGGCCAGGCTGGTCTCAAACTGCTGACCTCATGATCCGCCTGCCTCAGCCTCCCAAAGTGCTGGGATTACAGGCGTGAGCCACCACGCCCAGCCCTAATTTTGTATTTTTACTAGAGACAGGGTTTCACCATGTTGGCCTGGCTGGTTTTGAACTCCTGACTTCAGGTGATCCACCCACCTCGGCCTCCCAAAGTGCTGGGATTACAGGCATGAGCCACTGTGCCTGGCCTTTTATTTTTATTTTTATTTATTTTTTTAGACAGAGTCTCACTCCATCACCCAGGCTGGGGGGCAGTGGCACGATCTTGGCTCACTGCAACCTCCGCCTCTCAGGCTCAAGTGATTCTCATGCCTCAGCCTCCCAAGTAGCTGGCATTACAGGCGCCCACCACCAAGGCTAATTTTTTTTCTTTTTGTATTTTTAGTAGAGACGGGGTTCCGCCATGTTGGCCAGGCTGGTCTCAAACTCCCAACCTCAAGAGATCCACCCACCTCAGCCTCCCAAACTACTGGGATTACAGGCGTGAGCCACCACGCCTGGCCCTTTCCCCATTCTTTCTTCATTTTCCTGAAACTATTTTGTGAAATGCTGCCATCTTGGGCCCCTTTCCTCCCTTCTCTATCCCACTTCCCAATCCCCCCATTAGCTTTTTAGGTCTGTACAGCACCCAGGCATCAGTTGGCTCTGAAAGCTATAGCAATGTGACTGCAAGAAGAATTCTTCTCTACATGTGTGTGCACACAGAGATAATAGATACAGGGATTCATCCCCACAGATACATAAAGACATACAAGAAGACACACGTAGCTAGCAGACTTGTGTGTTGATTCCCTCAGGCACACACACTAACACACCCACTCATGAGTGCAACCCCTCCCAGAGAAGACACACCACAGAAATACCAGCTCACATACAGCTCACTCCCTGCTTGCAGATCCACAACCACACACATGCCCACGGACACCTGCACATGCAGACACATACGGGGATGTGCATGCCATGCACAGGGGAGCTGATGGGGCAACAAGTTGGTGCTGGGAAGGCAGCTGGCAGGAAAGGTGCAGACAGAGAGTAGAGAGGGAATAAAAGGCAACCTAGAGGCCCAGCCAGGGCTATCTCTTCCAGATTTCTCCCTCCAAGGTGGGGAGGGGTGCGGATGGGGAGGGGAGGGCTGGAGAAGCCGGCCAGCTGGGGGCGGGGCTGAGGGCGGGGCCAAGAGCCCGGGCTTACCCAGATGTTAGTCACTAACGTCCTTCCGTTCTCTCGTCTCTCTTCCCCCACCCTTCCCTTCCCTTCTCCCCTCTCCCAGTGCCCCCACTCCCAACTCCCGCCCCAAGCCGCCCACCAGCCCCCTTCCCCTCCGGCCGGAGCCTGAACCGAGCCCGGCTGGCTGTGCTGCGCGGTGCCGCCGGGAAAGATGGTCGTGGCGCTGCGGTACGTGTGGCCTCTCCTCCTCTGCAGCCCCTGCCTGCTTATCCAGATCCCCGAGGAATGTGAGTAGCTGAAGGGAGCCTGGGCGCCTACCTTCGCCGCTATGTTGGGCCCCTCTTTATCTTCTACCTCCTCACCTTCTCCCTGTTCCGGACCCTGACTCCTCTCCCTGGCCTTTCCTGGGCACAGGGTGGGCAGGAGATAGCCAGGACGTTGGGTACCCCCGGAGAGAAGGGCAGGGTAGAAGGTGCGGGGCGTGTCAGGACCATGGACAGGGACAGGCGCGGCCGCCGGGGCGATTTCAGCACCAGGGACAGCGAACCTGGAGCAGGGCCCCGAGGTCTTGGGCCTCCTCCATGCTCTCCTTAGCCCGCCCCATCTCTGCCCGCCCCACTCCGACTCCTCCGCTTCCATCCCCCACCACAGGGGTGTGGCAGCAGGAGAATGGGGTCGTCCCCAGCCCTCAGCTGGCTTGTGCAAAGGCCTGTGTTCAAGTCTTGTCCCCATTTCTCTTTCCCCTCCTGGGCCCTTGGTCACCCTGTCTCTGAACTGAGACAGGAAAAGGTGGCTTGAAAAACCCTGGTCCCAGCCCAGCAGCCTTCTGGACCCTTTTTTGTGTGTAGTTATTTGGTGGGGGTGGGGGCAGGGCTGCTGGAGCATGTGTCTATGGTTGTAACATTTGTTGGGGGCACAAGCAGGTGAGTGGATGTTGGGGAGTGTGGCCGTAGGGTTGTGATTAAGCATGGATACACTGTGTATGTCTGTGTGTTCTTGTGATTGACTGAGCGTAGATATTCGTGAATGTGATTTTGACTTCCTTACATGGGTGACTGTGTGAGTCACTCTGTTACTTACTGGCCAGGCTTGTGGAGGTCGGGAGGTATTTGACCACGACATTTGATTGCATTGGGTCATGTGTATGTGTGAGTGGGGCTGAATGTAAGTACACACTTGCGTGTGGGGGGTGTTACCGTGATGGTGTTTTCTCCTGTAAGTAGCTGTCAGGCCGTGTGAGGGGCATGTCACAGGGTATCATGTGTGAGGGCATTTGTGTCTCTTGAGCTACCAGGCTCCAGTCCCTTCCCAGCCTCACCTTGACACCTTTGTCTCTGGGCCTGGACAAGGAGGAGGCCAGTGTCACTGAGAGACGAGTTGGCGGATAGGGGTTGGGAAGACTGTCTGTGCCAGCAGTGGGACAGGGGCTGCGAGAGAGAGGCTGGGGAGGCACCTGGCGTTGGGAGGCAGTGAGGGCTTGGAGGAGGTAAAGGGGCTGGCCCCTTAGACACATACATGGAGGGCCAGGGCCAGGCAGACTCCCTTGGTACAGATGCACATGGACACATGCACACAGGTGCATGAAGACAAGGCAGGTGCAGGGATGAAGGAGCAGAGCCGCTGAGAGGCCACACAGGTGGAAACACACACCAGTGAGGCTTTTAGACCCAGAGGACACAGAGGTGGATACACAATATAACACTGTACAGTGGAATGCAAGCCGTGCATTCTCTACAGAAAGATGGGAGTGGGGAGAGAGAACTAGGCCAAAAGGCCATGGCAGCTCCAAGGCTGCCCTGGTCACTGACCAGCACTTGTTCTTGACCCTGATACGACACAGTGGGCAGTGGCAGGCAGCCGGCCCTCCCTGTTGGAACCTGTCTTCCATCTCTCCCTCCCCAGCCACTCCAGCCCCCTTTGTCTCTTTTCCTGCTTCCTCCACCTAGTTGGCTTTCTGCATCCTGTCATCCCTGTCACCATCTCCCTCCCCAGCTCAGGGCCCTCTGCAGTGTCCCCAGGGAGCCCCCTCCTCCCTCCCTGGACCTTCACACTGAGGTCTTCTGCAGAGACAAAGCTTTCAGAGGCAGCCTGCTGCTCCCTCCCTCCCTCTTCTCCCTTCCTCGAGGCCGCCCTGGCCAGTGCTCTGCAGAGTCCTGGGGCTGGGACAGCAGCTCTGGCCTCTGCCCCAGAGAGCTTGGTGGCTGTCTGGGAGGAAGGAGGGAGAAGAGGAGGGCTGGCGCCAACCCCGCAGGCTATGGAAACTCAGAGGCAGCAGGGCCTTTGGGATAGTTTTCAGGGGGAGGGGGCAGCAGGGCTCTGAAGGCTGGGCCCTGGTAATTGAAAACACTCAGCTGTGCTAATTGGATTAGGAGGGAAGCAGGCTGGAGCAGGGGACGGTGCCTTCCAAGGCATCCTGAATGGGTGGGGTCAGTTCTGCAGGCCCTGCCAGGCCCTGCCAGGGGGCTGCAAGGACACTCCTTGTTAAAGGCAAGAATTTCTCTCTCCCTGTCTGCTAGAGCTGGAGGCATGGCCTGGCTGCCTCTGGGCTACATGCCCTGTGTGTCTATCCAGTGGAGCTCCTCTCCCTGGGCATCTCTCTGTCCCATCTCCCTGGGCTTGACCTGCCACTGCTCCAGCCCAGCGTGTGCCCCCTTGTTGCCACTGCCAGGGCCTCCTCTCCTGCCATTCCCTCTCCACGGGGGGGCTGCAGGAGCTTACTATGTCCCCTGCCATCTGCCCCACTCTGGGGCTGCCTGTCAGTATTTCTCTCCATTCCCTCCCTTGCTGCCTGCCTGGATTTCTCAGATGAAGGACACCATGGTAAGTTGGGGAGGGGTGAGAGTGTTTCCCAGAAGGCCAAGGAGAAGGGTAAGGAGGCCCTCAGCTGAGCCTGCACCCCCGCCCTCCTGAGTGCCGGGGCCCTGCTCGGCTCTCCCTGAGCACCATGTGCTTCTCTCACCTGTGTGGGGCTGGCTTTGTTCTGTCTCTGCCCCAGCCTGGGTACTCTGTCACCCTCACTGTTCCTCTCTGCCATTCTCTCTGGTCCCTTCTCCCCTGTCTGGGGTTTGTCCTTCTTGGTTTCTGTGTCTTGGCTTTTGTTGCCCCCGCTTCTTTCTGTCATACCCTTTTTGTCTTTCTCAGGCATCTCTTTGTAACTTACGTGGCTGTCCCCTCTCTCCCTCTTTTCATGTCCCACAAGCCTCTTTTGTTCTTCCCCTCCGTTCGTCCCCCTGTGGCCATGGGGCCTCCAGGGGCTCTGGACCCTGCTTCCCTCACGATGGGACAGGTGCTGAGGCTATGACACCAGCCAGGCAGCACCCTCACCACCGCTCTCTCCACCCTGTCTTCAGTGATGGAGCCACCTGTCATCACGGAACAGTCTCCACGGCGCCTGGTTGTCTTCCCCACAGATGACATCAGCCTCAAGTGTGAGGCCAGTGGCAAGCCCGAAGTGCAGTGAGTGATCTCTGCCGTCTCAGCCCCTGTTGCCTGCCACTGACCCCGGCCTTGTGCCTCCCTGGACTGCCTAACTTCTAAGCCCAGAAGCCCCAAACCTTGCTAATCACCCCAAGTCCTCGCCATCTCCCAGTCCATCCCCTGGGGGCCCTGGCTGCTTGCACCTGTCCCTCCAGCCTGTTCCAGCCCCCGTTGGGTTCCAGGGCCTCAGGCCTCTGGGCCTTTTTCCGCCCACAGGTTCCGCTGGACGAGGGATGGTGTCCACTTCAAACCCAAGGAAGAGCTGGGTGTGACCGTGTACCAGTCGCCCCACTCTGGCTCCTTCACCATCACGGGCAACAACAGCAACTTTGCTCAGAGGTTCCAGGGCATCTACCGCTGCTTTGCCAGCAATAAGCTGGGCACCGCCATGTCCCATGAGATCCGGCTCATGGCCGAGGGTGCGAGGCGCTGCAGGGACCAGGGAGGGCAGGTCCCGGAGTTCGTGTGGGATTGTGGGCTGGAAGCTGCTGTCAGCCAGTTGTCTCGTGGCGAGGGGCCTGGGTGTCCTGCCAGCCCTCCACCCCACCCCAGCTTCTCCCCTGGCCCATCTTGTTTCTTGTGCAGTCTCCTCCTTTGCCCTGTCTCTGTCTCCATTGCACTTCCGGTCATCTCATGCCCTTTCACTCCCTCAGGCTTTCCTGGTGCCTGCCTCATGGCTGAGCAGGAAGGTGGCGGGGGGAGGGGGGGGCGGGCTGGTGGGGGGAGTGACTGATTCTGGGCAGACCTGCCTGAGTCACTGCAGTCATCTCTGTCTACACCTGCACTCCTTAGCAGGGCCCCTCTTCTCTGGCTTTTCCACTTGGCTCTCCATCTCCTCCCCTCCACCTCCGACTTGGTCTCTCTTGCTCCACGGCTCTGTCTTGATCTGTGTCGCCTTTTCCCTGGGGTTTTCCCTTTGCATTCCATCCTCCCTGAGCTTTCTGCTTCCTGAGCGCTCTCCTCTCCCCTCCCCACCCCTCCAGTTACCTTGGGAACCGTTGCCATGGTTTCTGTGTCAGGATGATGGAAGGGTCTGTGACTCCTGCATCCCTCCACAGCTCCCCTCCCCCATCACTGCACCTCAGCCTCAGCCTCCCCCCACCCGTCCTTTCCTAGGGTGGGCAGGGAGAGCTGAGAACCGTGGAAGGTTAACCCTTCCTGGCCTCCTGGTCTCCTGCTCACCCTGGCCTCCCTAAGTGCTAGTCTCTGCTATGAGTCCAGAAGGTATCCAGAGTGTCTGCCTCCTTTTCTGTGAAGTTTCTACTGGCCTGACCCTCTCGCCCCCTCGTCCATCCCTGGTGTAGCCCGCCACCCCCCTGCCCCCACCTCCCTTCTCCTGCCTAGCACCATCTGGACCAGGAGGAGAGTGTCAGCCCGTCTGTCCCTTCTAGGTGCCCCCAAGTGGCCAAAGGAGACAGTGAAGCCCGTGGAGGTGGAGGAAGGGGAGTCAGTGGTTCTGCCTTGCAACCCTCCCCCAAGTGCAGAGCCTCTCCGGATCTACTGGATGAACAGCAGTGGGTGCCGGCGAGCGGCTGCCTCGTGGGGTCGGGGTGTTAGCGGGGGTGTCTTCCTGGACGGGGTCATGACTTCGGCCTCCTTGCCCCCTGCAGAGATCTTGCACATCAAGCAGGACGAGCGGGTGACGATGGGCCAGAACGGCAACCTCTACTTTGCCAATGTGCTCACCTCCGACAACCACTCAGACTACATCTGCCACGCCCACTTCCCAGGCACCAGGACCATCATTCAGAAGGAACCCATTGACCTCCGGGTCAAGGCCAGTGAGTCTCAGAGGCTCTGCACTCTCTCCCTGACTCCTTTCACCCTCAGGCATGGCCCTTCCCACCATAGGTCCATCTGACAACTCCAGGCTTCCTCAAGAACAGCTTGGCTCCCACCTCTACCCTGCCCAGACCCCTTCCCAGGCGTCGAGAGCAGAGACAGGACACTCTCCTTAATGGAGGAAGACACAGAGGCCCCGGGGGCTGGCTGGAGTGTCGAGTCCCTCAGCCTTGCAATTCTGGGGTGGAGGGAAGAGTGGGCAGCCCACCCACCCACTTTCTCCTGGCAGCCAACAGCATGATTGACAGGAAGCCGCGCCTGCTCTTCCCCACCAACTCCAGCAGCCACCTGGTGGCCTTGCAGGGGCAGCCATTGGTCCTGGAGTGCATCGCCGAGGGCTTGTGAGTCTGGGAACCCAGGGCAGGGCAGGGCAGGGCAGGGTGGCGGAGCCCTAGCAGGGAGCTCAGACCACCGCGGGGTATAGGGGGCTGGGGTGATTGGCCTTGTCCTTTCTCCCTTCTGCTCTCTTCCCTTTGCCTCCCGGGCAGTCCCACGCCCACCATCAAATGGCTGCGCCCCAGTGGCCCCATGCCAGCCGACCGTGTCACCTACCAGAACCACAACAAGACCCTGCAGCTGCTGAAAGTGGGCGAGGAGGATGATGGCGAGTACCGCTGCCTGGCCGAGAACTCACTGGGCAGTGCCCGGCATGCGTACTATGTCACCGTGGAGGGTATGGACCTCCTGGGACAGTGGCCTGTGATGCCCACTGTCATGGGGGAGGGGAGGGTCTGCGCCGGGTCAAGAGCCAGCTGCTGGCTGCGGGCTCAGGGCGGCTCTCCCCTTCCTCCCAGCTGCCCCGTACTGGCTGCACAAGCCCCAGAGCCATCTATATGGGCCAGGAGAGACTGCCCGCCTGGACTGCCAAGTCCAGGGCAGGCCCCAACCAGAGGTCACCTGGAGAATCAACGGGATCCCTGTGGAGGGTGAGCAGGGCCTCAGGCAGGAGTGGGGAGTGTGGCGAGCCCTGGGGGCTGTGGGGGAGAGGAAGAGGAGGGTGAGGAAGGGCCTCAACGCAGCTCAATGCCGGGCTGTGGCCCATGGGCCCACCTGCTGCATGCACAGAGCTGGCCAAAGACCAGAAGTACCGGATTCAGCGTGGCGCCCTGATCCTGAGCAACGTGCAGCCCAGTGACACAATGGTGACCCAATGTGAGGCCCGCAACCGGCACGGGCTCTTGCT